>NC_000008.11:7971608-8276089 GCF_000001405.40 Homo sapiens
TTTGTGTGTGTGTGTGTGTACCCCTCAGTGTGGGTCGGTACTTCCACTCTGATCACTGGCACACAAGCAGAGATCTCTTGCTGTGTTTGTTCTTCCCTTTGGATCTCCTGGTCCTCCCTTGCAGAGAAGCGAGTGTGCCAGTGTTCATGGACTCCTGATCTGTCGAGTTCATCGAAGAGAGGTTTAGCAGGGAGCTTTGCTGTTCAGGATGGTGGTTTTTCATCCCACACTTGTATTTTGATTGATGAATCACAAGTACGTTGGGAGGCAGGGTACCTTCAACTTTTCTGACGTTGAACTCAGGCTTCATTTTGTTTTGCTCTTGGGGGAATTTCCAGTGGTCTAAGGTGCTTTCCTCAGTGGCTCTTTCCACCAAGTGCTCGTCCAACTCGGGTACCTGGAGGCAAGGGTGGTCTCTCTTGAGCTCTCCTTGCGTTGCTGGCCTGTCTGTGTCTTCAGCGCCAAGGGCTCTTGGTTCCCTGCCTCTTGACACACTCTCACTGTGTCTTTCCCATTCACTCTTCTGGATGTAAAAGAGGACATAGGCCTGTTGACTCAGGACAGAAGTGATGCTACAGGCAGTGACCTCGGCATCATCCATTTTATACCACTGGCCTTCTTGAGCTTTGACATAAGAGAAGTAATATCCGTTGTGACAACTCCACCCAGCGTGGACCAGCACAGCATAGAGGACATAGACAAGAGGTCCTGTGTTCTGCTGAGACATGTATGGCTGCATGTCAAGGCACTCAGGATATTGCACATTCTTGGCAAGTTTGTTGCCTGTGACATCGCAGAATCTCTTCAAGACAAGGATGAGGACCTTGGCAGAAGTGTGTAAAGTTAACGTGTTGGAGGCCGGCGCCCTCTGGAGACAAAGACCGCAAGGATAGGCATTCTCTCCATTGAGTTCTTCGGGCTTCACCAACTGTTCCAAAGCTTGCTTGACACTCTGAGCTGCCTGGATATCCAGGGCGATGTCCAGGTAAGGGTCAAAAGTGTCTGAAATCCCGTGGCAGTGGAGACACTTGATTTGAGATCTCCAGCAGCCTCCAAATATTTGGTGGATGAGGGTGGTGTCCTTAGAGTGATGATCTACCTGCTTGTGGCCGGGAAGGCATGCCTTTTTCATGGCATCCACAGTGAACATGAGAAATTCATGGGCATCTTCCTGCTTGCCTCTATGGAAGCCAGCAGCCAATGCCTGTGAGGGCTGGATGACATGGCCAGGACTGTGGAGGGCCCATGTGATGTGAGCTTGCATAGTACAGAGCATGCAGCACTTGGGACGCTGACATGTTTGAGAGTGCTCCCGGGACAGCATGTAGTTGGCAAGGGGCGGTGTGTATGTCAGGCACTGCAGGGAAGCATTCAAGTAGCAGGTATTTCCCATATTCTGGAGACCAGCCCCCACAGCAGCAGGTCTCCTGCTACTCAGAGGAAGCTTCTCCCTGGGAGCAAGCTGTCTTGCCACAGGAGCCAAATCATCACAGAGGTCGACACGGGTCTCAGATGAGAGTGGTGACTTCTCAGGGAGAGAAGTCCGCTGGATTTCAGCAAAAGCTGCATCTGGCCGAGGAGATGTGAGTTTTGAAAAGTGGTTGAACTGCCACTCACCTCCCAAGTAGAGTGAGTCGTCCTCCATGTCGCCCGCAACAAGGATCACAAGGTTTTTCTGCTGGGACCGCAGGTTGCAGCAAGACGCTATCTCTTCCGAGAGAGTCTTCAAATGACGAGCTCTCTGGCCGCATCAGCCCTTATATAACTCACCCCCACCAACCGTGAACACCCCACCCACCCATCAGGTGCGCGATAAACCAATCAAATATCAGCACTCAATTAAGGAATGAGTCACAGGGTGTGTCCCCTTGCATCGCTGGGAATTCAACAGACACAGCCCACATCATGACTTCTAGAACCTGAATCAAATTACTCCTCAGGGTGATAGGCACATATAATATGAGTGTAACCGGGTTGGGACAGTGGCCACACAGTTGCCTTATTTTAGGTAAAAGAATGTCAGGGAAGAAATCTTTACCTATGAAACCGTGTGTGTGTCTGTGTGTGTGTGTGTGTGTGTGTGTGTGTGTGTGTGTGTGCGCTTGTGCTGGGATGAACTTCCAAGTATGTACTTTTGGCAGCTATCATCATCCTCTCAGCGATGGAAGCACAAGAAGTCTGAAGTGCACTTTCTGACCTGAGAATAGTCAATGAAGTATAGTATTTAGCACAGCGTATATTTTTCCTTAATAATAAAGGAGAGATCCGTGGAATCCAACAGACCTTCCAGCGATGACCTTTCCACGTTCAGACTATTGATTCTCTATCCGAGTGAAATTACCGGCCAGTGGAGAACAAGACAGGTCTTTGCATGAAATGCTCTTGTGGAAGCTAGGCTGCCAAATACTAAAGCATCAAATGGTAGAAACATGCACTGAAGTTTGAAGAGATACTCAGTGCACAAAGTAGACTGTGAAAGACTTTGGGGAAATCATGCAATCACCGAGAGACTAATTGATGGCATTCCCCAAATTTATGTGTACCAGAAAAGAGAGATGGTCCTGACATTGTATAGTGAGTGGTTTCGGACGTGCGGCGGCAGTTTAAGAAAACATGAAACAAAAACCTTGAGAAATCCAAAGGTATCCCAACTATAAGCTTTTGTTTATTAAAGAACTGATGAAAATCAAAACAACGTATCTCACAGCATGGGTGATACTATTTCCACACGTATGTGATAATGGCTCAACATTTCATAGAGATGAAATAAAAAGTTCTAATTTTGACAAAAGAAAACAAGGAAAATTATACCGTAGAAAAGCCCGGGTGACGGGAATGAGGCCCTGTCTCAAGAAGAAAACATCGGAGACGTTTAAAAGCAGGGAGTGAAACAGAAGATAGCATAACCTTTTTACTGCTGGCCCTTGTTTCACAGGGAAAAGGCAAAAATAAGCCGTGTGTCTCCTGGATTCTCGCATCGATTGTTCATGATCTGAGATGTTCCCTCCATTTCCAGTTATGCATTGTATGGTGGAATTGCAGTTAGCACATTTGGTGCAAAAATTGTAATGCTGACGAAAGTGGACATGTTCCCTGAACTAAGAGGGACAGCATTTGGGTGTGTCTTCAGGCTCTCTGGCTTACCAGGAATGAAGATCCTGGCTCTAGGGATTTTCCCAAAATGTCTTAGACAGTAAGGAACAGGGCAGAATTGAGGCCCGGCGCCAAGGCCTCTAGTTTTAAAGAAACAGCCCTGGCTTCAGGGCCCATGAAATTCGGATGATTTTAAGGAGGATGATGGAATGAGAGGACTGTGACCTTTGGCCCCGTTTCTTTCCCTTGTCTTTTCATGGGCCAGGTGTGGTCCATCAGAAGGCTTCGTGCGCCTGATGTAAAGTGTCCTGGGGGAAGAAAGGAGCACTGCTTAGAAAGATGCTCCACAGGGAGAAAGAAGCCACCATTTTCAGGAGAATGATCCCCAGAAGCATGAGCAACGCAGATGCCGTGGCTTCACACAAGACGTCGGAGGGTCTTATTCCTGCAGCCGGGACCTGGGCATCGGTGTGCTTTCATGTTCCTAACTGATTTTGAGGGGAGCCCAATCGATAACCTGTCTGCGAGTCATGCTCATCACACTGTAGTTTTCACACACGTCACACGGAGACCCTGTTCGTATGCACATTTGGGTGCTTGAGCAGGGTTGCGTCCAAGATTCTGTGGTTCTATGGAGCCCTGAGTGGTGCCCTGGGCAGCTTTCCTCTGGGGTTGGTCAACTTTGATCACTGCACCTAACGAGAAAGGGACCATGAAATCTAATCAGCAAATACAGACAAGGAAGGGGCCATTTCCCACAATCATTTCCACGGAAACACCACGTCGGATACGTAAGTCTGATTGAAGGACAGGGACTGTGCTTCAGAGATGCAGCTTTCGCAGCTGGACGAATGACCCGGAATCTCCCCAAATGCCATTTGTAAGCACACCAAATGAGATTTTTTTTCAGGGCTTTCTGAATTTATTTCAGTTGAATACACACACTCCTGTGTTTGATTTTCTTTATTATCAATAGGACTTAGTTCCAAATGACTGACACGCCAGTGGGAAAATTTTCCGTTTCGACTCATTGGAAGTGGACCCCGTGAAACAGGCAAGTCGGTCTGTCTGTTTCCGGCGTTATGTGGGTTCCAGCAAGAGCACAAGTCCCAGGGCGCCTGAGGTCCCTTCAGAAACCAATGTAAAAACGGCGAGCCAGGGTAAGAAAGAAGAGCACCGTTCCTATCTTCTAAATGCATTCCAGTTTCCACTATTCAAGGTGGTGAGAATGATCCACGGATGTGCCACATGAGCAAAATTTCACCTTCCCGTGCCGCCCAACAACTGACGAATGAAACATACCCCAAGAGAAAATAGGAAACCGAGTCCCCTGCAATAACCTCACACGCAAACCTACACGTCAGTAGGTCATATTCAGAAATACACAGTGAATGTCATCTACCATGAACACAAACACACAGACAATCCCTCCAGAGGTTCGGAAGACTCACGACCCCAAAACTTGATGTTTCCCATGTGTGGGCTCATCCTGAGATGCAGCCATCACTATCCAGTTGTCCCTGTTGTAGAGACAGAAACTTGGACTCCTCATTACTTTATGTAGGATTGACGGTGTTCGGGTTTGTTTGGGGGTGTGTGTGTGTGTGTTTGCGTGCGTGCTTGTGGGTGTATTTGTGTGTGTGTGTGTGTGTGCGTGCACCCCTACGTGTGGGTCGACACTTCCACTGAGATCACTGGCACACAAGCAGAGCCCTCTTGCTGTGTTTGTTCTTCCCTTTGGCTCTCCTGGTCCTCCCTTGCAGAGAAGCGAGTGTGCCAGTGTTCATGGACTCCTGATCTGTCCGGGTCGTCGAAGAGAGGTTTAGCAGGGAGCTTTGCTGTTCAGGATGATGGTTTTTCATCCCACACTTGTATTTTGATTGATGAATCACAAGTGCGTTGGGAGGCAGGGTACCTTCGACTTTTCCGACGTTGAACTCAGGCTTCGTTTTGTTTTGCTCTTGGAGGAATTTCCAGTGGTCTAAGGTGCTTTCCTGAGTGGCTCTTTCCACCAAGTGCTCGTCCAACTCGGGTGCCTGGAGGCAGGGGTGGTCTCTCTTGAGCTCTCCTTGCTTTGCTCGCCTGTCTGTGTCTTCAGCGCCGAGGGCTCTTGGTTCCCTGCCTCTTGACACACTCTCACTGTGTCTTTCCCATTCACTCTTCTGGATGTAAAAGAGGACATAGGCCTGTTGACTCAGGACAGAAGTGATGCTACAGACAGTGACCTCGGCATCATCCATTTTATACCACTGGCCTTCTTGAGCTTTGACATAAGAGAAGTAATGTCCGTCGTGACAACTCCACCCAGCGTGGACCAGCACAGCATAGAGGACATAGACAAGAGGTCCTGTGTTCTGCTGAGACATGTATGGCTGCATGTCAAGGCACTCAGGATATTGCACATTCTTGGCAAGTTTGTTGCCTGCGACATCGGAGAATCTCTTCAAGACAAGGATGAGGACCTTGGCAGAAGTGTGTAAAGTTAACGTGTTGGAGGCCGGCGCCCTCTGGAGACAAAGACCGCAATGATAGGCATTCTCTCCATTGAGTTCTTCGGGCTTCACCAACTGTTCCAAAGCTTGCTTGACACTCTGAGCTGCCTGGATATCCAGGGCGATGTCCAGGTAAGGGTCAAAAGTGTCTGAAATCCCGTGGCAGTGGAGACACTTGATTTGAGATCTCCAGCAGCCTCCAAATATTTGGTGGATGAGGGTGGTGTCCTTAGAGTGATGATCTACCTGCTTGTGGCCGGGAAGGCATGCCTTTTTCATGGCATCCACAGTGAACATGAGAAATTCATGGACATCTTCCTGCTTGCCTCTATGGAAGCCAGAAGCCAATGCCTGTGAGGGCTGGATGACATGGCCAGGACTGTGGAGGGCCCATGTGATGTGAGCTTGCATAGTACAGAGCATGCAGCACTTGGGACGCTGACATGTTTGAGAGTGCTCCCGGGACAGCATGTAGTTGGCAAGGGGCAGTGTGTATGTCAGGCACTGCAGGGAAGCGTTCTCGTAGCAGGTATTTCCCATATTCTGGAGCCCAGCCCCCACCGCAGCAGGTCTCCTGCTACTCAGAGGAAGCTTCTCCCTGGGAGCGAGCTGTCTTGCCACAGGAGCCAAATCATCACAGAGGTCGACACGGGTCTCAGATGAGAGTGGTGACTTCTCAGGGAGAGAAGTCCGCTGGATTTCAGCAAAAGCTGCATCTGGCCGAGAAGATGTGAGTTTTGAAAAGTGGTTGAACTGCCACTCACCTCCCAAGTAGAGTGAGTCATCCCCCATGTCGCCCGCAACAAGGATCACAAGGTTTTTCTGCTGGGACCGCAGGTTGCAGCAAGACGCTATCTCTTCCGAGAGAGTCTTCAAATGACGAGCTCTCTGGCCGCATCATCCCTTATAGAACTCACCCCCACCAGCCGCTAACACCCCACCCACCCATCAGGTGCGCGATAAAACAATCAAATATCAGCACTCAATTAAGGAATGAGTCACAGGGTGTGTCCCCTTGCATCGCTGGGAATTCAACAGACACAGCCCACATCATGACTTCTAGAACACCTGAATCAAATTACTCCTCAGGGTGATAGGCACATATAATATGAGTGTAACCGGGTTTGGGCAGTGGCCACACAGTTGCCTTATTTTAGGTAAAAGAATGTCAGGGAAGAAATCTTCACCTATGAAACCCTGTGTGTGTCTGTGTGTGTGTGTGTGTGTGTGTGTGTGTGTGTGTGTGTGTATGTGTGTGTGTGCTCGTGCTGGGATGAACTTCCAAGTATGTACTTTTGGCAGCTATCATCATCCTCTCAGCGACAGAAGGACAAGAAATCGGAAGTGTGCTTTCTGACCTGAGATTAGTCAATGAAGTATGGTATTTAGCACAGCGTATTTTTTTCTTTAATAAGAAAGGAGAGATCCGTGGAATGAAACAGAGCTTCCAGCGATAACCTTTCTACGTTCAGCCTATTGATTCTCTGTGCGAATGAAATTACCTTCCAGTGGAGAACAAGAGAACTCTTTGCCTGACATGCTCTTGTGGAAGCTAGGTTGCCAAATAATAAAGCATCAAATGGTAGAAATATGCACTGAAGTTTGAAGAGATACTCATTGCACAAAGTAGACTGTGAAAGACTTTGGGGAAATCATGCAATCACCGAGAGACTAATTGATGACATTCCCCAAATTTATGTGTGCCAGAAAAGAGAGATGGTCCTGACATTGTATAGTGAGTGGTTTCGGACGTGCGGCGGCAGTTTAAGAAAACATGAAACAAAAACCTTGAGAAATCAGAAGGTATCCCAACTATAACCTTTTGTTTATTAAAGAATTGACCAAAATAAAAACAACTTATCACACAGCATTGGTGATACTATTTCCATACGTATGTGATAATGGATCAACATTTCATAGATATGAAATAAAATGTTCTAATTTTGACAAAAGCAAACAAGGAAAATTATACCTTAGAAAAGCCCAGGTGACAGTAGTGAGGCCCTTTCTCAAGAAGAATACATCGGAGACGTTTAAAAGCAGGCAGTGAAATAGAAGACAGCATAAAGTTTTTAATACTTGCCCTTGTTTCACAGGGAAAAGGCAAAAATAAGCCGTGTATCTCCTGGATTCTCTCATCGATTGTTCATGATCTGAGATGTTCCCTCCATTTCCAGTTATGCATTGTATGGTGGAATTGCAGTTAGCACATTTGGTGCAAAAATTGTAATGCTGACGAAAGTAGACCTGTTCCCTGAACTAAGAGGGACAGAATTTGGGTGTGTCTTTCGGCTCTCTGGCTTACCAGGAATGAAGGTCCTGGCTCTAGTGATTTTCCCAAAATGTCTTAGACAGTAAGGAACAGGGCAGAATTGAGGCCCGGCGCCAAGGCCTCTAGGTGTAAAGAAACAGCCCTGTCTTCAGGGCTCATGAAATTAGGATGATTTTAAGGATGATGATGTAATGAGAGGACTGTGACCTTTGGCCCTTTTTCTTTCCCTTGTCTTTTCATGGGCCAGGTGTGCTCCATCAGAAGGCTTCCTGCACCTCATGTAAAGTGTCCTGGGGGAAGAAAGGGCACTGCTTAGAAAGATGCTCCACAGGGAGAAAGGAGCCACCATTTTCTGGAGAATGATCCCCAGAATCATGAGCAAGCCAGATGCGGTGGCTTCACACAGGTTGTTGGATGGTCTTATCTCTTTAAGCGGGACCTAGGAATTGGTTTTCTTTAATGCTCACAACTGATTTGAGGTGAGCCGAATTGATATTCTGTCTTCCTGTCATGCTCATTGCACTTTAGTTTCCACACATGTCACACAGAAACACGCTGAATAAGCACATTTTTGTTCTTGAGCAATATTTCACCCAAGATTCTGTGGTTCTACCGTGCCCTGAGTTCTGTCCTGGATATCTCTACTCTTGGGTAGGTCAACTTTGATCTCTGTACCTAATGAGAAATGGACTATGAAATCTAATCAGCAAATATACAAAAATAAGGGGCCATTCTCCACAATTGTTTCTCTCCGGTAGGTCGTGTTTGGTAACTGTATCTAACAAGAAATGAATATTTGACGATTCCTAATCAAAAAATTTCTTGTTTTTTTGCCATTTTAGTTAATTCTTTTAACGTTTAAATAGAGTTTAAAACCCGAAATTTGGCATGAAATCTAATCGTCAAATACACAAAAGGAAGGGGCCATTCTTCAAAATCTTTTCCTCTGAAAGACCACCTCTGATAAACAAGTCTCGTTTCATTACAGGGATCCTGCTTCCAAGATGCAACTTTCACAGCTTCATGATTGACCCAGAATCTCCTCCAATGCCATTTTTTTACCCGCAAAATGAGATTTATTTCAGGGCTTCCGGATTTTATTTTAGCTGAATACATCCACTCTCCTGTTTCAATTTCTTTCAAACGCCTTTAAATAATTATCTTGCTGCATCAGCCCTTATTTAACTACTGTCCACCCACCGAGACCATTACATTTATCCATCAATTACCCTATTTACTAATGAAATATCAGGATTCAATTAGGTTTTTTGTCTTAGGTTGTATCCTCTTGCATTCCTCAGAGAATTTAATGGACACTGCTTACATTGTGACTATGGAAGGGTTGAAGCAGATTTACTTGTCAGTATTATGAGCAAATATGTTAGGAGTGGAACCGGGTTAGGATAGTAGCTAAACATTTGCCTTATTTCATGTATAACAATGCTATTTAACAATTGTGTACATATTAAACAGTTTGTGTGTATGAGTGTATTTGTGTGTTTGTTTCTGGATGTGTGTGTATGCCTTGAGAAGTACTTCCAAGCATGTGCATCTGTGAGATAAGATCATTCTTTCAGTGACTAAATGCCAAGAAGTTATAACTACATTTTCTGACTTGAGAATTTGCAACAATGTGAGGTAATTAACACAGCATATTTTTTGTCTTAATTAAGATGAAGTGATCAATGGAGTCAAATAGACATTCCAGAGATAACCTTCCCATTTTTGGCCAGTTGATTCCATGTCATGTTGTAATGATCTGGCATTGGGGAGAAGACAAGTCTTTGCGTGAAATGTTCTTGTGGAAGCAAGATATGCAAATAATAAGGCATCAAATAGGACTATTCCCTTCAATAGTGAATGTCGAAACCTTCACTTAAGTTTGATGAAATTCTCAATGCCCAAAATACATTGTGAAACACTTTCAAGAAAACATGCTATAAACCAGAGACTATTTGATGACATACACCGAAGTTATGACTGCAAGAAAAGAGAAATATTCATGGCATTTTTAATCCAAGGGTTTCTTGTATATGACAGCATTTTTAAAAAAGTCAAAATCAGAAAAGATTCACAAATTGGAAGATATCTAAGCTAAATCTTTTGTTTCTTAAAGGAATGATGAAAATAATTGCAATGTAACACACGGCCTGTGTGATAATGTTTTAATACATATCTAAAAATGCCTTAAAATTCAATAGAAATAAAATAACAACTTCTAAAACTTGACAAAAGGAAACAACAAAAATTACACACTGGAAAATCCTGGCTGACTGGAGTGACATCCTGTCTCAAGAAGGAACAGACAAACACACAAACAAGCAAAGGATTCTAAAAGCAGGGAATCAAACAGATACTTGTACACTATTCTTCCTATTAGCAATCTTCATAGTAGGAAAAGGCAAAAACAACCCAAATGTGTGGCGAATTACTTCATCAGTTTTTTAGGATCTGAAATACTGCCTCAATTTTCAGTTACTCATTGTGGGGAGAACCTGCAGTTACCACATTTGTTCCAAAATTTTATGGTGATGAAGGTAAACCTGTCCGGCATTCTCAGAGGGACAGAATTCTGGTGTTTCTCCAGGTTCCTTGGCTTATCAGGAATGAAGATCCAAGCTGTATAGACGTTTTTCAAAAGTATGTACATACGTATGTATGTATGCATGTATGTATGTATGTATGTATTTCCTCTTTTTAAATTTAAAAAATACAGGATACATGCGCAGAACGAGCAGATTTGTTATATAGGTATCCTTTGCTATGGTGGTTCGTTGCACCTATTGACTTATCCTGTAAGTTTCCTTCCCTCACCCCCAGCCCCCAACGGGCTGTGTTGTGTGTTGTTCCTATCCAGTCTAGCACTGAAGGGCATTTGGGTTGGTTTCATGTCTTTCCTATTGTATATAGTGTTGCAGTAAACATACGTGTGCATGTGTCTTTATAGTGGAATGATTTATATTCCTTTGGGTACATAGCCAGTAATGGGATTGCTGGGTCAAATGGTATTTCTGGTTCTAGATCCTTGAGGAATAGCCATACTGTCTTCCACAATGGTTGAACTAATTTACAGTTTCACCAACAGTGTAAAAACCTTCCTCTTTCTTCTCAGCCTCACCAGCATCTATTGTTTCTTAATTTTTTAATAATCGCCATTCTGACGGGTGTGAGATGGTATCTCACTGTAGTTTTGATTTTCATTTCTCTGATGATCAGTGTTGTTGAGCTTTTTAAAAATATATTTGTTGGTTGCATAAATGTCTTCTTTTGATAAGTTTCTGTTCATATCTTTTGCTCACTTTTGATGGGGTTGTTTGTTTTTTTGCTTGTAAATATGTTTAAGTTCCTTGTCAACTTTGGTTATTAGACCTTTGTCAGATGGGCAGATTGCAACAATTTTCTCCCATTCTGTAGGTTGCTTTTTCATGCTGATGATAGTTTCTTTGCTGTGCAGAAGGTCTTTAGTTTAATTAGATCCAATTTGTCAATTTTGGCTTTTGTTGCAATTGCTTTTGGCATTTTTGTCATGAAGTCTTTGCCCATGCCTATGTCCTGAATGGTATTGCTTAAGTTTTCTTCTAGGGTTTTTATGGTTTTGGATTTTACATTTAAGTCTTTAATCCATCTTGAGTTAATTTTTGTATAAGATGTAAGGAAGGGGTCCAGTTTTGGTTTTCTGCCTATGGCAAGCCAGTTTTCCCAGCAGCATTTACTGAATAGGAGATCCTTTCTCCCTTGCCTGTTTTTGTCAGGTTTGTCAAAGATCAGATGGTCGTAGATGTGTGGTGTTACTTCTGAGGGCTTTGTTCTGCTCCATTGGTCTATATGTCTGTTTTGGCAGCAGTAGCATGCTGTTTTGGTTACTGTAGCCTTCTAGTGTGGTTTGAAGTTAGGTAGCGTCATGCCTCCAGCTTTGTTGTTTTTGCTTACAATTGTCTTGGGTATACGGGGTATTCTTTGATTTCATATGAAATTTAAAATAGTTCTTTCTAATTCTGTGAAAAATGTCAATGGTAGCTTGATGGGTACAGCATTGAATCTATAAATTAGTTTGGGCAGTATGGCCATTTTCACAATATTGATTCTTCCTATTCATGAGGATGAAATGTTTTTCCATTCGTTTGTGTCCTCTCTTATTTCCTTGAGCAGTGGTTTGCAGTTGTCCTTGAAGAGGTCCTTCACATCCCTTGTACTCCTAGCTGTATCCCTAGGTATTTTATTCTCTTTGTAGCAATTGTGAATGGGAGTTCATTCTTGATCTGGCTCTCTGCTTGACTATTGTTGATGTAAAGGAATGCTTGTGATTTTTGCACAATGATTTAATATCTTGAGAACTTGGTGAACTTGCTTACCAGTTCAAGAAGTTTTTGAATTGAGATGATGGGGTTTTCTAAATATAAAGTCATGTCATCTGCAAACAGAGACAACTTCACTTACTCTCTTCCTATTTGAATACCCTTTATTTCCTTCTCTTGCCTGATAGCCCTGGTGAGAACTTCCAATACTATGTTGAATAGAAGAGGTTACAGAGGACATCCTTGTCTTGTACCAGTTTTCAAAGGGAATGTTTCCAGCTTTTGCCTATTCAATATGATGTGGGCTGTGGGTTTGTTATAAACAGCTCTTATTATTTTGCAATATGTTCCATCAGTACCTAGTCTATTGAGAGTTTTTAACATGAAGGGATGGTGAATTTTATCAAAGGCATTTTTGCATCTATTGAAATAATTGTCTGGTTTTTGTCTTTGGTTCTGTTTATGTGATCAATTACATTTATTCATTTGTGTATGTTGAACCAGCATTTCATCCCAAAGATGCAGCCGACTTGATTGTGGTGGATAAGCTTTTTGATGTGCTGCTGGATTCTGTTTGCTAGTATTTTATTAAGAATTTTTGCATTAATGTTCATCAGGGATATTGGCCTGGATTGAGCAGGTGTGTGTGTGTGTGTGTTTCTACCTTGGTTTGCCAGTAGGTTGATGTGTGAGTGTGTGTGACTTTGTGTGTGTGTGGCGGGGGGGGGGGGCGGTGAATGTGCGATAGAGAGCCAAACTAGAGCAGAGGAAGTTCCCTGGCCTGCCATGACATTAAATGTTCTGAATTCAAGATACCAAGAGAGGCATGAGACCCACAGTTGAAACTTCATGATGTGGCCAGGTTTCAGGGGTTTCTGGGAGCTGCCAGTGGGCATATCTCAGGCTTGCTCCCACTGACAATCCATGTCTTCTCTCTAAATGGGAGATGGCTCTGTATGGAGAACAGGCAACAGAGAGCATGATGTAAGGGTTCTACCTCATACTCACTAGGAAAGAAAACAGTTTTCATCATCTCTCACTCCATTCCCATTGTAAATCTATAGACACAGGGGACAGTTACCTGAAATATTAGCATAGCTAAAGTCCTCAGACCAAATTAGATGTCCTACCTTCTCATGTGGATCAGATCCTAAAAAAACAACTGCTTCCTGTGGTCATTATCTTTTATCCCAGGCCATTTCCAATCCAGCGGAAGACCTTCTAGAAGAGGTGATGGGTGGGAGAGTGCTGGCATACTATGTGAAGCTACTATTTGGAGTTGGACACGAGTGCATGTGACCTTGTGCCACAGCGGGAATGTGAGCTGGATGACAAATGGAGATTTGGACTTGTGATAATTGGCCTCTGTGTCATTGTGTGGAAGACTGACTGGTCCCTTTATTTCCTGTAGCTTGACTACCACACAAATGAATCCACTCAAATGTTGGCAAGTGGAGCAGAGTCCCAGGACAGGTAAGGCACTTTGCCTGCTTTTTCTTAAGATCAATCCCCATGCCTAAAAATTAAAGTCACATCCCACACGATCATTAAAGTAGAGAGTGCATTCTGCAGGATGAGTGAAAAGGCATTTATGATTCTTGGGGGCAGATGTTCTACAGTAGCCTGTGCTAGTTCATGTCTTTCTGCAGATCACATTCTTAACCTCTAGAGAGCCTGGCAGGACCAGAGCCTTACCTTTCCCAGTCTGCAATCTCTACAGGTACAGAAACACCCCCAGTTCAAGGATCTTCACACCTGGATTTAGGCCTACTCCTGCAACTACCCCAGGTAAGTTTCCTTGTTCTTCAATGGCAAAGTTTGGACAATGCTGTTCAAACTCCAGGCAACAAGCAACATCTAGGAAATGTGCTTTTAGGTAGGGTCAGCATAATATCCCACCCTGGGAGACAGTTTTATTTTATAGTTGTAGAGGGTGATGCTGCTGGCGGCTCCCTCCCAATCAGCACCATTTGCAGCCTCTTTTGAAGATAGAGAACTGAGGGCTGTCCTTCGAATGGAGCAGTGTGATTCCAAAAAAAGAGATGCTCCTTGTGGTCCTGGGACCAGGGATAGGACTCCAGTTGAGCCTGGTGGAATAGGTCCTCGTCCTAACCCAATGGAGAGCCATGCAGCTGAGCTTGGGCGATGTGGTCCACGTGGTTGTTTCTGACTGTGTCCTGTGGTTGCTGGATGGCTTGCAGTTCCCTATGCAGATCCAATGCATCTTTTGCTTTTTTGCTTCTAGAACCTGGAATTTATATGTTCAACATGGAGCCATCCCAGCCATGACAACAGAGAATGTACCACTCTCACGTGAGTAAGAGGGGTAGGCAGTGCTCCTGTATCACCAGCCCTTAATGAGACCCTGAGGAAACCACATCATGGAGATCAGCCCTTCTCTCCTGTAAGGAACTCATCCTATGAAAGAGCAATTAGTGCCTGCAAGAGCTGTCTCTGGGACAGCGGTTCATGTCTATATCTGCAGGGTAACCCTCATAGTCATATGCAGTCATATCCATAGTCATATCGGGAGTCAGACTCCAGTTTGACTGAGTGAATGGAGAAACTAAACATTTATTACTGAATAATAACATTAATAAACCATCTTAATGATAATAATAATAAACATATTGATGAGTATTAACAGGAATGATGATGATTATTATGATACTAATATCCATAATTAATAATTTTAATATTGATAATAGTACTAACCCTGTGGACTTGGGACCTAAAGAGCAGTTTCCCCTTACAATTATCCCATATTTGGCCACAGGGGGTAATATCGAGTTCCAGAAGGCAAGGATTAACATTCAGAAAAATAGGAAAAACAACCTGCAGGTAAGCATGTGCACACATGGGGACTCTATGGATAAATACTAAAGTGACTCTTGTTCTGGATCTCCATGTTAACAAACATGCACCAGCTTTCAGGAGGTAGGACAGCTGGCTGATGGGGCAAGGCTTCTTGAGGACATGGCAGGAGTCAGAAATCACACATGCTGCCCAGCAGCAGAGCTCATGACAAGCAGTAAACCCCAGCGAAAGGACCTGGCTGCCCTTTCTGCCATCTGCTCTCCCATGACCTCTCTTGACTGGTACATCTAGGCACTGGAGTAACCTTCACTGGCTATAGGAGGGCATAATCCTCAGTATTCTCCCACCTGCAAGAAAGACAAAAATTAATTGAATACCATGGCTTCTGGGTATTCTTAGTGGGCTTGACATATTTTGCCTTTGCTTTAACAGGCCAGTTATCCAGGCAGTGACTTTCAGTGCAGCTACAGTCACCTCTGGAAACCTGCGGAGACTTTAAAAATTTCCAGAAGGTCAGGAATTTTTGGAGACCTTTCTCATGGCTACATTGCCTGCAAAGGTGAATCAATAAGCTTCTGAACTGACTTAGAAAATGTTGCAGAGACTCTTGTGAACAGATAGACCCTCTCCTGCCACTCAGATAGACGTATCAGGGTCACACACACCTGATTTAACAACATGTCATTATCTCAGGTGGGCAACAGACAGCAATTTAGGACCTATCCCAGTGTGGATGAAAGACATTGAGTTGGCTTAGAAAAATGTTACATAGACTAGATGGGGCAAGAAAGCCCATTCTGGGTCTCAAAAGCCTGCACATAGAGTTGCTGACACATAAAGGGTATGTATAAATTTTTTCTTAGCCCATGAGATCAGGATGTACTTCATCAGTATACCATGCTGGTATAAAGAGATTCTTGCCTCCAAAGGGACTCAGAATATTTCAGGGAACCTGTATTAGTCCATTTTTACACTGTTGTAAAGACACTACCCCACACTGGGTAATTTACAAAGGGAAGGTGTTTAATTAATTCACAGTTCTGCATCGCTGGGGAGGCCTCAGGAAACTTACAGTCATGGTGGAAGGCAAGACAGAAGCAGGCACCTTTTTTCACAAGGTGGCAGGAGAGAGAAGTGAGTGCACAGAAAAAAAAAACCTCCTACTTTTAAAACCATCAGATCTCCTAAGAATTCACTCACTATCATGAGTATAGCATGAAGTAAACTTCTTTGACACATGGCGATTACAAGTCCCTCTGTCGATGTGTGGGGATAATAATTTGAGATGAGGTTTGGGTGGGGACACAGAGCCAAACCATATTATTCTGCTCCTGGCACCTCGCAAATCTCATGTATTTTATATATATTTCAAAACCAATCATGCTTTCCCAACAGTCCCCCAAAGTCTTAACTGTTTCCAGCATAACTCAAAACTCCAAGTCCAAAGTCTTATTTGAGACAAGTCCCTTCTGCCTATCAGCCTATAAAATTAAAAAAAAAAAGTTAGTTACATCCACAGTGGGGACCTCATGACCCTGACCAGGGCCCTATCCTACTGTGGCTCAACTGATATCCAAGATGCAAGACAAAGTCCTTTTTACTCTTTCCTCTAATCTCCTCTAGCAGAAGGAAGCGGTCTTTTTTGGAGCTGCAAGCTGTGCTGCCTGGGGTTGGGGGAGTGGTAATGCAAGTACTCCTTTAGCTGTCCTGGCTGGTGTCTCAGTAGGTTTTATGGCCACTCACCTCAGTACACTGGCTCTGAGTACAGTACTATTGTGTCTGCAGTAGTGTATGAGATGGAAAATAAGTCCCCATTCTCCAAGACTCTTCTTGAGCATCAAGGCTGCCTGATTGTTGAGATATAGCTACAGACTTTCCTCGCTGAGCCTAGCATGCACATGTTCCTCTGCTGGAAATAAAAACAAAAACAAACCACCAAACAACTTCCCACAAGTGGAATGTTCTGGGACTCAAGGCCATCTAGATTATTTTGTCCCCAGGGTGCTCCCTTGATGTGGTGTGCTTCCTCTTTCCTCAGAGTAGGAGGCCATGAAATTCAGATTACTGCATATGCTGCTGCTGCTTCTCTGGGTCTAGCTACCCAGTGGGGATGCCGCACACCAGGCTGGTGCTCAAGAATGTCTGCAATGGATCCAGTGATATAATTTGTCCTCACGTCTCACAGCAGTGTGTATCAGCAGCTGATCAGATGGGGATGGCAGGGGAGTGTTGTAGACTCTGAAAGATTCCTTGGTTATAAATAGTCCTAGTGTGTTGTGTATTGGATTTCTCAAATGCCAGTTGTAGTAGTAATGAACTCATCACATGGACAGACTCAGGGCCTCCTGCTTAGCCAGAATGATGCAAGCAATGGTAACAGTTGTGGTCACTCACAACTTTTCTCCTTCCTGGGTGCTATGTTATTCTACCTGCAGATGCTGTAAAGGACTGTCAGTAGGCCTTCAGCCAGGAGGTGGTGCTTCCAAAAGACTGCCAGCTGTGGTGGTAGTGGTGAGATTTGGACTTGCCTTATGTTACCCATGGGAGGCACTCTGGTGTCTCAGGAAATAGGTGGAGCCAAAGAGCTTCTAAAAGTTTCTTCAGTTATTTGTGTTAATCTACCAGGGTAGGTGGTTGAGCAAAGCCAGGTGGGAACTAGGTCAGGTAAGGTGATGCTCTGGCTGTCTATGTGTGAGACAAGCAGTGGCTCCAGTGGGAATTGGAAGGCTGTTCTTGGGCCACTGGAGTAATTTTCCAGAGAGAAGTGAAACTGTCACTGCCTCTGTACAAGGAGAGTCTATGTGAAGAATGGGGAGTAGCAGCTTGGTAGTAAGCCCCATCCAGCTCCCACACACTTGGCAAGGCAGGTCTCACACCCACAGTGTTCCAATGGGAGTAGCTAGCTAAGCTTCAAGAAGTCTGGGCTCAGAACTCAAAACTGACCCATACCATAAGTCTCCCCTATGGAGACAGCAACTGCAACCTTCAGGCCACACCCTTCCTGATCCACCTGCAGAGCAGGGGCCCCCAGCTCCTGTGCTTGCTGCTGCAGCACACTTCCCACTCACCTCTCAGTTCTGGCCTGGGGAGTTTGTCCCCAGTCAAGATTATATCACACATTTCATTTGGGAGGTTGTCTCAACCTGTGACAACCATCTGAGTTACCTGGCAGACTTCTAGGAGGTCCTGTCTGAGGTAGAATCAGCAATGGCTTCCCTCCATTCTACCAGAAACTGGGAATGTGCTGGAGATTCAAAGCACATCCCAATGCCACTCCTCATATACTCACCACTCTTCCCTAAATCAGCTCCAGCGCTGAGGAGGGTTAAGGCCTTCCCTCACGGCCTGGATTGATAGGTTTCCCAGTGGAAGCGTATATCTTAGAGTCAGTTACCCTCCTGTCACACCCTGGAAACTTACAATTTTCTGCCTAGCTTATGGTGTAAGCTGCATCCTGCTGTTTCTTTCAAATGGTCTGTGGCTTATTTCAATTTTCCTGTTAAATTCCTGTGTTGCTTCTTGAAAGAAAGTTCACAGTGTGAGTCTCTACACACCAATTTCTCTTTCCAAGTGCAAGAGGCAGACTAACAATGCCTTCAATCCACCATCTTGGAAAACAAAAGTAACAGTTTTCTCATTTTTAAAAGTTTTGTTAAGATATGTTAATGATTCACAAAGAAATAGTACTTGGGTGTATTTGAAATTAGTATTTATTCATTTATGTTGATAAGTGAAAATGCAAGACGGTTATCAAGATGGAAGTACTTAATATGTATATTTTAATATTCTTAGATGCAAATAACTTCACTTTTGATGTATTTTTATTTTGTTTCAGTTTCATTTCAAGTTAGGTTTAAGGGGTTCTTGATAATCTGACATGATAAGTGGTGTTGGAATTGGCATTAAAATCCACCATGCTCTACAGCACTTCATCCTTCTTCGGCAGGCACCAATTTGATCTTCTACTATGTTGCAGACATCTGTTCTGCAAACACCAAACAAATTGAGACAATGACCTTCCGCAGGACCCAAACCACCTCTTACTGAAGGAAAGAAGATCCAGTGAGATAGTCCACAAATGGAATGTAAATCCATAAACACTCTTAAGTAACAGAATAAATTTAGTATGAACGTTTTTATGTGGGAGCTCTTGACATGGTTGCTGCTCATATGTCAGAGACACATGCAGTTTAAGAAAGGTAGCAGTTCCAATCCTGGTTTGGCCCAACAGTCACTGCATTTTTGGTGGGGAAAAGGGATGTGGGAGGAGATGGTACCTCTTCATCTTTTTCTCTGGGTTTTCTGTCAGAAAGGGATGTTGCTTACTCCAGTGGCAAAAAATGCCAGTGTCTTCTGCCAGAGTGGGTTACTGAGGGCCCTGGTGCTTCCACCTTGTGGCTGATACAGATAGTCCCTTTCTGCTTTTGTTTCTAGCCGAAAAAGATGTTTCTGGCATCTCAGGTATGCTGATTTCAGCAGCTGTTTTTTCTATATGGCTATTTTTTTTTTTCTTTCACTCTCTCTCTCTCTCTCTCTCTTTTTTTTTTTTTTGTTGGCTTCACTGTGTTGCCATAGTTTCTTAAATGGTCCCTTGAACCCTCCCAGTGCTATTTTGGTTTGTACATAACTATCTATATATTTTTTTTCTTTGGGGGAGTGTGTAGAGCTAAAGGCTGGTATATGCTGCTCCTGCTCCCCGAAAGTGACATTATTCCCCTAAGCTAATATTTCAGGCTTTCAATTTATTCGTGGTTTCACCTGTTTAAACATAAGTAGAAATTACTTTTTCTCTCCATATTTAGATTTGATCTATCTACTTTAACTGCTAATAGTGTCTTAGTCATAGAATAGATTAGTTAGAAAAAAGTGTTTTTGACATTATAAATGATTCTTTCAATTTGTGTCTAAAAGTGGAAAATACTAGAAAGCTTAACATTTATTATTGTATTCAGACCAGTATTTCCTCCAGATGACCTCTATTACAACAAAGATAATTTAATGAAGATCTCTCTAATGGTAAAGCTGATGGCTTTGTGCTATTACAATATCCTTCGAATAAAGTGACAGTCTGGTGGAAAGAACAACTAAAGCAAGGATTAGGAAGAAAATAGTTAATACCTTCATTTTGGTCTCACTCTGCATTAAGAGTTGTCATCGTGTTAAGGGTTTATTATACATTAAGTAATTTAATGTTCATTTAATAATAAATGGATCCTATTAAATATGATTTTTAAAATTATAATCACATTACTTTTATTCACATCTGTCTACTGATGCCATTCCTAGATAAGAATGGTATCACATTATTTTATTTTTTTTTCATTTTGCCACATCTTTACTTACTTAGGTTTATGCTGTATCAAACAATGTATGTGTGCGAGTAATGGATGATTCAGGAATGCATGAGGAGGAGGTTTAAGCTCCTTAACCTTGAACAATTAAAATTAGCAACATAATATTGAAATACATACAGAACGCTCAAGTGGTACTTTCAAAATAGTGTATATTTCCTCTGTTTATTTGTAGCTTTTAAACCCAGCTAGAAGCATTCTATTTCCTTTAGGCACCATAAGTCTGAAAGTCTGTAGTGAAAACTACAAGTACTAAATGATGCTAATTCATGTGCTCCCACCTGTGGAAGAACTGAATGTCTTAGATAAAAAAAGATGGTGCAATTGGTGTACAAAGTATCTAGAATACAATTTGGTGGTGGTTTTTTCTGTTTCCATAGCAGAGTAACATATATAATATTGCCCTTTCATCAAGTTATTTAAATATGCCTTTGAACGGGGAGAATTGAAAATAATACTGTGAATCCTGGTAAACATTTTAAAATAATGAGAAGAATATTGCGTTTTCAAAGTCAAAATTTGTCTGATTACAACCCATATAGCAATTTCATAGCAAGCACTTCCTTCAATCCTATTAAAATCAGAAGGAAAAGAAGAATATCCACTGTCAATGTTGTATTGATATAGTTCTAAAAGTTTTGGACAATGAAATATGTTGTAAGAAGAGAAGTCAGGGGAGACTTGAGCCCATTGTTTCCTCTCACCTTCTATACCTCCCAAAATACCACTGGAATGTTGTAACATTTTGAAGAATCTATAGCAGTGTCCCAAATCATAGAATAGTATGAATACATCTGAATCTTTAATATCTCCAAAATATATAAAATAGGTGTGATTAGAATGAAAGAAAGATTTAGGCTTTTGGCCATGACTGCAAGTTAGCTGCTCTCAAATGACTGCTGCTATCGAACAAATACATTTTAGACGATCTCTTTGAAACATTTCTATTCTTGAAAATGGTTAGGCAAGTTCTTAAAATATCTCCTCTTTCAAACACAAAAACAGTCTGTGAAATGGAGCTTGAGCACTAGGCACTTTGTATTGGCTAGCTGATGGAGGTGGGTGAGGGTTTCCCATATCTTCTGGGAAGATCTGCTATTATCAACAATGCTAATGGTGGTACTACTGACTCTTGGGCCATCAGAAATTCCAGTTCTTTAATCCTGGAACTTCTATATTGAGATAAAGGATTGAGTCAGTTTCACAGAGGAAGTTTGAATAATAGCATTCTTATTTCAGACTGTAGAATGATGGCAGATTAAGGATGAGCAATGAGTTCATCATTAAAAATGATCAGGTAAGAAAGAAACCATGAATAAAAGTTAATGAAATGAATAGCACATTTAAATCCTTGAAAACTAAATGTATTGAAATTGTCAATGTGGAGAAATAATTAAGCAGCTGTGTATCGATTGTTTAAAGAAAAAATCTACTATTACAAAGATGTAAAAACAATAGTAAAGCTATATAGATGATAGAAAAAATGGGCAGGTCTGGCTGGGCATGGTGGCTCATGCCTGTAATTGCAGCACTTTGGGAGGCCGAGGCGGGTGGATCACGAGGTCAGGAGTTCAAGAACAGCATGCCCAAGATGGTGAAAACTTGTCTCTACTAAAAAAAAATGTATATATACATATATATATATATTAGCTGAAGATGGTGGTGGACACTTGTAGTCCCAGCTACTCAGGAGGCTGAGGCAGGAGAATCACTTGAACCCAGGAGGTGGAGGTTGTAGTGAGTCAAGATTGCAACACTGCATTCCAGCCTCGGCAACAGAGTGAGACTCTGTCTCCAAAAAAACAAAACAAAACAAAACCAAAATGCAGTTCTAAATTAAAAAATTTTAAAAATTAATGCAAGTTATTAATGATATATTAGATATAGGTAACAGGATAATTAGTAAAGAAAAAAATGCTTAAATGATATACCCAGAATGTAGCATGGAAACACAAGGTCTAACATTTATTTAATTCAAATATGCGGGAAGAGAAGTGTAAGAGGATTCACCATTTCAAGAGATTCTCAAAAAGAAATTAAGAAAAAGTATAAATCCATTGATTCAAAGAATATATTTCTAACAGATGATATAAAAATAAATTCACATTAGTTAAATTATAAAATATTAAAACCAAACACCAGACCATACAAACATTGAAAAAAGGACAATTTATAATGAAATAATATTTATCTGAATATCATAGTGAAGCACAAACTAAAAATGAATAAACTAGTATCAACAAACGTTGAGAGAACATAACTGTTAATATAGAATTGGGTACTCAGTAATGTTGTCTTTCAAGAACAAAAATAACAATACAAAATTGACAGATAAAAACTAAAATTGTTCACTACCAAGAGATCTGCAGCAAATAAAATTTCAAAGGCTATATATCAGGAAGAAAGAATTTAACCCAAAAGCTGATCTCAGAGTCAACTTGGAATTCCATAAATATCACTAAACTGATGATAATAGTAATACTTTCTGACATGGGGGGATTCTGGAAAGAAGTGAACTTTTACTTTTGTTTAGAATTTAGAAAGTTATAGAAAAATGCTCTTGCCCTGACAAAAGAATAAGCTGGATAATCTATAGATCATAGATTTCATTTTAAAAGACAGAGCTGAAGTCTTTAAAAAAAAGCTAATTAACTTAAATTCAGAGTAATGAAGCCCTACTGAAAAAAGAACGGATCCACACATGCTTTGTGTGTACCTGAGTTGCAGCAGCAGAAGCAGGAGGAAGCTGCCCTTGATGGAGATAAGAAGGAAACAAGTGAACCTCAAGCAAATGTTGAAAGGCTGAGTGTGGGCTTGTGATAGTTTAGCATCAGTAGGGGCCCAAACACACTCACTCTCATTCACTCACTAATGATTTAATGCTTTTCTTTTCTTTCTTTCTCTTTCTTTCTTTATTCTTCTTCTTCTTTTTTTTTTTTTTTGACTGAGTCTCACTCTGTCGCCCAGGCTAGAGTGCAATGGCACGATCTCGGCTCACCGCAACCTCCGCCTCCAGGGTTCAAGTGATTGTCCTGCCTCAGCCTCCCGAGTAGCTGGGACTACAGGCATGTACCACCGCACCTGGCTAATTTTTTGTATTTAGTAGAGAAAGGGTTTCACCGTGTTAGCCACTGACCTCGTGATCTGCCGGCCTCGGCCTCCCAAAGTGCTGGGATTACAGGCGTGAGCCACCGCGTGTGGCCCCACTAATGGTTTTTTCATGACCTATCTTGTGTGCTCCTAGGTAAGATCAGATGGAGAGCAGGAGAACTACCTGAGACACTTTTGAGGGACAGGCATGTAGGAACTGGTGCAATTTGAGGTCAGAGCAAGGTAAAGGTCTCACTGTGAGAATCGAGGAAAACCCTGTGTTACTGGGGAGTGGGTTGGGGAGCTGAGAGAATCCCCCCTTCACTCTCTGTTCTCACAGGTGCATAAGAAGAGAGGCATGATGAGGTCTGAAGGCAGGGCAGGGCCGGTAGCTGAGAGAAGTAGTTTCTCTGGTCTTTCACTGAGTGTGTGGCAGCTACTGCCCGAGGTTGGGCAAGGGATGGGAGCCCTGAGAGATTCTTGAGGTGCAGAGATAGAGGCTTGCTGAGGATGAAAGTGGACAGGAAAGCTAAGAGAGGCTCCAATGCTGACCATGGCACTCTGCAAGAAGAGAAAAAATGTGTATGTAGAGGTTTCTGAGGGAAAATCGTGAGTCTGGTTTTGGATATATATTACTTTTGAAATCAAGTGTCCAAGTAGATATACCAGTTATGCAGTTGGATAATTTATTATAAGCCTGGAGTTCAAAAGGAGGTCCAAAAGGAGAATTGAAAGGGATGAGACTTGCTGAGCCCCTCCAAAGAGTGTGTGGTGAGGGAGAAGAGAAGAGGACCAGGAACTGAGCTCTGGAGCTCTCCTGTAGGAGGTGTGAAGCAAAAGATGAGGAAGAAACAAAGGAAGCCGAAGTGGTAGCTCCAGTGAGACAGGCTGAGAATCAAGTGAATGAGCCGTCCTGGAAGCCAAATGAAGAAAGTATACTGTGAAGAAGGAAGTGATTATTTGTGTCAAATGCTGCTAATAGGTCGATTAAAGTTGTAGTGAAAAATGATCATTGGATCTAGCAATGTGGAGATTATTCATAACTTTGACAAAAGTGGTGTCAATAGCATGATCGAAAAAGGGGGAGAGAGCCTGATTGGGATATATTTAAGAAACAATGAGAGCTTGATTGGGATATATTTAAGAAACAATGAGAGGAGAGGAATTGAAGACAGAGAATATGGACAACTATTCTAAGATGTTTTGCTGAAAAGTAGAGCAAAAAAGGGGAGGACAGCTGGCATCAGAAGAAAAGCAAGGAAATTCTTTTTCTTAGATCAGAAAAACAACAGCATATTTGTATGCTGATGGTAATAATTTACTAGCATCAAAATTGATGACACAGTCATGATATAGTGAACTGCAACAGGAAAATCCCCAAGTACACAGTGAAGACGGAATATACACAAATTTAAAAATTATTTGAATCTCTGAAACATCTGTTTTGATATTAACCTTTCATTCCTGCAATAGTTATTTTAAGCATGTTCTCATTTTCTCTTGTTCAGTGTTGCCAGGTTATTATAAAGTGTATTAGACTTTTTGAAAAACATTTTTTAAAATACTATTTTTTCTCATTTGTTTCATTAATTTATATTTTGTATTTATAATTTTCCCTTTATCTTCTTTAGGTTTATTATGATGTTTTTTTTTTCCAAAAGCCCCCAAAATGCATGCTTAGCCCAGTAAATTTTAGCCATTTTTGTATTGAAAGTTATGTTACCCACTTCTGTGTGGTTACCTGTAATATACCTTGAGCAGCACTTGTTGGTGTCTTTGCTCCTTATTAATTCACTTGTCTGAAGTTCCTTTAACTCTCCTTTCTACTCTTCAGTTGCACTTTGAAAATCATTTTTTATTCATAACCACATAAAACATAATTTATTTTGAAAAGTCTCTCATATAATTTTCATTTATTCTAGGATTATAGTTTTTCTGTTTCTTCGAATAAAACCTTCAGATTTGTCAACACCCATTTAGAGTAGCTCCTATTGATAGGATACCATCCATCTCTTTTGACCTATTAAGTGAATATAATAATAGATGCCACCGAAATTCAATCCTGTCAGATCTAACTGCCTGCAAATAAATTTCCATGTCCCGCAAAGGCATCTCATTGAGGTCATGTTCTGTTGTATCCTTACTTTGTATCTTGAGGTGCTTGGTGGGGCATGGAAATTTACATGTAGGCAGTTTCATCTGACAGGATTGAATTTCAGCAGCATCCATTATTATATCCACTCACTAGGTCAAAAGACATGGATGGAATCTTATCAAGAGGACATACTGCTAAATGAGTCTCTTTTCTATTTTTCCCTATTATAATCCTAGTGAAGCTGTAAATATTAGGTTCTTGAACCCACAGGACTGATTCTAGGTTCTTGTCTGGCCAGGGATATAGCCTTCTCATCTGCAGAACCTTATAGTAATGAGCTACCAACTTACCTGGGGATAAGAGAATTGAAAAAAGAAGGAGAATAAGGAGAAGCAAATGGAGTCTCATGGCTGAAGGGCCAGCATCAATGTGGGTTGAGCCTGGAGTCTCTGGGCATCGTGGGTCTAGGCCTTTTTATGATGCTCTCTGAGTCTGTGATTTGTTCTTGGTCAGTAGAGCCTAACGAAAAGAGAATAACTAAATCTCCCACGGGAAACTTCCAGGGACACATAAGTACATAAAGGTGGTGATATCTCAATGGATGAGAAAGCAGGTGAATGCTATTTATTTCCCAAAGATTCAGGATGTCTTTATTGTCACCTGCTTTCTTTATTATTTTTGACATGCATATGCAATAATCATTGATCTCACTTTATACATCTATTGTTTGTCAGGCAATATAGTAGGAACTGAAGTAAAATTGTTATACACAAAAAGTACATAATTAATGGATATAGTTTGGCAAGTTTGCACATAAGTATTATCTTGTTACCACACCAATATCCAGGTAATAATATATCCATCACCTCCAAATGTTTCCTACGTCCCTTTGTTGTGGTTGTTGTTGTTGTCAGAACCCCTAAGATCGACCCTCTTAACAAATTGTTGAATACAAAATACCTTATTGTTAACTATAAGTACTATGGTTTGGAGCCTATCTCTGTAATTGATTCATTTTTTATAGCTTTAACCCTTGAACAATAACTCCCCATATTGCTCTTTCCCCACTCAGTAAAACACCAAACTCTTTTAAAGCACATTCTATATAATCCACTTTATGAAGCTTTTCCTAACACTCTTCTATCTGTTCCCCCCCCCCCCCCAAGTAAAGGGAACTACTAATATAACAATTACCTATTTTGGATTATTGCATCTTTTACAAACATTCCTTCATGAACCCATTTAACACTTATCTCCCATTATCTTATTATGAAGTAAAATAAAACTTGACTTGATTTTAAAAATGAAATCACAAAAGAGCTTTGTAAAATTATGATGTACCATTGCTTATTTGTAAGAATTCAAGTTACACTAGGGGTTTTTAAAAATCTTTTGTTTTTATTTGTTGCATATTGTAAGCACAGTGTCTTTTCCAGCTATTTGCTTTGGGAAGGAAAAGTTAGAGTTACAATGAACATCATAGGCTATCTTGTCTAGTCACTTACATTACAGATGAGGAAATAAGCTGAGGGAAAGGAAGAAACTTGCCCAGGATCACCCAGTGATCTAGCGAGGAAGGCGATAGGGACAGCACTAAGGCTTGGTATTCTGAGCCTCATTCTATTTTCTCCTCTTGCCCCTTCTCTGTTTCCTCCTCTCTTCCCCAGACTTCCAGAAAAACTTTACAGTTCTGCTGCAGTGTCTACCTAAGGACATCCAGAGGAGACCTCACTTTTCATTAGACTGCTTTTTTAAGCACTGTCTTGCATTTTCTTCTTCAGTCTTGTTTTATCCCATTTATGGCTATAAGTAATGCTTCTGCTGTGCTGTTCTATCCAATTAGTTTCTTCTATTTTCATTGAGAGAAAATTAAAACAAAAAACCATTAGTTTATCTAAATTTGAAAGTTTTAAAACTTGATTAGAATTTCCTGGGATATGGATGTAAGACATATATTTTAAAATATTTTTCATTTTCAAAATTAAAAATCAAACCCATATATTTAGCCAGGATGACTACTTGATAACTACTAATCAGATGGGTCTTCAGCAACGCCACAAGAATAAAAATCTTATAAATCAATTCCCTGGTGTTATGTGCTACTGAGTTAATACAATTTGATATGATATCACTTTTAAGCAGGCTTTACGGAGTCACACAAAGGAACAGCACAACAGAACCATAGGGTGGAATATATAGGGAAAGCTGGGATGTAAAACCCAGCCTTGACTCTGACACTTACTCCACTGTTGGGAAAAGCACTTCAGTTCCCAGAGCCTTAATATTTTCCTCTATAAAACAGGAAAAATAGACCCATATTTAAGGTTTTGTCAAATCTTGTTGCTGAGTGATTTTACAGTGTCTGCAGCTATCCTCTCTGCTAATCATAACAAGGCTAACAAACTGTTCTTTTGTTTAGTTAAAGATATTTTTGCATTTGTTTACAAATTGTTATTCTTCCCTTCACAGAAAAGGAAACATTTTAAAGGTAATTTATAAAAGGTTAAGAATCTCTTACATATCAACTCTTCACAATGTGACAGAGTAGCTTAACCCCATCCCTAAGAGTATAGTTTCAGATCAGCCCCAAACCTATGTGGAGTGTGGGATACAGAATATATTTCAAACACATGCAAAGGGACGCACATGCACACACACACACACACACACACACACAGTATTACCTAAGGCAGAGGTGCAGATGACAATCTTGGATAGACAGCTCAAAACTCTTAGTACTAAAATAATCCTAATAATAATTTTCCTTCCAAAGTCACCACCAACAATCAGATCTCTTAAGGGTTGGTGACTTAGGTTTTCGAACCTTGTGTATCTTTTGGCTTTTTTTTTTTGGTTGTGTGCTATTTATCTCATACAAAGAAACCTCTTCTTCATCCTATGCAAGTGCTGTATTGTAGGGGCTTGTTGACGTCTTCCTGGTATGTAGCAATCCAGGTGACTGGCCTCTGGCTTCTTAGGAGCAAGGCCATCACATGCTTTTTTTCTTTGTCTGCTTGTTTCCTTGTAAGGGCCCCACATACAGTGGGCGCTTAACAAAAATTTGATCAACTGAACTCATTCTCCATCTCCATTATCTCCATTTCAATCTTTCCCTTTTACTTCTTCCAGATTAGTTTTCCTACAGCAAAATGGGAATTGTCCAAAAACTGCCCTTCATCTTTATAACTTGAAGGATTCATTTACCCTAAGCAGTCCTTTTAAATTTACTATCACAGACTAGATAGAAAAGTCTGGGTTCACCAAGAATAGGCATGTGTGCCATCATATTTTCTGTTGAAAACTTTGGAAAGTGTCTTTTAGCAAACAACATAAAGCATAGAATTTGACCATCCCTGACAATGTAAAAGGACGATCCGCATTCTTACACGTCCATGGCTACTTTCCCACTCCTTCCCCAACCTTGAAATCCTGAATTCAAAAGAAAATATGAGAAGATAGTTTGCCTCATATAAGGCAACATGTTGCTTAATCTTTCTTGCCTATACAAGTTCAAGAGCTCCAGAAAATTTTCTGATCTACTTAGGATGCCTGATCATCTTCTTGGGTAAAAGCAATAAGTCCTACACAGAATCACCAAAACCAAGTCTGTTCAAGGGATCTTATACCTGTGATTCATGATTGCATGCTCAATGCAGAAGGGCATGCTCTGTTGCAGGGTCATATCTGGTCATTGTGTTTAAGTTCTAATTTAGAAGACTAGTTGCTGAGGAGGAAGAGGGAAGGATAATGTTAGGAAATGGAATCAAACTTAAGGGGAAAATTCAAGTACAGGGGACCAACAGTACTGAGGGGCAATAGGTTGAAAATTTCTTAGATAATTGCAATATTTTCAAGGAGGCCCCACGAATCCTTCCTGGCTGACCCCACCAAAGCTTTGGCATAGCCTTTATGCCAAATGTCTTAGACTAACTAACTTTTCCAAAAGAAAATAGAGGAGTTATGGAGACCAATATTTAGTAGAATAATGCCTGATTATTTTGCTTTTGAGGTCTAGTAACTGCTAGTAAACTTGCCTAATTAATTCACATTTAGAAGTAGAGTAAAGAGGGTTTCAAGCACTTGAAACACCACTGACTTCATTTCATGTGAGAGTTGCTATGGAGAGCTAATGAACTATGAGGCTGCAGGTCTCTTAGCCAATAGGTCTTCTAGATTTCCTATGTGACTCCCTTTTCTGGTCATAGGCGATTTTGCTTTTGCTTTGAGTATTATAGCACCATAATGTGTCAGACACTCTACTCTTACCAAGCCTTACACAAAGTTTATCCTGTTATTTGGTGGAGCTTGGCTCATAAAAAAAAAAAAAAGACAGAATGATAAAGAGGAAGACAGCAATCCTCATGGCTGAGGAAAGAAGAAAGCTTGGCTTTATTTCCAGTAGGCAGAGAAAACTTCCGTCTGTGGCTCTCTAGCACCAGTGGAATGTCTTTGTTTGGATAATAAGTGTCCTTCCATACCTCATTAGGCATATTCACAGAGATGTACTATGCACACAAAATGACCTTCATGAGACGACTGAGAGTCCATGTTTTATTGGACACTAAGTTCATTAGAATGATGTGGGTGCACAGTTTTGACCAGAAAACCTTGTTAAATGGGAACATAAGCTACAAATATTTTGGCAAAAGATTAAGGTTTATGAACAAACAACCATTTATATTGTTACAATTAATTAGGCCATGTTGAGAAACCGTTTAGTTTAATGATTAGACATTTTGTTAGTGAACACTTCCCAGACTTTACTTGCCCTATTAATCCCCACTTTGCCCCTGGTCTGAATCCCCACAGTGCCTTGTTTATGGTACAGTGCCTACTGCCTTGTATGTTAGATTAGTGAACATATATTTGCCCCCTCTACTACTGCAGGAGCTTCTTGTTTGCCAGGACAGGGCTATATTCCTCAGAGCTGAGGAGGAGTTGAATCATGTGGTCATTTATTCTCAAATCCTCTTCATCAAGTGAAGCAAAACAGGACAGTGAAAGGTCACTGCACATGGAAGCAGGATGTCTGGATTTCAGTTCTAAATCTCTAGATGTATTACTAACTGGAGGTATGGATAGAGTCAGGAAAATTTTCTTCCTTAAGTTTTGGTAGCACCTATGTAGGTCCAGATCCGTTGGATCTAGATAAGGGGATTCTCAATAATTACTGTGCATAAAATCAACTGAAAGTGTTAGTTTGCAATGCAGATTCATAGCCCCATTCTATGAAATATTTACTGTTTTATAAATTGATAAATAATTTTTATTAGACAATGTAAATTTCCTTACTTGCACCAGCATACAAAAGTATTGAATAATATTAGCAGCAGAATCTTTCAACAAAATAACTATGTATCTTTATTAAACCACTTTGTTTCACTGCTTTTTATTTTCTTTTATGTATCACTATTGTGTTCATTATTATCATCATCACACATTATTGAACACCCATCATGTACCATATGGCACAAACATTGTTTCTGCTCATAAGGAGTATACATTCTCTACATGTTTATAAAATTAATGCCTGAATAAGTTTGCTTAAGCAAAGCAGAAGTTGATTTCTTTTTCACTTAAAATTAACCTGTAGTTATACCATTCAGGGCTAGTACAGATACTTTCTAATATCATTAGGGATGCAGGTCCCTTCCGGCTCTCTGCTCTGCTATACTTTAGAAAAGGTCCTAGTTTGGCTGCTAAATTCCCACCTATTATTCCTGAACTCTAGACAGCAGGGAGAAAAATCCATGAGAGAAGGGCAAAGGAACATCTACCCTTCCTTTTTAAATTTTTTAACCAACCCCCCTTAAAAACACTTTGTTGAGACATGATTACATTCAAAAAGCTGTACCTATTTAATGTGTATATCTCAGTGAGTTTGAGAATAAGGATACATTGTGAAAGCATCACTACCATCAAGATTATAAACATATTCATCACCTCCCAAAGTTCTCCCTCCCATTCTAATTATTATTTTTATTGGTAAGAATAATTAACATAAAATTCACCCTCCTATTATATTTTAAGTATGCAATGCAGTATTCATAGCTATAAGCACTATGCTATAAATTAGACCTCCTGAACTTATTTATGTGATATATCTAAAACTTTGTACTGTAATCACACCTACACACTTACCTGCACCACAGTTCTTGGTCAGTCTACCCTCTGCTTCTGAGTTTGTTTTTTTGAGATTTCAAATACAAGGGGAATCATACAGTATTTGTCATTCTGTGTTTGGTTTATTTCACATGACTTCATGCCTTTCAGATCCATCAATGTTGTCACAAATGACAGGGTTTCATTATTATATAATACTGAATAATATTCCATTGTGCATATATATATATATATATAAAACAATAATTCAGCCGTCCATGAATGAATGATAACATGTATGTCTTCTTCATAGATCTTGACTATTGTGAGCAGTGCTGAAAGGAGCATAGGAGCGCAGATAACTCTTTCACATACTGATTTCGTGACTTCATATATATATATATATATATCTATATATGTATATATATAGATATATATATTATATATAAAATAAGTGGGATTGCTGGAACAAAATGGTATTTTTATTGTTAATTTTTTGAGAAACGTCCATACTGTTTTCCAAGGTGGCCATACTAATTTACATTCCCACCACCAGTATACAAAGGTTCCCTTTTCTCCACATCCTTACCGACACTTGTTATCATCCATCTTTTTGATAATAGCTATTCTAACAGGTGTGAGGTGATATTTCTTGGTAGTTTTCATTTGCATTCCCGTGATGACTAGAGAGGGTAAGAATTGTTTATATATATGTTGTCCATTTGTATCTCCTTTTTCGAGAAATGCCTGCTCATATATCTTTGTTCATTTTTTACTTTTTTAATTTTTATTTTAGACACAGAGGATACATGTGCAGGTTTGTTACATGGATGTATTGTGTGCTGCTGAGGTTTACAGTATGAATGATCTCATCACACACTTAGTGAACATAATACCCAATAGGTAGTTTTTCAGGCCTTGCACCCAACCCTCCCTCCTCTCTCTAAGAATCTCCAGTGTCTGTTGTTTCCATATAAGTGAGAGCTAAACAGTGTATAACCCAATGTTTAGCTCTCACTTATACATGAGAATATGTAGTATTTGGTTTTCTGTTCCTGTGTACCACACCATACTGGGCTAACTTTTGTATTTTTGGTAAAGATGGGGTAGCTTCAACATGTTGGCCAGGCTGGTCTTGAACTCCTGGGTTCATGCGATCCACCCACCTCACAAAGTGCTGACATAACAGGCATGAGCCACTGCACCTGACTTTCCTGAACTTTTTTAGCTTATATTAGGTTTGTCTGTTCTAGAATTTTGTATACATTTATTTATATTATAGGACACTTTTTAGCTTAGCTTTCCCCAATCGGGGTTAGAAAGATTATATTGATCCATGATCATGATGTTGATTCATAGAGTTGATTTTTCCCCTTTATTGCTAAATATTACTCTATAATATGCATATAATTTATCAATTTCCTCTCAATAGACATTTGAGCTGTTCCTAGGCTTTAGCTATTGTTAATAGAACTCAAGGACACATTTTTAAAAGAAAAAATTTCAACCCAAATTGTCCTTTCCTTTTGGCTCTCCAATATTGTGTCAGAGTTATATTTTTGTTGTCTTGAAAATCCAATTACATTGAAGAGGAGGTGTCTCTAGAATCAAGTTTCAGTATATGTGTGGTCTGCCTATGTCCTGGAATGTAGCCCTTATTAGTTTTATTAAGCATTTTCCTATATAAATTGAAATCAAGTTGAAGACTCATTTTTCCACAGTAGGACAAATAGAACCGTTTAGGACTTTGGAGAGATAGCAACTTGCTGCTTGCCTGTGCAACCCACCTCAAAAGATACAACTCCTCCAACTTTTGATTTCTGGTGACTTGTCCAAACAATTAGATGTGAATTGACCTTATTCCCTTACATTACTACAAGTCGATCTTCTGCACCTGGCCAAATACAGTATAAAATTGATGAGCATACGTTTCTTTTGGTTTCATACATTCTATTTAAAGCTATTCTCTGTGGCTGGGCACTATGGCTCATGCCTGTAATCCCAGCAGTTTGGAAGGCCAAGATGGGTGGATCACTTGAGGCCAGGGGTTTGAGACCTGCCTGGCCAACATGATGAAAGCTGTCTTTCTGAAAAATACAAAAATTTTCTGGGTATCGTGGCACGTGCCTGTAATCCCAGCTACTCAGGAGGCTGAGGCAGGAGAATCACTTGAACCCAGGAGGCAGAAAGTGCAGTGAGCCAAGATCCCACCTCTGCATTCCATCCTGGGTGAGAGAATTAACCTCCATCTCAAAAAAATAAAAAGCTAATCTATACTTTTCTTTTAGTGTATTATTAGAACATAGAAGGCAATAAGGCAAAACTATTGTGGGTATATTAGTGCGTATCTGTAGCACCTAGCACAGTGCCTAGCCCATAACTTGTGTTGAAAATTAAGAGAACCTTCTTAATATCCTTTTCTATACTCTAGTTCTGAATTTAAAGAAAGAAAAAGGTAGGTTAGCAAATATAGGTATCAATTATTTCTATTGACAGATCATTTGGACAACATGTTTTTGGGTGTGGGAGAAAAAAGATTCCTAACTCTCCACCCCAGAAATAATTTTGCTGATACAAAAATCAGCCAGACATGGTGGCACATGCCTATAATCCCAGCTACTTAGGAGGATGAGTTTGAGGATAAGGATACATTGTGAAAAAGGTGGGAAAATCACTTGAACACAGGAGGCAGAGATTGCAGTGAGCCAAGAGTGCCCCACTGCATTCCAGCCTAGGCAACAGAGAAAGACTCTGTCTGAAAGAAAAAAAAAGTTGTTGCTATATAGCACATAATTTTATTGTCATCACATTTAAAATTGAATAGTACATTTGGGTTGAACTCTTATGCCTGCAGAGACATTTTCTTCTGGCTTAAAATCGCTGGCTGTAGGAGGAAACTCCAGCAGAGGGCATCGTAAGGATTTCATAGTGTCTATGGTCATCTTGGTAATTCCTCAAATAATTCCTGGCAATTCTGTTAGGTCTTGAACTTCACTTACTTCTTACATGTTTAAGAAAAAGAAGTTCAAAGCATTGCCATGGCTGTTGAATTCCCACAGGCTTGTCTTCCCTTTGAAATTCATCACATGGTTTGTACTCTTTTGCAGATATAATATGTAAGTTTGGAGGTGGATACTTTCAGCCATTAAGTTCAAAAGTACTGCTACAAGGGCCAACCATGGTGGCTCACACCTGTAATCCCAACCCTTTGGGAGGCCAAAGCAGGCAGATCACGAGATCAGGAAACTGAGACCATCCTAGCCAACATGGTGAAAACCCATCTGTACTAAAAATACAAAAATTAGCTGAGTGTGGTAGTGTGTGCCTGTAGTCCCAGCTACTCGGGAGGCTGAGGCAGGAGGATTGCTTGAACCCGGGAGGCAGAGGTTGCGGTGAGCCAAGATTGCGCCATTGCAGGGCAGCCTGGTTACAGAGTGAGACTCCGTCTCCCAAAAAAAAAAAAAAAAAAAAAAAAAGTACTGCTACATGGACATCCATTGTCCCAGCATCTCTGCCATAATAGCTGAGGAATTATTGAGAATGTCTGTTAATTTCTTTAACTCCAAATTTGTGTTATGTCCCTTGGTCTTCTGTCATACCATAAATTGTATTATTCATAAAATGGACACCTTGTTTATAGTTATTTCTTCTCAGCATGCTACATCCCTTTAGAATTTAAACATAGTGTCTCCCAACCTGAAATTGGAAGTTTTGAAAAACCAGAAAAATGTTTTCGGACACCTTTTATTTCCAGCTGTTTTTATGTCCTCTCCTGAATCCAAGTTGAGGGTAAAGTCCATTCACCAGCATTTCTCCTCAACTCACAGCAACCTCATCCCACTCCAACATGATGTTTGTCCCCACAAATTGATGCACATAATTCTTGCTGGCAGTGCTAATGTCCTAATTAAAAAAATCAGGAGATGGCATCAGACTTTACTTTATTTTCTAGCTCAGCAGCATTTGATTCCTGTCTGATGAGGAAACCCTATTTTCCCTAGAAACTTTTCACTTTTGTCACAGGTTTGGTTCCCAGGGAACTGGATATAGATGAAGTTTAGTGTGCAGGATGTATATTAGGAAGTGATGTGAGGATCCACATCTGTGGAAAGGATTGGAGGGAAGCCTTATGTGCAAAGGGACAAGTCTAATCGCAGTGCAGCCTGACATTGTCAGCTGGCCACACGGACAGAGCTGTAGAGCTAAGAAGTCCTCCCCTATTGTCCCAACTGAATCAAATGGCAAAGCCTATGTACCCCTTGCCTCCATTAATGATTCTGTGCTTGCCACTTGTGGAGGATGAGACTTTGAAGCAGGTGGCTTTCTGTGGCTGAAGAAAACCTTAAATGTGCTGACAAAGTTTTCCAAAGAGACAGAGAATGGCATCTGCCATGTATGTTGCCCCTTTCCAAAGAGGAAGCAACAAGGGTAATAGCCTCCAATGGCTCTGTATGCAGATAGGTGGACAGTAATGTCTGTCCCTCCTGTGACCTAAGAAGAACAGATGGCAGACATGCAGCCAGGCAATTAGAGGTGACACAGTGTTAGGAGATAAACATCTGTCAGAAGCAGTGCTTCTTTGAATCAGGTGTGACACGAGCCTTGCATCCCTTGCATGGACCCCTTCCCCATTATCCTGCTGTCCTACCTCATGAAGGTGGGTGGGGGCTGGCTGGTGAGCAGTCCCAGTACCAGATACACTTTGCCTGCAGTCTTTCCACATGAGTTCCAAGGTAGCCCATGTGATCATCCATGAACGTTGTGTTTTCCTTATGCTGCTTGTCCTTTGCCTTTGAGGAACACGTTTCATTTGACTCTGAGTGCAAACGACACATGTGTCCCTATATCTGGACATTGTCCTTCACTTAGGGGAATCCGTAATCTATATTGCCTTTGTTTTATTTTTACTATTAATATTATAATAATTAACATTGTCATTATTACCTTCATTGTTGATATTCAGTTATTTTTATTAATAGAGTTACTATGAATTATTATATTGTGGCTACTTACACCAAGATGAAGATAATTTATTAGTTCAGGAAGAACCTGCATTCTGAAGGCAAATGGAAGTTCCAGCTACAGATGGGCAGACACATGCCCCCTCAATTCCTGATGGACCTCCTTGTGCCTCATGGACCTAAGGGGCCTCCCTCAATGTTTCAAGATGCCACCAAGGCAGGGATCAGCTAGTGCATTCCTGAGAACATCCAGGATGAATTGAGGCTCTGGAAAAATGCAAGAGTTTCCACATAATCCCAAAAAACCCTACAGGTGAACTGGATGCCACAGAAAGAGGAGTGGTCTTTGTCACAACAAAATCAACAAAATTATTTCGAAGTCAATTAGGAAACTCAGAAATCACTCTTGCTGCCATTAAGAGGAAGAACAGCAGCCTGTGAATGGCATCCCTGGCCTTCCCGAGACTCCACAGATATTTCTATGTGGCTTCAGACACCAGAAATCTCTGTGATTTTCAGAAAGGCAGGGACAGCTCATGCCAGCCCATCCCTCTGCAGAATGTGTCCCAGCAGATCAGTGGCATGGAACCATCATGGACAGCACAGAGGCTCAAGGGCAGCATCCCAGGTGGGCCTGTGACTCTAGATAAGTTCTGAGTCCCCATGGGGGATCAGGAAAGGTTAGTGATGACCTGGAAAGAAGGGACAGGTGGAAACCGCCCCTAAGCAATCTGCAGGATTCCAACTTCAGCAGGAAACCAAGGACCAGCTCGTACCACACCTGCGCCCCCTGAAAACTGGATACAATCCCACTCTGCAGAAAGTTCCACGTAGAAGTGGCTGGGAATTTTGCATTTTAGAATGAATTTTACAGTGCCTCTGGACATGTGATGAGAAAGTTAACATTGGTGTATCTAACTGACATTTTCCACGAAGTGATTTTTTAAGCTGTTTTAAAACAGACAAAATATAATTAAAACATATGTATTATATGTCAAAGTATGGTTCGCTGGAATCAAGTAGACTCACCTTGAGATACAATCTTGGACAACCTCCATATTCAGAATATCTACTTTTTCAAACCGAAACTCTCCAACCAAAAATCAATAACATCAAAAGTTTGCAACTACAAGCCAACGGAAAATAAATACATGAATTCTACCAAAGTGAATTGGACTGCTTTGGGAAACACAGATGAAGAAAGTCAGCACCGCTTTGTCTTTCAGTGCCTGGCTCCCTTTTCAGCTCGTCTTGCGACACCAGACATTATACCTGAAAAGTCTCCCGGACGCCTGTGAGGCTCTAATTCCCTGGGTCCTATTGTCATTTCTCTGGATTTGCGAAGATCCACCTCACCTTCTGTGGAACCCCCATGTCGGTGAACTTTTGGGCCACGGCCCCTAATTCTGCCCATAGTCATCTGGAACTGCACGAGTTAGGGTCCATGTTCCTTGGACGGGAAGAGACAGGCAGGAGTCGGAATGATGAACCAGCACACTGGGGCATTTTCTCATGTAGCCCAAGTGACCCCATGGTCTTCTCGAGCTTTGGAACCAGTCGCGTCCCCCTTGACACTGCACCCGACTCCCACTTTCTCAATCTTGTTGGCCCTCCGGCGATCTCCCTTTGGATGAATTGCACCTGCTGAAACTCGAGTCCCCTTTGATTTGCGCTTCATTAATTATTCATGATTCAGTTTGGAAGGCCTGCTTACGACTCCCTGTGGCCGTTCTCTGAGCTTTCCTGTCACATCGTTTCCTTCCACGCTCTTTGGTTCATTGTGGTCCTGCTGCTTCTGCTGTCAGAGGAGCAGAGAGTAGATCTTATTGATTCTGGATACGGATACTTTCTAGGTGATCTGGATAATCAAGATAACGACCCTCAACAGCGGCGGAAAGGGAGCAGCCATTCAGTGTGTCTCAGAAAATACCGCTCAGTTCCGAGGCCTCCTAGATGTGGAATCCTGCTCAGAGTTGTTCCCAGGTCAGAGAATAGAGAGAGTCTGTGCATGATGAGATATCCCTGCCTAGATCTTTCAGTGAGTCTCTACCTCAGCTACTCTTAGGATCAGTGGGAGAACCATGGAAAGGCCCGGTGTCAGACATCCGGAAAGAAGATGGGATGAATGTTTTACCTCTGAAGTACATCCCAAATCTGGGAGTTAACTACAGCTTTGCTGGGGACTATTTGGTCAGTGAAACTCTGCCTGGTTCATTCGCACATCCGGAAGCCACTTCACGGGGGGCCGTCGCAACCGGAACCACACACTTGGCATCGGCGGTTGAGCCAAATGGGGACTCGCGGTGCAAGCAACGCTCCCCACGTGTTAGCGTGCGTGAGATTCAGTTGGCGGAATTTTACTAGGTGCGTGTTGGTAGAGTGGGGCTGAGGTTCTCTTTCTCCTGTGGATGTATACGAAGTCAAAGGTCCTGCCCAGCCGTGCGGTCCCCTCAGTCAACTCTGTTTCGGAGACATAACGATTTGGATTGCTAACAAGTCAAGAAATGTTCAAGCCCTTGGATGTAGGGAAAAGAAAGAGAGATCAGACTGTCACTGTGTCTATGTCGAAAGGGAAGACATAAGAGACTCCATTTTGGAAAAGACCTGTACTTTAAACAATTGCTTTGCTGAGATGTTGTTCATTTGTAGCTTTGCCCCAGGCACTTTGCCCCAGCCGCTTTGACCCAACTTGGAGCTCACAAAAACCTGTGTTGTATAAAATCAAGGCTTAAGGGATCTAGGGCTGTGCAGGACGTGCCTTGTTAACCAAATGTTTACAAGCCGTATACTTGGTAAAAGTCGTGGCCATTCTCTAGTCTCAATAAACCAGGGGCACAATGCACCGTGGAAAGCTGCAGGGACGTCTGCCCTTGAAAGTAGGGCATTGTCCAAGGTTTCTCCCGATGCGATACTCTGAAATATGGCCTTGTGGGATAAAAAAGACCTGACTGTCCCCTAGCCTGACACCGGTAAAGCGTCTGTGCTGAGGTGGATTAGTCAAAGGGGAAAGCCTCTTGTAGTTGAGATGGAGGAAGGCCACTGTCTCCTGCTCGCCCCTGGGAGCTGAATGTCTCGGTGTAAAATCCGATCGTACATTTGTTCAACTCTGAGCTAGGAGAAAAGCTGCCCTGTGGCGCGAGGCGAGACATGTTGGCAGTAATGCTGCCCTGTTATTCTTTACTCCGCTGAGATGTTTGGGTGGAGAGAAACATAAATCTGGCCTACGTGCACGTCCAGGCATAGTACCTTCCCTTGAACTTAATTATGATATAGATTGCTTTGCTCATATGTTTTTTTGGTTGACCTTCTCTTTATTATCACCCTGCTCTCCTACTACATTCCTTTTTGCTGAAATAATGAAAATCATAATCAATTAAAAATGAGGGAACTCAGAGGTCGGTGCCGGTGCAGGTCCTTGGTGTGCTGAGTGCCGGTCCCCTGGACCCACTTTTGTCTCCCTATACTTTGCCTCTGTGTCTTATTTCTTTTCTCCGTCTCTCATCCCACCCGACTAGAAACACCCACAGGTGTGGAGGGGCAGGCGACCCCTACACTTGGAAAATCAGTTAAACACAAACACGGAATGAGAGTCAAAAGACAATATGTCATCTTTTTGAGAATTTTATTCACTTCAAAACAAATTCAACACACATATTTACAAAGGCATTCCAGAGCCCAGTTTTCGAGGCTGAGGAAAGACCCCGAGAGCACTTTGCACAGCACGCTTCCCAGCGTCCGAAACACTGCTCTCAAGGCGGAGCACAGAGGAAGGGCTGCACCTCTCAGGGTTCCCTAACTTTTCCCTTATTCAGTCATCTAAAGAGCAAATACACAGTAATTCCCCAGTTTCCTATTGACGTCCCAGCGGAAGTCTGACTCCAGCGCATCACGCAGTTTCTGACGCAAAGAATCACTGACGCGGAAGCTTTTCCTGGCGCGTTTCCGGAGACCCATGCGAAATACAACGTCCCTCACCAGAATTCAATGAGGCAGAGTCCCTGCATCTGTTCTCTGCCTGGCCTGGGCTCCCACATCCACAGAAGCGCCACAGCCGGGGAGCATCGAAGTCAGCGCAGAGTCTGCTCTCTGCTCTGCGCTCCTCAGTCCCACAGTCCCCTCCAAGTCACGGGAGCTGGAGGCCAAGGAGCCCCTGCCACCTGCAGTCTCACTCCAGGTCAGAATCGCTGTCCTCTGAGGAGGAGGAAACCTGAAGGTCCTCATAGAGGACGCTCGGTGGGACACGAACACAGGGAGCCTCAGACTTCTCTGACACATGAGGGCTCTGAGCGAGGAAGGCTCCCGGCTTCTCAGGAGAGTGAAATGAGGGGGCCGCCAGGAGGCTGGAGCTCCAGCGTCCGTTTTCCAGTCTCCGGAAGAGCACTCTGAGAGGCTGGGCCCCATCATGGCTGGCCGCTGAGTGATGGGACATGGTGCAGGCCTGGGCAGTAGGCAGGCAAGGTCTGCTGTGCGGAGGCTGCCGTTCGACGCTGGGCACCTGGGCCGAAGTCCTCCTGCCCATCTGGGGCGACGTACTTGGTCCAAGTTCGGTTGCGGCTGGCGGAGGTTGGAGATTCTCCAGGGCCCCCAGCTCACCTCCCTGGATGGCGCTTTCGGGGATCTGGAAGGGACCCAGTCTCGGTTTCTTGGGGAAGTTCAGGCAAGCCTGAATCGGAGCCTGGGCAGGTCTCTTGGCTCCTGGCCCGAAGCTGAGATTGGAGCCTAGGCCCAAGCTGTGTGTGGCGGCTGGCGGGCAGGGCTGTGAGGTCACCGCAGGACGTTTGTCTTGTGCCTGGGGTCTGGCGGCCTGGAGCAGGCCGTGGGTTTTGGAGGCAGCCTGGGGAACTTCTCGGCAGCCACCCTCAGGGCTGCTGTGTGTCGGCTTCACCACGAGGAGAGGCTCGCGGCCCTGGTGCCTGACTGCAGGCTGAGGGATGTCGGCCGCAGCCCCTGTCTGTCTTTCCTTTGGTCCAAGACTTGAGGAGGAGCTCAGGCTGGCTTTTCTGAGGGGAGACAGTGAAGCCAAGACGGAGCCCCTGCCAGACATTTCGGTAGCTGAGCCATCAGCGAGGACAGGGTCCACGCGCGGCCTCTTACTGGTTGTGTGGACCGGCATTGGCCCGCTTGCAACCTGAAAGAGAGGAAACAACACAGGTTAGAAGTTCCTCAGCATGGAGCCAACGTGAAAATCAAGCACATCCAAAGACAAGGTGCACACGCCATGAAATTCTTAGTACAGTATCGACAGGCGGTCCTTGGAAGTAGGGACAGACCCTCCACCTGAGTGCTGATCAGGACAAGACACATGAAAGATGCGCTCTCGAGCTATGTGTAGCTGATCTAAGCACACCATTGTTCAAAAGATCGCGTCTTGGGCATTAACTGGATCAAAGCGCCTCCACTCAGCCTTCCATGAAGTGGAACGGACTAATGCCCTTCCCAAGGCAGGTTGCTGGCTCAAGGGTACTCGGGACGTCTTCTCTGAACACATGCATGTTCCTGGGTTTCGCCTTCTCCACGTTTGGGGCCTCTGAGGGACTAATTTCCTCATGCCGCTAGGAACGTGTTGTTGGCAGGCTTGCCATAATTGGACAGAAAGAAAGCAACAGGAAATACGGCATGTTCAGATGCCTTCGCCTGGAATCCAATTGACCTGGAAGGATCGTGGAGTCCCTGACCCCAAGAAGGCAAGAAAGAGGGGTTCCCCGATTTCCTCCCGCAGACGGGAAGCTGAAAGGAAATCAACCAGGGTGACCTAGAGGAGAAAAAGACCAGGGGCCCGGGGTGACACTCGCCCTCAGATAATCAGAAGGTTCCGTGGATCCTTTTCCATTCGGCAGCGGCTTCTCTGGAGGTTTCCCGGAAAACATGTGGAGGAGAGCCTTCCTCTGCGGGTCTTGTTGCCTGCAGAACAGAAAAAGGTCAGGCCGTGCCCCCTGGTTTTCCCCAGGAGACAGGGAGAACCCCGTCTGGGGCCCAGCCCCATTCCGTGTCTTGTGATACAGAAATGGACATCTGGTGCCCTTTCCGCCTCTGCACCTTCCCTCACGTGCCAACCTTCCCATCCTCCAGGTGGCCCTCTAGGCTTCCCAACTAAGGACTGTGATTTGGATTCCATCGCTTTTCCCGCTGTCGCGGGGAACCTGCACGAAGCGCCCCCGCCTCTCCCCGTCCCTGAATCTCCCAGAGCCCAAGGAGCTCCTGGGTGTGGAACCCCAGAGGACACGGAGCTCCGGCCTATTTCTCTGCAGCGTTCCTTCCCTGGCCCGGAGACGGAAAGGCACACGGTGTGCAGGTGCAGAGACACCATGTCCTTAGGAGGCAGTACCCCAAGAGTGGTGAAAACCCCTCCCACTGCTCACCTTGGTCTCTCTTCCTTCTCTCCCTTATCCTTGTTCAAGGGCCCCGGGTTGGCTTCAACCCGGGGCTTCCATGGTTTCAGGTTTTCCTTCCCTTCCTTTTTCCCCAAGGTCGCTGGAACCAGGGCTGCCTTCCAGCACTTCATGGGGCACCTGGTACTTCTGGCCGTGTGGCCAAAGGCCCCGCAGTTTTTGCACTTGAGCTGTGGGTGGAAAGGAAGTGATGTCAGTGAGTGAGCTGAAGCCACAGGCAGCGATCCCACGTCAACATTGGGACGGATTGTGAATTCAGAGCTGAATAAGGATTCCAAAGAGGGGACACCGGCATGGGGGCCGTTAAGTGCTGGGAGACTTCGGATACGATGTTCCCTCGCAAAGCCCGTGTGACGGAGGAACTCTGAAAGGAAGGACTCAAGGTTCCAAGGGGCACGATGGTGAAGCCGATGTCAACAACGCAGCCAAACGTGGCTACACAGGACTCTAAGTAGAAAGGGAGGTTGCCCCCAAGAGTCTCTCAAGGGACCTATCGGGCCGGGGAGAAGGTCCCAAGCCACGCCCACCTTGGATGGGAAAAGCAACCTGGCTGGTGGTGACAGAACTCTTTGGAATCCAACCCAGTCTCTGAGGACCGTGGGACACCACCTCCCCCCGTCCCCACCCCCACCCCGATACCCAAGAGATCCAGGGCTAGACTTACCCTGGGATCTTCTTCATCGGGCGGGGGAGCCCTTGGCCCAACTGGGGCCCTCCGCTGCTTCTGGAGGGTCTGGGCTCTCACCAGTCTCTTGGCCCAAGATGTGGGGTCCCGACGTGCCATCATCTTCGTCTCCTGGGGGTTTTATGACCGCCTTTTTCAGGGGTGGACTGTTGGGCCACCTGAAACACACACAAACACACACATGTCGATGGTTAAGCACGTTGGATATTCACACACCCACAGGAAGCCACCTGCTAACTCCCTGCCTGTGTGGTCATGAGGAGACCTCACCACCAGTCGGTCAAATCTGTAGAACACAATGTGCTGCGCGCATCCTCGGATATTGTGTGTTCCTCTGCCATGACTACCTAGTCCAAGAGTAAACCCCACCTGCCACAGGGCCCGTGGCCTAGGTAGGGGGGTTGAGCTTTCAACCCCAAACAAACAACTGATTCTGGAGACTGGACTTAGGTCTCTCACGATTCACTCCGGTAGAAGACACGGTGATTCTATCTCCCTTGACGGACAGAATGATCGAAGACACAGGGAATGGCGTGTGCCACCCTTTGGCAGGTCTGCTTGAAGTCAGGGATAAGGGATGCTTCCTGTGACAACTTGAATCGCTACTCTTGCCATTTCATTAGGCAACTTCCAAACACAAATTCATACAGAGAAGTTACCTTCCTCTCTACCGCACTAGCAGGTGATGGTCTTTCCTGTTCTATCTTTTGGCTTTAGCTCCAGCCCCTCTTTATTTATTTTCCTGGTATTTTACGCATACCACACGAATTCATCTGAACAAACGGGGAAGAAGTGCCATATCGTATCGACGTCTTACACGGCTCAAGGGCCAACCACCCTTTTTTCCAAAGTCCTTTTGCCGTTTACCCACCAATTCAGCATGCTGCAGTACATTTCTTTTCGCATTCCCATCTTGGTCTTCTCCCACACGTGGAGACGGATATGTTTTCTCGTTTTCTGTTCCAAGAATTACTAGTAACGAGAACACATCCTACCCCACCAGCAAGCCCCAGTGTGATCGGTTTCTTTCGGCCTCCTTTGTCTCTTCCTCCCCCCCCACCCCCCGCAAAACCCCCCCAGGGATTGCGTGAAAGAAACAATTGTTCAGCGAAACTAACCTGAAGTTACACGTCTACTTTCTTTCCCAGGCTGGCGCTGAGATGGGCAGGTGCTGCAGCAGCCCCGCTGGAAGCGATGCAGCATCCAGAACGACGGAGGAAGGGGCGGAGAGGGACCTCTGCTTTCCAGGCTGCCTTTTATACTGCCTCTGGTCACCTGACATGGAACGTACCCTAACCTAATCAGTTACCTGTACCTTAATTGCAATTAACTTAATCCAATTACATGACCTGGAAAGGTCTATCTGCACAGCCCACTCTAAGATCCTGTCCACTGCTGACAGACATTCTAAAACCTACTTGTACAGCTGCAAGCTTTGAACAATAGATGTTCCCCGTCAGACATGTAACACTGGTGCCTGTACCCCTGTCTTCTTTTCCATCTTTTTTGTTGTTTTGTTTTGTTTCGTTTTAAAAAATGTGGTAAAATAGACACCTTTTAATTGGACCACATTTTGTCTCTCTCGACGTAGGCCTCAGTGTCATCAAGGAGACTCTCCTTGACATGCAGTCACGGCCATGATCCATCTTCAGAGCTTCTCTTTCTTCCCCAAGGTAAGTCTGTCAGCAGAGAACCCTGACCGCACCCTCATGTGTTTTCTCCCCCAGGAGGCGCTTGGAAACCACCGTGAATTGGACCGCACTGGGAAACACAGATGAGGAAAGTCAACAACGCTTTGTCCTTCAGTGCCTGGCTCCTTTTTCAGCTCGTCTTGCGACTCCAGGCATTATGCCTGAAAAGTCTCCCGGACGCCTGTGAGGCTGTAATTCCCTGGGTCCCATTGCCATGTCTCTGGATTTGCGAAGATCCACCGCACCTTCTGTGGAACTCCCGTGTCGGTGAACTTTTGTGCCACGGCCCCTAATTCTGCCCATGGTCATCCGCACCTGCACGACTTAGGGTCCATGTTCCTTGGACGGGAAGAGACAGGCAGGAGTCGGAATGATGAACCAGCACACTGGGGCGTTTTCTCATGTAGCCCAAGTGACCCCATGGTCTTCTCGAGCTTTGGAACCAGTCGCGTCCCCTTTGACACTGCACCCGGCTCCCAGTCACTCAATCTTGTTGGCCCTCCGGCGATCTCCCGTTGGATGAATTGCTCCTGCGGAAACTCGAGTCCCCTTTGATTTGCGCTTCATTAATTATTCATGATTCAGGTTGGAAGGCCTGCTGAAGACCCCCTGTGGCCGTTCTCTGAGCTTTCCTGTCACATCGTTTCCTTCCACGCTCTTTGGTTCCTTATGGTCCTGCTCCTTCTGCTGTCAGAGGAGCAGAGAGTTGATCTTATTCATTCTGGATACGGATACTTTCTAGTTGATCTGGATAATCAAGATAACGACCCTCAACAGCGGCGGAAAGGGAGCAGCCAGTTGGTGTGTCTCAGAAAATCCCGCTGAGTTCCGAGGCCTCCTAGATGTGGAATCCTGCTGAGAGTTGGTCCCAGGTCAGAGAATGGAGAGAGCCTGTGCATGATGGGATATCCCCGCCTAGATCTTTTAGTGAGTCTCTGCCTCAGCTACTCTTAGGATCAGGGGGAGAACCATGGTGTCAGACATCCGGAAAGAAGACGGGATGAATGTTTTACCTCTGAAGTACATCCCAAATGTGGGAGTTAACTTCAGCTTTGCTGGGGTCTATTTGGCCAGTGAAACTCTGCCTGGTTCCTTCGCACATCCGGAAGCCACTTCACGGGGGGCCGTCGCAACTGGAACCACACACTTGGCATCGGCGGTTGAGCCAAATGGGGACTCGTGGTGCAAGCAACGCTCCCCACGTGTTAGCGTGCGTGAGATTCGGTTGGCGGAATTTTACTAGGTGCGTGTTGGTAGAGTGGGGCTGAGGTTTTCTTGCTCCTGTGGATGTATAGGAAGTCAAAGGTCCTGCCCAGCCCTGCGGTCCCCTCAGTCAACTCTGTTTCGGAGACGTAACGATTTGGATTGCCAACAAATCAAGAAATGTTCAAGCCCTTGGATGTAGGGTAAAGAAAGAGAGATCAGACTGTCACTGTGTCTATGTAGAAGGGGAAGACATAAGAGACTCCATTTTGAAAAAGACCTGTACTTTAAACAATTGCTTTACTGAGATGTTGATCATTTGTAGCTTTGCCGCAGCCCCTTCCTTTGACCCAACTTGGAGCTCACAAAAACCTGTGTTGTATAAAATCGAGGTTTAAGGGATCTAGGGCTGTGCAGGACGCGCCTTGTTAACCAAATGTTTACGAGCAGTATACTTGGTAGAAGTCATTGCCATTCTCTAGTCTCAATAAACCAGGGGCGCAATGTACCGTGGAAAGCCACAGGGACCTCTGCCCTTGAAAGCAGGGTATTGTCCAAGGTTTCTCCCCATGTGACAGTCTGAAATATGGCCTCGTGGGATGGGAAAGTCCTGAATGTCCCCCAGCCTGACACCCGCAATGGGTCTGTGCTGAGGTGGATTAGTCAAAGAGGAACGCCTCTTGCAGTTCAAATGGAGGAAGGCCACTGTCTCCTGCTTGCCCCTGGGAACTGAATGTCTCGGTGTAAAGCCCGATCGTACATTTGTTCAACTCTGAGCTCGGAGAAAAGCTGCCCTGTGGCGGGAGGTGAGACATGTTGGCAGTAATGCTGCCTTGCTTTGTTTACTCCGCTGAGATATTTGTGTGGAGAGAAACATAAATCTGGCCTACGTGCACGTCCAGGCATAGTACCTTCCCTTGAACTTAATAATGATATGGATTCTTTTGCTCACGTGTTTGTTTTTTGTTGTTGTTGTTGACCTTCCCCTTATTATCACCCTGCTCCCCTACTGCATTCCTTTGTGCTGAAATAATGAAAATCATAATCAATAAAAACTGAGGGAACTCAGAGGCCGGTGCCGGTGCAGGTCCTAGGTGTGCTGAGTGCCTGTCCCCTGGACCCACTGTTGTCTCCCTATACTTTGTCTCTGTGTCTTATTTCTTTTCTCCGTCTCTCATCCCACCCGACTAGAAACACCCACAGGTGTGGAGGGGCAGGCCACCCCTTCACTTGGAAAATCAGTTACACACAAACACGGAATGAGAGTCAAAAGACAATATGTCATCTTTTTGAGAATTTTATTCACTTCAAAACACATTAAACACACATATGTACAAAGGCATTCCAGAGCCCAGTTTTCGAGGCTGAGGAAAGACCCCGAGAGCGCTTCGCACAGCACGCTTCCCAGCGTCCGAAACACTGCTCTCAGGGCGGGGCACAGCGGAAGGGCTGCACCTCTCAGGGTTCCCTAACTTTTCCCTTATTCAGTCATCTAGACAGCAAATACACAGTAATTCCCCAGTTTCCTATTGACGTCCCAGCGGAAGTCTGACTCCTGCGCGTCACGCAGTTTCTGAGGCAACGAATCTCTGGCACGGAAGCTTTTCCTGGCGCGTTTCGGGAGAACCACGCCAACTACAACGTCCCTCACCAGAATTCAATGAGGCAGAGTCCCTGCATCTGCTCCCTGCCTGGCCTGGGCTCCCACATCCACAGAAGCGCCACAGCCGGGGAGCTTCGGAGTCACCGCACAGAGTGTGCTCTCTGCTCTGCGCTCCTCAGTCCCACAGTCCCCTCCAAGTCACGGGAACTGGAGGCCAAGGAGCCCCTGCCACCTGCAGTCTCACTCCAGGTCAGAATCGCTGTCCTCTGAGGAGGAGGAAACCTGAAGGTCCTCATAGAGGACGCTCGGTGGGACACGAACACAGGGAGCCTCAGACTTCTCTGACACATGAGGGCTCTGAGCGAGAAAGGCTCCCGGCTTCTCAGGAGAGTGAAATGAGGGGGCCGCCAGGAGGCTGGAGCTCCAGCGTCCGTTTTCCAGTCTCCGGAAGAGCACTCTGAGAGGCTGGGCCCCATCATGGCCGGCCGCTGAGTGATGGGACATGGTGCAGGCCTGGGCAGTAGGCAGGCAAGGTCTGCTGTGCGGAGGCTGCCGGTCGACGCTGGGCACCTGGGCCGGTGTCCTCCTGCCCATCTGGGGCGACGTACTTGGTCCAAGTTCGGTTGCGGCTGGCGGAGGTTGGAGATTCTCCGGGGCCCCCAGCTCACCTCCCTGGATGGCGCTTTCGGGGATCTGGAAGGGACCCAGTCTCGGTTTCTTGGGGAAGTTCAGGCAAGCCTGAATCGGAGCCTGGGCAGGTCTCTTGGCTCCTGGCCCGAAGCTGAGATTGGAGCCTAGGCCCAAGCTGTGTGTGGCGGCTGGCGGGCAGGGCTGTGGGGTCACCGCAGGACGTTTGTCTTGTGCCTGGGGTCTGGAGGCCTGGAGCAGGCCGTGGGTTTTGGAGGCAGCCTGGGGAACTTCTCGGCAGCCACCCTCGGGGCGGCTGTGTGTCGGCTTCACCACGAGGAGAGGCTCGCGGCCCTGGTGCCTGACTGCAGGCTGAGGCATGTCGGCCGCAGCCCCAGTCTGTCTTTCCTTTGGTCCAAGACTTGAGGAGGAGCTCAGGCTGGCTTTTCTGAGGGGAGACAGTGAAGCCAAGACGGAGCCCCTGCCAGACATTTCGGTTGCGGAGCGATCAGCGAGGACAGGGTCCAAGCGCGGCCTCTTACTGGTTGTGTGGACCGGCATTGGCCCGCTTGCAACCTGAAAGAGAGGAAACAACCCAGGTTAGAAGTTCCTCAGCATGGAGCCAACGTGAAAATCAAGCACATCCAAAGACAAGGTGCACACGCCATGAAATTCTTAGTACAGTATCGACAGGCGGTCCTTGGAAGTAGGGACAGACCCTCCACCTGAGTGCTGATCAGGACAAGACACATGAAAGATGCGCTCTCGAGCTATGTGTAGCTGATCTAAGCACACCATTGTTCAAAAGATCGCGTCTTGGGCATTAACTGGATCAAAGCGCCTCCACTCAGCCTTCCATGAAGTGGAACGGACTAATGCCCTTCCCACGGCAGGTTGCTGGCTCAAGGGTACTCGGGACGTCTTCTCTGAACACATGCATGTTCCTGGGTTTCGCCTTCTCCACGTTTGGGGCCTCTGAGGGACTAATTTCCTCATGCCGCTAGGAACGTGTTGTTGGCAGGCTTGCCATAATTGGACAGAAAGAAAGCAACAGGAAATACGGCATGTTCAGATGCCTTCGCCTGGAATCCAATTGACCTGGAAGGATCGTGGAGTCCCTGACCCCAAGAAGGCAAGAAAGAGGGGTTCCCCGATTTCCTCCCGCAGACGGGAAGCTGAAAGGAAATCAACCAGGGTGACCTAGAGGAGAAAAAGACCAGGGGCCCGGGGTGACACTCGCCCTCAGATAATCAGAAGATTCCGTGGATCCTTTTCCATTCGGCAGCGGCTTCTCTGGAGGTTTCCCGGAAAACATGTGGAGGAGAGCCTTCCTCTGCGGGTCTTGTTGCCTGCAGAACAGAAGAAGGTCAGGCCGTGCCCCCTGGTTTTCCCCAGGAGACAGGGAGAACCCCGTCTGGGGCCCAGCCCCATTCCGTGTTTTGTGATACAGAAATGGACATCTGGTGCCCTTTCCGCCTCTGCACCTTCCCTCACGTGCCAACCTTCCCATCCTCCAGGTGGCCCTCTAGGCTTCCCAACTAAGGACTGTGATTTGGATTCCATCGCTTTTCCCGCTGTCGTGGGGAACCTGCACGAAGCGCCCCCGCCTCTCCCCGTCCCTGAATCTCCCAGAGCCCAAGGAGCTCCTGGGTGTGGAACCCCGGAGGACACGGAGCTCCGGCCTATTTCTCTGCAGCGTTCCTTCCCTGGCCCGGAGACGGAAAGGCACACGGTGTGCAGGTGCAGAGACACCATGTCCTTAGGAGGCAGTACCCTAAGAGTGGTGAAAACCCCTCCCACTGCTCACCTTGGTCTCTCTTCCTTCTCTCCCTTATCCTTGTTCAAGGGCCCCGGGTTGGCTTCACCCCGGGGCTTCCATGGTTTCAGGTTTTCCTTCCCTTCCTTTTTCCCCAAGGTCGCTGGAACCAGGGCTGCCTTCCAGCACTTCATGGGGCACCTGGTACTTCTGGCCGTGTGGCCAAAGGCCCCGCAGTTTTTGCACTTGAGCTGTGGGTGGAAAGGAAGTGATGTCAGTGAGTGAGCTGAAGCCACAGGCAGCGATCCCACGTCAACATTGGGACGGATTGTGAATTCAGAGCTGAATAAGGATTCCAAAGAGGGGACACCGGCATGGGGGCCGTTAAGTGCCGGGAGAGTTCGGATACGATGTTCCCTCGCAAAGCCCACGGGACGGAGGAACTCTGAAAGGAAGGACTCAAAGTTCCAAGGGGCACGATGGTGAAGCCGATGTCAACAACGCAGCCAAACGTGGCTATACAGGACTCTAAGTAGAAAGGGAGGTTGCCCCCAAGAGTCTCTCAAGGGACCTATCGGGCCGGGGAGAAGGTCCCAAGCCACGCCCACCTTGGATGGGAAAAGCAACCTGGCTGGTGGTGACAGAACTCTTTGGAATCCAACCCAGTCTCTGAGGACCGTGGGACACCCCCTCCCCCCGACCCCACCCCCACCCCGATACCCAAGAGATCCAGGGCTAGACTTACCCTGGGATCTTCTTCATCGGGCGGGGGAGCCCTTGGCCCAACTGGGGCCCTCCGCTGCTTCTGGAGGGTCTGGGCTCTCACCAGTCTCTTGGCCCAAGATGTGGGGTCCCGACGTGCCATCATCTTCGTCTCCTGGGGGTTTTATGACCGCCTTTTTCAGGGGTGGACTGTTGGGCCACCTGAAACACACACAAACACACACATGTCGATGGTTAAGCACGTTGGATATTCACACACCCACAGGAAGCCACCTGCTAACTCCCTGCCTGTGTGGTCATGAGGAGACCTCACCACCAGTCGGTCAAATCTGTAGAACACAATGTGTTGTGCGCATCCTCGGATATTGTGTGTTCCTCTGCCATGACTACCTAGTCCAAGAGTAAATCCCACCTGCCACAGGGCCCGTGGCCTAGGTATGGGGGGTTGAGATTTCAACCCCAAACAAACAACTGATTCTGGAGACTGGACTTAGGTCTCTCACGATTCACTCCGGTAGAAGACACGGTGATTCTATCTCCCTTGACGGACAGAATGATCGAAGACACAGGGCATGGCGTGTGCCACCCTTTGGCAGGTCTGCTTGAAGTCACGGATAAGGGATGCTTCCTGTGACAACTTGAATCGCTACTCTTGCCATTTCATTAGGCAACTTCCAAACACAAATTCATACAGAGAAGTTACCTTCCTCTCTACCGCACTAGCAGGTGATGATCTTTCCTGTTCTATCTTTTGGCTTTAGCTCCAGCCCCTCTTTATTTATTTTCCTGGTATTTTACGCACACCACACGAATTCATCTGAACAAACGGGGAAGAAGTGCCGTATCGTATCGACGTCTTACACGGCTGAAGGGCAAACCCCCCTTTTTTCCAAAGTCCTTTTTCCATTTACCCACCAATTCAGCATGCTGCAGTACATTTCTTTTCGCATTCCCATCTTGGTCTTCTCCCACACGTGGAGACGGATATGTTTTCTCGTTTTCTGTTCCAAGAATTACTAGTAACGAGAACACATCCTACCCCACCAGCAAGCCCCAGTGTGATCGGTTTCTTTCGGCCTCCTTTGTCTCTTCCTCCCCCACAACCCCCGCAAAACCACCTCAGGGATTGCGTGAAACAATCAATTGTTCAGCGAAACTAACCTGAAATTACACGTCTACTTTCTTTCCCAGGCTGGCGCTGAGATGGGCAGGTGCTGCAGCAGCCCGGCTGGAAGCGATGCAGCATCCAGGACGACGGAGGAAGGGGCGGAGAGGGACCTCCGCTTTCCAGGCTGCCTTTTATACTGCCTCTGGTCACCTGACATGGAACGTACCCTAACCTAATCAGTTACCTGTACCTTAATTGCAATTAACTTAATCCAATTACATGACCTGGAAAGGTCTATCTGCACAGCCCACTCTAAGATCATGTCCACTGCTGACAGACATTCTAAAACCTACTTGTACAGCTGCAAGCTTTGAACAATAGATGTTCCCCGTCAGACATGTAACACTGGTGCCTGTACCCCTGTCTTCTTTTCCATCTTTTTTGTTGTTTTGTTTTGTTTTGTTTTAAAAAATGTGGTAAAATAGACACCTTTTAATTGGACCACATTTTGTCTATCTCGACGTAGGCCTCAGTGTCATCAAGGAGACTCTGCTTGACATGCAGTCACGGCCATGATCCATCTTCAGAGCTTCTCTTTCTTCCCCAAGGTAAGTCTGTCAGCAGAGAACCCTGACCGCACCCTCATGTGTTTTCTCCCCCAGGAGGCGCTTGGAAACCACCGTGAATTGGACCACACTGGGAAACACAGATGAGGAAAGTCAACAACGCTTTGTCCTTCAGTGCCTGGCTCCTTTTTCAGCTCGTCTTGCGACTCCAGGCATTATGCCTGAAAAGTCTCCCGGACGCCTGTGAGGCTCTAATTCCCTGGGTCCCATTGCCATGTCTCTGGATTTGCGAAGATCCACCGCACCTTCTGTGGAACTCCCGTGTCGGTGAACTTTTGTGCCACGGCCCCTAATTCTGCCCATGGTCATCCACACCTGCACGACTTAGGGTCCATGTTCCTTGGACGGGAAGAGACAGGCAGGAGTCGGAATGATGAACCAGCACACTGGGGTGTTTTCTCATGTAGCCCAAGTGACCCCATGGTCTTCTCGAGCTTTGGAACCAGTCGCCTCCCCTTTGACACTGCACCCGGCTCCCAGTCACTCAATCTTGTTGGCCCTCCGGCGATCTCCCGTTGGATGAATTGCTCCTGCTGAAACTCGAGTCCCCTTTGATTTGCGCTTCATTAATTATTCATGATTCAGGTTGGAAGGCCTGCTGACGACCCCCTGTGGCCGTTCTCTGAGCTTTCCTGTCACATCGTTTCCTTCCACGCTCTTTGGTTCCTTATGGTCCTGCTCCTTCTGCTGTCAGAGGAGCAGAGAGTTGATCTTATTCATTCTGGATACGGATACTTTCTAGTTGATCTGGATAATCAAGATAACGACCCTCAACAGCGGCGGAGAGGGAGCAGCCAGTTGGTGTGTCTCAGAAAATCCCGCTGAGTTCCGAGGCCTCCTAGATGTGGAATCCTACTGAGAGTTGGTCCCAGGTCAGAGAATGGAGAGAGCCTGTGCATGATGGGATATCCCCGCCTAGATCTTTTAGTGAGTCTCTGCCTCAGCTACTGTTAGGATCAGGGGGAGAACCATGGTGTCAGACATCCGGAAAGAAGACGGGATGAATGTTTTACCTCTGAAGTACATCCCAAATGTGGGAGTTAACTTCAGCTTTGCTGGGGTCTATTTGGCCAGTGAAACTCTGCCTGGTTCCTTCGCACATCCGGAAGCCACTTCACGGGGGGCCGTCGCAACTGGAACCACACACTTGGCATCGGCGGTTGAGCCAAATGGGGACTCGTGGTGCAAGCAACGCTCCCCACGTGTTAGCGTGCGTGAGATTCGGTTGGCGGAATTTTACTAGGTGCGTGTTGGTAGAGTGGGGCTGAGGTTTTCTTGCTCCTGTGGATGTATAGGAAGTCAAAGGTCCTGCCCAGCCCTGCGGTCCCCTCAGTCAACTCTGTTTCGGAGACGTAACGATTTGGATTGCCAACAAATCAAGAAATGTTCAAGCCCTTGGATGTAGGGTAAAGAAAGAGAGATCAGACTGTCACTGTGTCTATGTAGAAGGGGAAGACATAAGAGACTCCATTTTGAAAAAGACCTGTACTTTAAACAATTGCTTTACTGAGATGTTGATCATTTGTAGCTTTGCCGCAGCCCCTTCCTTTGACCCAACTTGGAGCTCACAAAAACCTGTGTTGTATAAAATCGAGGTTTAAGGGATCTAGGGCTGTGCAGGACGCGCCTTGTTAACCAAATGTTTACGAGCAGTATACTTGGTAGAAGTCATTGCCATTCTCCAGTCTCAATAAACCACGGGTGCAATGCACCGTGGAAAGCCACAGGGACCTCTGCCCTTGAAAGCAGGGTATTGTCCAAGGTTTCTCCCCATGTGTCAGTCTGAAATATGGCCTCGTGGGATGGGAAAGACCTGACTGTCCCCCAGCGTGACACCCGCAATGGGTCTGTGCTGAGGTGGATTAGTCAAAGAGGAAAGCCTCTTGCAGTTCAGATGGAGGAAGGCCACTGTCTCCTGCTTGCCCCTGGGAACTCAATGTCTCGGTGTAAAGCCCGATCGTTCATTTGTTCAACTCTGAGCTCGGAGAAAAGCTGCCCTGTGGCGGGAGGCGAGACATGTTGGCAGTAATGCTGCCTTGTTATTCTTTACTCCGCTGAGATATTTGTGTGGAGAGAAACATAAATCTGGCCTACGTGCACGTCCAGGCATAGTACCTTCCCTTGAACTTAATAATGATATGGATTCTTTTGCTCACGTGTTTGTTTTGTTGTTGTTGTTGTTGACCTTACCCTTATTATCACCCTGCTCCCCTACTGCATTCCTTTGTGCTGAAATAATGAAAATCATAATCAATAAAAACTGAGGGAACTCAGAGGCCGGTGCCGGTGCAGGTCCTAGGTGTGCTGAGTGCCGGTCCCCTGGACCCACTGTTGTCTCCCTATACTTTGTCTCTGTGTCTTATTTCTTTTCTCCGTCTCTCATCCCACCCGACTAGAATCACCCACAGGTGTGGAGGGGCAGGCCACCCCTTCACTTGGAAAATCAGTTACACACAAACACGGAATGAGAGTCAAAAGACAATATGTCATCTTTTTGAGAATTTTATTCACTTCAAAACACATTAAACACACATATGTACAAAGGCATTCCAGAGCCCAGTTTTCGAGGCTGAGGAAAGACCCCGAGAGCGCTTCGCACAGCACGCTTCCCAGCGTCCGAAACACTGCTCTCAGGGCGGGGCACAGCGGAAGGGCTGCACCTCTCAGGGTTCCCTAACTTTTCCCTTATTCAGTCATCTAGACAGCAAATACACAGTAATTCCCCAGTTTCCTATTGACGTCCCAGCGGAAGTCTGACTCCTGCGCGTCACGCAGTTTCTGAGGCAACGAATCTCTGGCACGGAAGCTTTTCCTGGCGCGTTTCCGGAGAACCACGCCAACTACAACGTCCCTCACCAGAATTCAATGAGGCAGAGTCCCTGCATCTGCTCCCTGCCTGGCCTGGGCTCCCACATCCACAGAAGCGCCACAGCCGGGGAGCTTCGGAGTCACCGCACAGAGTGTGCTCTCTGCTCTGCGCTCCTCAGTCCCACAGTCCCCTCCAAGTCACGGGAGCTGGAGGCCAAGGAGCCCCTGCCACCTGCAGTCTCACTCCAGGTCAGAATCGCTGTCCTCTGAGGAGGAGGAAACCTGAAGGTCCTCATAGAGGACGCTCGGTGGGACACGAACACAGGGAGCCTCAGACTTCTCTGACACATGAGGGCTCTGAGCGAGGAAGGCTCCCGGCTTCTCAGGAGAGTGAAATGAGGGGGCCGCCAGGAGGCTGGAGCTCCAGCGTCCGTTTTCCAGTCTCCGGAAGAGCACTCTGAGAGGCTGGGCCCCATCATGGCTGGCCGCTGAGTGATGGGACATGGTGCAGGCCTGGGCAGTAGGCAGGCAAGGTCTGCTGTGCGGAGGCTGCCGGTCGACGCTGGGCACCTGGGCCGGTGTCCTCCTGCCCATCTGGGGCGACGTACTTGGTCCAAGTTCGGTTGCGGCTGGCGGAGGTTGGAGATTCTCCGGGGCCCCCAGCTCACCTCCCTGGATGGCGCTTTCGGGGATCTGGAAGGGACCCAGTCTCGGTTTCTTGGGGAAGTTCAGGCAAGCCTGAATCGGAGCCTGGGCAGGTCTCTTGGCTCCTGGCCCGAAGCTGAGATTGGAGCCTAGGCCCAAGCTGTGTGTGGCGGCTGGCGGGCAGGGCAGTGAGGTCACCGCAGGACGTTTGTCTTGTGCCTGGGGTCTGGCGGCCTGGGGCAGTCCGTGGGTTTTGGAGGCAGCCTGGGGAACTTCTCGGCAGCCACCCTCGGGGCGGCTGTGTGTCGGCTTCACCACGAGGAGAGGCTCGCGGCCCTCGTGCCTGACTGCAGGCTGAGGCATGTCGGCCGCAGCCCCTGTCTGTCTTTCCTTTGGTCCAAGACTTGAGGAGGAGCTCAGGCTGGCTTTTCTGAGGGGAGACAGTGAAGCCAAGACGGAGCCCCTGCCAGACATTGCGGTAGCTGAGCGATCAGCGAGGATAGGGTCCAAGCGCGGCCTCTTACTGCTTGTGTGGACCGGCATTGGCCCGCTTGCAACCTGAAAGAGAGGAAACAACACAGGTTAGAAGTTCCTCAGCATGGAGCCAACGTGAAAATCAAGCACATCCAAAGACAAGGTGCACACGCCATGAAATTCTTAGTACAGTATCGACAGGCGGTCCTTGGAAGTAGGGACAGACCCTCCACCTGAGTGCTGATCAGGACAAGACACATGAAAGATGCGCTCTCGAGCTATGTGTAGCTCATCTAAGCACACCATTGTTCAAAAGATCGCGTCTTGGGCATTAACTGGATCAAAGCGCCTCCACTCAGCCTTCCATGAAGTGGAACGGACTAATGCCCTTCCCAAGGCAGGTTGCTGGCTCAAGGGTACTCGGGACGTCTTCTCTGAACACATGCATGTTTCTGGGTTTCGCCTTCTCCACGTTTGGGGCCTCTGAGGGACTAATTTCCTCATGCCGCTAGGAACGTGTTGTTGGCAGGCTTGCCATAATTGGACAGAAAGAAAGCAACAGGAAATACGGCATGTTCAGATGCCTTCGCCTGGAATCCAATTGACCTGGAAGGATCGTGGAGTCCCTGACCCCAAGAAGGCAAGAAAGAGGGGTTCCCCGATTTCCTCCCGCAGACGGGAAGCTGAAAGGAAATCAACCAGGGTGACCTAGAGGAGAAAAAGACCAGGGGCCCGGGGTGACACTCGCCCTCAGATAATCAGAAGATTCCGTGGATCCTTTTCCATTCGGCAGCGGCTTCTCTGGAGGTTTCCCGGAAAACATGTGGAGGAGAGCCTTCCTCTGCGGGTCTTGTTGCCTGCAGAACAGAAGAAGGTCAGGCCGTGCCCCCTGGTTTTCCCCAGGAGACAGGGAGAACCCCGTCTGGGGCCCAGCCCCATTCCGTGTTTTGTGATACAGAAATGGACATCTGGTGCCCTTTCCGCCTCTGCACCTTCCCTCACGTGCCAACCTTCCCATCCTCCAGGTGGCCCTCTAGGCTTCCCAACTAAGGACTGTGATTTGGATTCCATCGCTTTTCCCGCTGTCGTGGGGAACCTGCACGAAGCGCCCCCGCCTCTCCCCGTCCCTGAATCTCCCAGAGCCCAAGGAGCTCCTGGGTATGGAACCCCGGAGGACACGGAGCTCCGGCCTATTTCTCTGCAGCGTTCCTTCCCTGGCCCGGAGACGGAAAGGCACACGGTGTGCAGGTGCAGAGACACCATGTCCTTAGGAGGCCGTACCCTAAGAGTGGTGAAAACCCCTCCCACTGCTCACCTTGGTCTCTCTTCCTTCTCTCCCTTATCCTTGTTCAAAGGCCCCGGGTTGGCTTCAGCCCGGGGCTTCCATGGTTTCAGGTTTTCCTTCCCTTCCTTTTTCCCCAAGGTCGCTGGAACCAGGGCTGCCTTCCAGCACTTCATGGGGCACCTGGTACTTCTGGCCGTGTGGCCAAAGGCCCCGCAGTTTTTGCACTTGAGCTGTGGGTGGAAAGGAAGTGATGTCAGTGAGTGAGCTGAAGCCACAGGCAGCGATCCCACGTCAACATTGGGACGGATTGTGAATTCAGAGCTGAATAAGGATTCCAAAGAGGGGACACCGGCATGGGGGCCGTTAAGTGCTGGGAGACTTCGGATACGATGTTCCCTCGCAAAGCCCATGTGACGGAGGAACTCTGAAAGGAAGGACTCAAGGTTCCAAGGGGCACGATGGTGAAGCCGATGTCAACAACGCAGCCAAACGTGGCTACACAGGACTCTAAGTAGAAAGGGAGGTTGCCCCCAAGAGTCTCTCAAGGGACCTATCGGGCCGGGGAGAAGGTCCCAAGCCACGCCCACCTTGGATGGGAAAAGCAACCTGGCTGGTGGTGACAGAACTCTTTGGAATCCAACCCAGTCTCTGAGGACCGTGGGACACCCCCTCCCCCCGTCCCCACCCCCACCCCGATACCCAAGAGATCCAGGGCTAGACTTACCCTGGGATCTTCTTCATCGGGCGGGGGAGCCCTTGGCCCAACTGGGGCCCTCCGCTGCTTCTGGAGGGTCTGGGCTCTCACCAGTCTCTTGGCCCAAGATTTGGGGTCCCGACGTGCCATCATCTTCGTCTCCTGGGGGTTTTATGACCGCCTTTTTCAGGGGTGGACTGTTGGGCCACCTGAAACACACACAAACACACACATGTCGATGGTTAAAACGTTGGATATTCACACACCCACAGGAAGCCACCTGCTAACTCCCTGCCTGTGTGGTCATGAGGAGACCTCACCACCAGTCGGTCAAATCTGTAGAACACAATGTGCTGTGCGCATCCTCGGATATTGTGTGTTCCTCTGCCATGACTACCTAGTCCAAGAGTAAACCCCACCTGCCACAGGGCCCGTGGCCTAGGTATGGGGGGTTGAGCTTTCAACCCCAAACAAACAACTGATTCTGGAGACTGGACTTAGGTCTCTCACGATTCACTCCGGTAGAAGACACGGTGATTCTATCTCCCTTGACGGACAGAATGATCGAAGACACAGGGCATGGCGTGTGCCACCCTTTGGCAGGTCTGCTTGAAGTCACGGATAAGGGATGCTTCCTGTGACAACTTGAATCGCCACTCTTGCCGTTTCATTAGGCAACCTCCAAACACAAATTCATACAGAGAAGTTACCTTCCTCTCTACCGCAGTAGCAGGTGATGGTCTTTCCTGTTCTATCTTTTGGCTTTAGCTCCAGCCCCTCTTTATTTATTTTCCTGGTATTTTACGCACACCACACGAATTCATCTGAACAAACGGGGAAGAAGTGCCGTATCGTATCGACGTCTTACACGGCTGAAGGGCAAAACCCCCTTTTTTCCAAAGTCCTTTTTCCATTTACCCACCAATTCAGCATGCTGCAGTACATTTCTTTTCGCATTCCCATCTTGGTCTTCTCCCACACGTGGAGACGGGTATGTTTTCTCGTTTTCTGTTCCAAGAATTACTAGTAACGAGAACACATCCTACCCCACCAGCAAGCCCCAGTGTGATCGGTTTCTTTCGGCCTCCTTTGTCTCTTCCTCCCCCACACCCCCCGCAAATACCCCTCAGGGATTGCGTGAAACAAACAATTGTTCAGCGAAACTAACCTGAAATTACACGTCTACGTTCTTTCCCAGGCTGGCGCTGAGATGGGCAGGTGCTGCAGCAGCCCGGCTGGAAGCGATGCAGCATCCAGGACGACGGAGGAAGGGGCAGAGAGGGACCTCTGCTTTCCAGGCTGCCTTTTATACTGCCTCTGGTCACCTGACATGGAACGTACCCTAACCTAATCAGTTACCTGTACCTTAATTGCAATTAACTTAATCCAATTACATGACCTGGAAAGGTCTATCTGCACAGCCCACTCTAAGATCATGTCCACTGCTGACAGACATTCTAAAACCTACTTGTACAGCTGCAAGCTTTGAACAATAGATGTTCCCCGTCAGACATGTAACACTGGTGCCTGTACCCCTGTCTTCTTTTCCATCTTTTTTGTTGTTTTGTTTTGTTTTGTTTTAAAAAATGTGGTAAAATAGACACCTTTTAATTGGACCACATTTTGTCTATCTCGACGTAGGCCTCAGTGTCATCAAGGAGACTCTCCTTGACATGCAGTCACGGCCATGATCCATCTTCAGAGCTTCTCTTTCTTCCCCAAGTTAAGTCTGTCAGCAGAGAACCCTGACCGCACCCTCTTGTGTTTTCTCCCCCAGGAGGCGCTTGGAAACAACCGTGAATTGGACCGCACTGGGAAACACAGATGAGGAAAGTCAACAACGCTTTGTCCTTCAGTGCCTGGCTCCTTTTTCAGCTCGTCTTGCGACTCCAGGCATTATGCCTGAAAAGTCTCCCGGACGCCTGTGAGGCTCTAATTCCCTGGGTCCCATTGCCATGTCTCTGGATTTGCGAAGATCCACCGCACCTTCTGTGGAACTCCCGTGTCGGTGAACTTTTGTGCCACGGCCCCTAATTCTGCCCATGGTCATCCGCACCTGCACGACTTAGGGTCCATGTTCCTTGGACGGGAAGAGACAGGCAGGAGTCGGAATGATGAACCAGCACACTGGGGCGTTTTCTCATGTAGCCCAAGTGACCCCATGGTCTTCTCGAGCTTTGGAACCAGTCGCGTCCCCTTTGACACTGCACCCGGCTCCCAGTCACTCAATCTTGTTGGCCCTCCGGCGATCTCCCGTTGGATGGATTGCTCCTGCTGAAACTCGAGTCCCCTTTGATTTGCGCTCCATTAATTATTCATGATTCAGGTTGGAAGGCCTGCTGAAGACCCCCTGTGGCCGTTCTCTGAGCTTTCCTGTCACATCGTTTCCTTCCACGCTCTTTGGTTCCTTACGGTCCTGCTCCTTCTGCTGTCAGAGGAGCAGAGAGTTGATCTTATTCATTCTGGATACGGATACTTTCTAGTTGATCTGGATAATCAAGATAACGACCCTCAACAGCGGCGGAGAGGGAGCAGCCAGTTGGTGTGTCTCAGAAAATCCCGCTGAGTTCCGAGGCCTCCTAGATGTGGAATCCTGCTGAGAGTTGTTCCCAGGTCAGAGAATGGAGAGAGCCTGTGCATGATGGGATATCCCCGCCTAGATCTTTCAGTGAGTCTCTGCCTCAGCTACTCTTAGGATCAGGGGGAGAACCATGGTGTCAGACATCCGGAAAGAAGACGGGATGAATGTTTTACCTCTGAAGTACATCCCAAATGTGGGAGTTAACTTCAGCTTTGCTGGGGTCTATTTGGCCAGTGAAACTCTGCCTGGTTCCTTCGCACATCCGGAAGCCACTTCACGGGGGGCCGTCGCAACTGGAACCACACACTTGGCATCGGCGGTTGAGCCAAATGGGGACTTGTGGTGCAAGCAACGCTCCCCACGTGTTAGCGTGCGTGAGATTCGGTTGGCGGAATTTTACTAGGTGCGTGTTGGTAGAGTGGGGCTGAGGTTTTCTTGCTCCTGTGGATGTATAGGAAGTCAAAGGTCCTGCCCAGCCCTGCGGTCCCCTCAGTCAACTCTGTTTCGGAGACGTAACGATTTGGATTGCCAACAAGTCAAGAAATGTTCAAGCCCTTGGATGTAGGGTAAAGAAAGAGAGATCAGACTGTCACTGTGTCTATGTAGAAGGGGAAGACATAAGAGACTCCATTTTGAAAAAGACCTGTAGTTTAAACAATTGCTTTGCTGAGATGTTGTTCATTTGTTGCCTTGCCTCATCCACTTTGCCCCAGCCCCCTTGACCCAACTGGGAGCTCAGAAAACCTGTGTTGTATAAAATCGAGGTTTAAGGGATCTAGGGCTGTGCAGGACGTGCTTTGTTAACCAAATGTTTGCGAGCAGTATACTTGGTAAAAGTCATTGCCATTCTCTAGTTTCAATAAACCAGGGGCACTATGCACCGTCGAAAGCCGCAGCGACCTCTGCCCTTGAAAGCAGGTTATTGTCCAAGGTTTCTCCCCATGTAACAGTCTGAAATATGGCCCCGTGGGATGTTAAAGACCTGACTGGCCCCCAGCCTGAGACCCGTAAAGGGTCTGTGCCGAGGTGGATTAGTCAAAGAGGAAAGCCTCTTGCAATTTAGATGGAGGACAGCCGCTGTCTCCGGCAGCCCCTCTTGCTTCCCTGGCTCTTAGGACCCCCATCGCAGGGTGTGAGGCACTCCCCCCATTTCGGGTTGTAAGAGCCAAACCCTCTTGCCCCCCTGGCTCTTAGTTTCCCCCATCGCAGCGGGGTGAGTCACGTCCTGCTATGCTTGGGGTAAGAGCCAGCCCCTCTTGCCCCGCTGGCTCTCAGGACCCCCATCGCAGTGGTGTGAGGCACGCCCCTTGATGCGGGTATTAAGAGCCTTCCCATCTTACCTCCTGGCTCTTAGGACCCCCATCGCAGGGGGTGAGGCACGCCCCGCCATGCGGAGAGTAAGAGCTAACCCCTCTTGCCCCCCTGGTTTTTAGGATCCGCGGTGGACTCACAGCCTGTTTATCATATTGTGAGTAATATCGTCTCCCGCTCTGGAGATTGTGAACTGTTTCACCCACCGGTGTTCACCCCGGCGTACAGAGGTTGTACACCCGTCTGTATTGGGAGTCATATCATCCTCTTCCTCTCTGAATATTAAGAACAGTATCACAGGGGTGTTTCTACTCCCTGGGATATCGCGTGTCATATCATCCTCTCCCACGTTGCAATTAGAAACAATATCAGTGGGGGCGTGTCCACCTTCTGTGATACTGAAAGTAATATCATCCTCTTCCCTCCAGGATCGTGGGAACAATATCCTTGGGGGTGTCCACTTTCTGCCATATGTGTAGTCATATCACCCCCTCCGCCTTGGAATATTATTAAGAACCATGTCACACGGGGGTGTACACTTCCTACGATGTTGGGAGTAATAGCATTCTCTTCTTCCATGAATGTTAGGAACAAAATCACCGGGTGGATGCACACCCAGTGCTATATTGGGAGTAATGTTATACTCCACCCCCTGGAGATTATATTCGGATCAATATCACCGGCTGGGTGTGCACCTGCTGCGATATTCTACGTAATATCATGCTCTCTCACTCCCTGAACATTAGGAACAATATCACAGGTGGGTGTACACCCACTGAGGTATTAGGGCATACTATTAGTATGAATTATTCCTTGTTTTTTATTAACATGAATATGAATGGCCGATATTAATATTAATATTAAGAAGTAATTGCTAATAAAAAGTTCTCAGATTATTAATATTAATATTAATTATTAGGAGCTAATATTACTATTTTCTAATGAATAAGATCCGTATCAGTTATTAATATCAGGCGTCATAATCATTAATATTAATCATGTATTGTTATTGTTAGTATAACTATTTAATATTAATTATCATTAGTATCGGTATTGATTTTAAAAATTATATTATGGGTTATTAATATTGATAATTATTAGTGTCAGTTCATAATTGAGATTATTAATTGCGGTAAGTCGCATTGCGCCATTCCACCCCTTCCTCGGCAGCTCGTTTACGACCCAAAACGGGGACACAAATGCCCCTGAGAGAGCAGCGGTATACTGGGATAGATGAAAATGCTCATGTAGTGGAGAGACGTGTTTTTGGGTACCAGCCCTTCACCTGCGTCGACCTTCTCAACTGGAAAAATAATACATCGCCCTATACCGAAAAGCCACAAGCCCTAATTGATTTGCTCCAAACTGTTATCCAGACCCATAACCACACCTGGACCGATTGGCACCAGTTGCTCATTTTCCTCTTTAACAGTGAAGAAAGGCAGAGAGTCCTCCAAGCAGCAACTAAGTGGCTAGAGGAACATGCACCAGCTGATTATCAAAACCCCCAACAGTATGGAAGGACCCAGTTGCCAGGAACCGACCCCCAGTTGGACCTACATGAAAGAGAGGAGATGCAAAGGCTAAACCGAGACAGGGAAGCTCTCTTGGAAGGATTAATGAGGGGAGCTCAGAAGGCCACAAACGTTAACAAGCTCTCTGAGGTCATTCAGGGAAAAGAAGAAAGTCCAGCACAATTCTACGAGAGACTGTATGAGGCCTATCATATGTATACTCCCTTTGATCCCGATAGCCCTGAAAATCAGCGCATGATTCACATGGCTTTAGTCCATCAAAGTGCAGAAGACATGAGAAGAAAACTGCAGAAACAGACTGGGCTTGCAGGGAAGAATCCATCCCAATTACTAGAAATAGCTAGCCAGGTGTTTGTAAACAGGTATGCAGTAAGCCGTAAGGAAAACGGCAAAGAGGATGGAGGTCAGTCCCGGCCACACGCCGACCTGTTTGTCAGCTGCAGCAATCAGAGGGGCCCCCGCAAAGAGGCAAGGGAAAGGGGGCCCTGGGAAAGAAACTCAGCTTGGCTGTCAGAGTTTGCAGCGTAACCAGTGTGCTGATTGTAAAGAAATAGGACAGTGGAAGAACAAATGCCCTCAGCTCAAAAGAAAAGAAGGTGACTCAGAGCCAGAGGCCCCGGACAAGGAGGAAGGGGCCCTGCTCAACCTGGCAGAAGGGTTCTTGGACTGAGGGAGACCGGGCTCAAGCATCCCCATTCTGACATCTGTTCAGAATGACAGTCAGGGGTGGAGACATTAACTTTCTTGTAGATAGCGGTGCTGAACATTCGCTAGTAACCGCCCCGGTCGTCCCCTTACCGAAAAAGACTACTGACGTCATCGGAGCCACGGGGGTTTCAGCAAAGCAAGCTTTCTGCTTGCCTTGGACTTGTCCTGTAGGAGGACATAAAGTCATTCATCAGTTTTGTTACATGCCTGACAGTCTCTTGAACTTTTCAGGAAGGGACTTGCTCAGCAAGCTGAGAGCCACTGCCTCTTTCACAGAGCACGGCTCTTTGCTGCTAAAGTTACCCGGAATGGGAGTCATTATGACGCTTATGGTCCCCCGAGAGGAGGAATGGAGACTTTTCTGAACTGACCCGGGCAAAGAGAAAAGACCAGCTCTGGCTAAGCGCTGGCCAAGAGTTCGGGCAGAAGAGAACCCTCCAGGATTGGCCAGTTAAGACTGGGGCCCAGCCGGTGAGGCAAAAACAGGACTCGGTCCCCAGAGAAGCCCTTCAAGGTATCCAGGTCCATCTCAAGCACCTAAGAACGTTTGGAATGATTGTTCCTTGTCAGTCTCCATGGAACACTCCCCTCCTGCCTGTTCCCAAGCCACGGACCAAGGACTACCGGCCGGTACAGGATTTGCGCTTGCTTCATCAAGCCACACTGACTTTACATCCAACAGTACCTAACCCGTCCACATTGTTGGGGTTGCCGCCAGCTGAGGACAGCTGGTTCACCTGCTTGGACCTAAAAGACGCTTTCCTTCCTATCAGATTAGCCCCTGAGAGGCAGAAGCTGTTTGCCTTTCAGTGGGAAGATCCGGAGTCAGGTGTCACTACTTAGTACACTTGGACCGGGCTTCCCCAAAGGTTCAAGAACTCCCCCACCATCTTCGGGGAGGCATGGGCTCGAGACCTCCAGAAGTTTCCTAGCAGAGACCTAGGCTGCGTGTTGCTCCAGTAGGTTGATGACCTTCTGCTGGGACACCCCACGGCAGTCGGGTGTGCCAAGGGAACAGATGCCCTACACCGCACCTGGAGGACTGTGGGTAGAAGGTGTCCAAGAAGAAAGCTCAGATCTGCCGACAGCAGGTACGTTACTTGGGATTTACTATCCGACAGGGGTCGGAACGCAGCCCGGGATCAGAAAGAAAGCAGGTCATTTGCCATCTAGCGGAGCCTAAGAGCAGAAGGCAGGTAAGAGAATTCTTAGGAGCTGTGGGGTTTTGTAGACTGTGGATCCCAAACTTTGCAGTATTAGCCAAGTTTTTGTATGAGGTCACAAGGGGGGCGGGGACGGGGAATCTTTGGAATGAGGATCCCAACAACAGCAAGTATTTCATGAGTTAAAGGAAAAACTTCTGGCAGCACCAGCCCTGAGGCTACCCGATCTGACAAAGCCTTTTCCATTGTATGCATCAGAGAGAGAAAGGATGGCAGCTGGACTTTGAACCCAAACTGTGGGGCCCTGGCTGAGGCTGGTGGCCTACCTCTGTAAACCACTAGACGGGGTTTCTAAAGGATGGCCCCCCTGTTGGAGGGTCTTGGCAGCAACTGCCCTGCTAGTATAAGAAGCAAATAAGCTGACTCTTGGGCGAAACCTGAACATAAAGGCCTCCCGTGCTGTGGTGATGAATACTAAAGGACGTCATTGGCTAACGAATACCAGGCTCACCAAGTACCAAACTTTGGTCTGTGAAAATCCCCGTATAACCATTGAAGTTTGTAACACCCTACACCCCGCCACCTTGCTGCCGGTATCAGGGAGCCCTGTCGAGCCTGATTGTGTAGAAGTGTTGGACTCAATTGACTCTAGCAGACCTGAGCTCCGGGACCAGACTTGGGCATCAGTAGACTGGGAACCACACGTGGATGGGAGCAGCTTCTTCAACCCCCAAGGAGAGAGAGGTGCAGGGTATGCAGTGATAACTCTGGACACTGTTGTTGAAACCAGGTCGTTGCCCCAGGCCACTTCAGCCCAGAAAGCTGAACTCAATGCTTTCATTTGGGCCTTAGAACTCAGTGAGGGTGAGACTGTCAACACTTACACTGATTCTCGGTATGTCTTTTTAACCCTTCAAGTGCATGGAGTGTGATAGAAAGAAAAGGGCCTATTGAATTCTGGGGGGAAAGACAGAAAATATCCACAAGAAATCTTGCAATGATTAGAAGCAGTATGGAAACCCCACAAGGTGGCAGTTAGGCATTGCAGAGGACACCAGCGAGCTTCCACCTTGCTGTGTTTGGGGAATTCCCGCGCTGAGTCAGAGGCTCGAAAAGCAGCAACTGCCCTCTTCTGGGCATCAGTGCTCCCTCAAGCACCTGATCTTGGACCTGCTTCTTCTAAAGAAGAAAGGACTTTCTCCAGGTAGAGGGAAGGACAAGTGATGGAGGAAGGATGGATTCAGTTACCAGATAGGAGAGTAGCTGTGCCACAGCTGCTAGGAGCTGCAGTTGTACTGGCTGTGCAAGAAAACACCCATCGAGGTCAGGAGTCACTGGAAAAGTTGTTAGGCCGGTATTTCTACATCTCGCCTTTGTCAACCCTTGCCAAAACGGTGAGGCAGCGGTGTGTTACCTGCTGACAGCATGATGGGAGTCAAGGTCCAGCCGTTCCGCCCGGCATACGAGCTTGTGGAGCAGCCCCCTTTGAAGGTCTCCAGGTGGACTTCACAGAGATGCCAAAGTGTGGAGGTAACAAGCATTTACTGGTTCTTGGGCGTACCTACTCTGGGTGGGTGGAGGCCTATCCAACACGAACTGAGAAAGCTGGTGAAGTAACCCCTGTGCTTCTTCGAGATGTGATTCCTAGATTTCGACCGCCCTTATGGATCGGCTCAGACAACGGGCCTGCGTTTTTGGCTGCCTTGGTACAGAAAACGGCAAAGGTATTGGGGATCACACGGAAACTACATGCCGCCTCCCGGCCTCAGAGTTCCGGAAAGGTGGAGAGGATGAATCGGACTATCAAAAATAGTACTACTGTCTTCCCCGCTGGATATTTAAAACAACAGCACAAGGGGCGTCAAACCACCTGCTAAATTGGAGGCAATGTTATCCTCTCCCCTCCTCCCCCGGCCCCGGATATTAGAGACAACAACACAGGGGTGATGTACACCCACTGCTTTATTGTGAGTAATATCATCCTCTCCCTTCTTGGATAGTAGGAACAGTATCACACTGTGCGTGTAGGCCTGTCGCGAAATTCAATGGAATGTCATCCTGCGCCTCCCTGGATATGACGAACAATATCACGGGGGATGTACAACTTCTGAGATATTGGGAGTGATGTCATCCTCTCCCCTCTGGAAGTTAGGGACAATATCACAGGGGTAGTGTACACCCTCTGGGATGTTGGGACTAATATCTCACAGATGTCTGAGAATTCCTCCTCCTGGGACTCTCAGAGGATCCAGAACTGCAGCCGGTCCTCGCTTTGCTGTCCCTGTCCCTGTCCATGTATCTGGTCACGGTGCTGAGGAACCTGCTCAGCATCCTGGCTGTCAGCTCTGACTCCCCCCTCCACACCCCCATGTACTTCTTCCTCTCCAACCTGTGCTGGCCTGACATCGGTTTCACCTCGGCCATGGTTCCCAAGATGATTGTGGACACGCAGTCGCATAGCAGAGTCATCTCTCATGCGGGCTGCCTGACACAGATGTCTTTCCTGCTCCTTGTTGCATGTATAGAAGGCATGCTCCTGACTGTGATGGCCTATGACTGCTTTGTAGCCATCTGTCGCCCTCTGCACTACCCAATCATCGTGAATCCTCACCTCTGTGTCTTCTTCGTTTTGGTGTCCTTTTTCCTTAGCCTGTTGGATTCCCAGCTGCACAGTTGGATTGTGTTACAATTAACCATCATCAAGAATGTGGAAATCTCTAATTTGGTCTGTGACCCCTCTCAACTTCTCAAACTTGCCTGTTCTGACAGCGTCATCAATAACATATTCATATATTTCGATAGTACTATGTTTGGTTTTCTTCCCATTTCAGGGATCTTTTTGTCTTACTATAAAATTTTCCCCTCCATTCTAAGGATTTCATCGTCAGATGGGAAGTATAAAGCCTTCTCCACCTGTGGCTGTCATCTAGCAGTTGTTTGCTGGTTTTATGGAACAGGCATTGGCTTGTACCTGACTTCAGCTGGGTCACCACCCCCCAGGAATGGTGTGGTGGCTTCAGTGATGTACGCTGTGGTCACCCCATGCTGAACCTTTTCATCTGCAGCCTGAGAAACAGGGACATACAAAGTGCCCTGCGGAGGCTGCGCAGCAGAGCAGTCGAATATCATGATCTGTTCCATCCTTTTTCTTGTGTGGGTGAGAAAGGGCAACCACATTAAATCTCTACATCTGCAAATCCTGCCCCTCAGTCACATTCTTTTTGTGGCTTGATGGCTTTTATTCCTTTCCGCATTTCCTTTGTGAATATTGCTTTCTTCGTTATGCCTTTATCTGGAATGAGTGACGATTCTGGGATCCTTGGTTTAGCAGAAACCTCATGACAGAATCTTCTATACCTAGGTGGCCTCTTTTAGTCTCTGAGCAATAACCATGCCATCCAGGTGGAATCACAACCATCATTTTATATACACGAAGTCCTCACTTCGTTTTGGAATTCCCTGAAAACTGACTTTATGGAAACAATGTACAGAAGGTCCTCCAACAGCATTGGTTGTTCAAAGTCGTGTAGTTATACTGTTGATGAAAAATAAGTGGTTTCACTATACATAATTTTGCTTCAAGGTGAAGTTTCCAAGAGACTTTCAAAGATGTTAAGTGAGGACATACTGTACATCAAATTCATATCCTCTTCCACAGTTCATGTGGAATTTCTTTATAAACTTCTTCTAGAGAATCTATTTAGGCAGGTTCTGTGTAGATATCCATGTCGCCGTTCCTCAATCTTGGCTTTGAGTCAAATCACCTGGGCAGCTTACACATGATGAGGACTGGTTCTCAATACCTGAGATTCTGATTTCCTTGCACCTGTGTGAGTGTGTGGATTTTTTTTTTTTTCTTTTAAAGCACCAGAGGTGGTTCCAATGACGAAGTTTTTAGAGGCATCAAGCTGCAATGAGTAAGAACAGAAATTAATTGTAATATGATTTCTTCAAATATTATCTTCAAATGCATTGTCCATCAACACCATACGAATGTTTATTATGCTGTTTTTTCTTACCATTTCGCATTTTCTATTTCCTTCTTGTCCTTTTTTTTTTTTTTTTTTTTTTTTTTTTTTTGAGTCAGAGTTTCACTCTTGTTGCCCAGGCTGGAGTTCAATGGCACGGTCTCGGCTCACTGCAACCTCTGCCTCCCATATTCAAGCAATTCTCCTGTCTCAGCCTTCCAAGTAGCTGGGATTACAGGCATGCGCTACCATGCCTGGCTATCTTTTTGTTGTTGTTGTTGTTGTTGTATTGTTAGTAGAGACAATGTTTCTCCATTTTGGTCAGGCTGGTCTTGAACTCCCGACCTCAGGTAATCCGGCCGCTTCCGCCTCCCAAAGTACTGGGATTACACGCATGAGGGACCGCGCCCAGACACCACTTAGCATTTACATTTTGCAATTGTTGAAGTTATCGATTTATACACACATCAATTGCTGCTTTGTTATACACTTGCAGATACATAAGATGGGAAATAGAAAAGAATAAAATGGGCACGGTATCCCTGAAGTTTCACATTCTGAGACTTTAAAAATATTTGCTCTTTAGAAATTTGTTTCAATAAAGAAACTGTGGTATACACACCCAATGAAGTATTATTCAGCCTAAAGAGGAAGAAAATCCTCTCCGCTGCAGACAAAATGGATGAGATTGCAGGTCTGTATATTAAATGAAATAAGCCAGGCACAGAATGTCAAATATTTCATGTCCTCACTTCTACGTAGGAAGAAAAAAGGAAACCTTGACCAGGCGTGGTGGCTCAGACCTGTAATCCCAGCACTCTGGGAGGCCGAGTCGCAGGGATCACTTGAGTCCAGGGGTTCGCGACCCGCTTGGCCAACATGGTGAAACCCCGTCTCTACGGAAAAAACAAGCAATTAGCCGGGCGTGGTGACGCGTGCCTCTAGTCTCAGCTACTCGGAGGGCTGAGGCCCAAGAAGCGCTTGAACTCGGGAGGCGGAGCTTTCAGTGAGCCCGGATTGTGCCTGTGTACTCCAACCTGGGCAACATAAAGAGACTCCATCACACACCTACACACAAAAGGAATCTCAGGAAGGTGGAAAGTATAAAGGTGGTTAGCAGACGCTAGGAAGAAAAGGGGTGGGATGGGGAATGAAGACAAGTGGATAATTGGGTCCCAAAATACAGAAAGATGGAATAAGTGAGTTCTAGTGTTTGATTGTACAGTATGAAAATTTTAGTTCACAAGAATTTCTTGAATATTTCCAGATGCTTTGGTAAGAAACTTCCTAATTTTCTCATTATGCTGGTTTTTCAGCTCTTCTCTTTCTGCTCTTGAAATCATGCTGGTTTTTTGTTTTTTGTTTTTTGTTTTGAGATGGAGTTTCGCTCTTGTTGCCCAGGCTGGAGTGTCATGGTGCAATCTTGGCTCACCGCAACCTCTGCCTCCTGGGTTCAAGCGATTCTCCTGCCTCCACCTCCCGAGTAGCTGGGATTACAGGCACGCGCCTGTAGTAGAGACGGGGGTTTCTCCCTGTCGGTCAGGCTGGTCTTCAACTCCTGACATCAGGTGATCCGCCCACCTCGGCCTCCCAAAGTGCTGGGATTACAGGCGTGAGCGACGGGCCCGGCCCATGCTGTAACATTATCTGTTGTCTGCTGTTGTTTGTTTATTTTGGAGCCCAGAAATAACTTGTCACCTGTATGTTCAAACGATTTTTAACATGAGTGGTAAGAAAGCTCATTGGTGGAAAAACAGCCTTTTCAAGAAATGGTGTTGGAGAAACTTGATTTCCACATGCAGAAGAATGAAGGTGGACACTATGTCACACCAGGTGCAAAAATTAACACAAACTGGATCAAAGACCTCACCCCAAGCGCTAAAAGAATCATTCGCCTAAAGGAAAACATTGGCCATGCTTTCATGACATCATATTGGGCAATGTTCTCTGGGATATGACACCAAAAGCATAGGCAACAAAAGAAAATTAGATTCCTTGGATTACATCGAAATGACAGACACTTTTGTGCAGCAAAATCACGGCAAACTGAGTGAAAAGATAACCCATGGATTAGGAAAAATATTTTCAAAGCATATATCTGAAAAGAGGCTGATATCCATCATACATAAAGAACAGGCAGAACTAAAGAACAAGAAACCCAAAGCATCCCATCAATAATGGTCAGAAGACTCAAGTAGACGTGTTCCTAAAGAAGATATAGCAATGGCCAATAAGCATCTAAAATGATGTTCAAAATCACTCATCATAGGGAAGCGCAAATCAAACCAAGAATGTGACACCACACATTAGGATGGATATGATAAACAAACAGGATTGGTGAGACTAGAGGGAAGTAGGAATGCTCGAATCTGATCAGAAGGAATGTAAAACCGTGAAGGAACGGGGAAAATAGTATGGCGTCTACTGGAAAAATTAGAAACAGGATGATCATATGTTGCCGCAGTTGCATTTGTGGGTACCTACAAAAAGAAGCCAGGAGTGGAAGACAGATTTGTGTACACCCATATTCATAGCAGCATTATTCACAAGAGCCAAAATGTGGAAGCAACCCAAGGGTTCGTGGACAGATGAATGAAAAAGCCCACTGCAGTTCCTTCATACAATGGAAGACTATTCAGCCTTCAAAAGGCAGGCACTTCTGGCCGGTGCGGTGGCTCACGCCTGTAATCGCAGCGTCTTGGAAGACCGAGGTGGGCGGATCACCTGAGGTCAGGAATTCAAGACCAGCCTGGCCATCTTGGGGAAACCCTGTCCCTACTGAAAATGCAAAAAATGAGATGAGCATGGAGGCGTGTGCCTATAGTCCCAGCTACTCGGGAGGATGTGGCACAAGAATCACTGGAACCCGGGAAGCGGAGGTGAGCCCAGATTGTGCCACTGTACTCCAGCCTGTGCGACAGAGTGAGACTCTATGGAAACACAAAACAAAACAAAGTCAAACGAACAAACAAAAAACAACAAAAAAAAAACAGACAGGCACTTCTGAGGCAGGCCGCAACATGGATGAACCTTGAAGACATTATCGTCAGTGAAATAAATAAATCCCAAAAGGATAAACAGGCCCAGGCTCAGTGGCTCGCACCTGTAACACCAGCACTTTGGGAGGCTGAGCCAGGCGGATCACTTCAGGTCAGGAGTTCGAGACCAGCCTGGCCAATATGGTGAAAGCTCGTCTCTATTAAAAATACAAAAATTAGCAGGGCGTGGTGGCGCACGCCTGTAATCCCAGCCTCTCGGGAGACTGAGACACAAGAATCGCTTGAACCCACGATGTGGAGGTTGCAGTGAGCCGAGATCACACCACTGTACTCCAGACTGGGTGAGAGAGAAAGACTCTGTCTCCAAAACAAAAAAAATAAACACGGTATGATTCCACTTATCTATCAAGTGTCTAGAGTAGTTAAACTCATAGAGTTGCAAACTAGAAAGGTGGCCCCCAGGGGTGGGCGAGAGAAAGGAATGGAGAGCTTGGTGAATGGGTGGAATTTCCATTTTGAAAGATAAAACTGTTCCTGAGATGATGGCGGTGATGCTTGCTAAATAATGTGAACGTACTTAATGTCATTAATCTGTAAACTGAAAAAGAGTGGAAATTGTAAATGTTTTTACTGGCCATTCTATATGAACTAATATATATTTATAATTTTTAATATTTATACGTGGTATATTTTCCCATTATAAAAGATGAAAATTAAAGCAGTTGGATGTTTAAAAAGAAAAGAAAGAAGCGAAGAATACACACCAGCTTTCTTCTGATTAGAGGAGGAGCCCCATAGTTTCTATGGACACTCACTTTTCTCTTCTTCTTGCATTATTATGAGGACATCCTTAGAGGTTGGGGAACTTGGGCGGCTTTGGCTAATGAGGAGCTCTGTGCCTGAGCCTCCCAGGCCACAGGATAGTAAATACTCAGTCTGTGCCTCCCGCCCTGCAGTGTGAGGTTGCAGTCCTGTGGTCTCCACAGCCGTCACCTGTATCAGGAGGCTCATGTCTCACCCTGTCTTCTTGCCAGCCTTGAGGACGGAGCCTGAGCCTCCATGGTGCACCACGCAGGGAGGACAGTGGACCTGTTCTCCGTGGTCATGTCCCAGCAGAGGGGAGAGGCAGTTCAGTGAGTGTAGGGAAAAGAAAGAGAGATCAGACTCTTACTGTGTCTATGTAGAAAGGAAAGACATAAGAGACTCCATTTTGAGAAAGACCTGTACTTTCAACAATTGCTTTGCTGAGATGTTGTTAATCTGTAGCTTTGCCCCAGCCACTTTGACCCAACCTGAAGCTCACAAAAACATGTGTTGTATGAAATCAAGGTTTAAGGGATCTAGGGTTATGCAGGACTTGCCTTGTTAACAAGATGTTTCCAAGCAGTATACTTTGTAAAAGTCATCGCCATTCTCTAGTATCAATAAACCAGGGGCACAATACACTGTGGAAAGCCGCAGGGAGCCCTGCCCTTGAAAGCAGGGTATTGTCCAAGGTTTCTCCCCATGTGATAGTCTGAAATATGGCCTGGTGGGATGAGAAAGACCTGACCATCCCCCAGCCCGCCCCCCGTAAAGGGTCTGTGCTGAGGTGGATTAGTCAAAGAGGAAAGCCTCTTGCAGTTGAGAGAGAGGAAGGCCGCTGTTTCCTGCCTGCCCCTGGGAACTGAATGTCTCGGTATAAAACCCGATTGTACATTTGTTCAATTCTGAGATGGGAGAAAAACCGCCCTATGGTGAGAGGCGAGACATGTTTGCAGCAATGCTGCCTTGTTATTCTTTACTCCACTGAGATGTTTGGGTGGAGAGAAACATAAATCTGGCTTACGTACACATCCAGTCATAGTACCTTTCCTTGAAATTCCTTATGAAATAGATTCTATTTCTCACATGTTCGTTGCTGACCTTCTCCTTATTATCACCCTGCGCTCCTACTACATTCCTTTTTGCTAAAATAATAAAAATAATAGTCAATAAAAACTGAGGGAACTCAGAGTCCTGTGCCGGTGCAGGTCCTTGGTATGCTGAGCGGCGGTCCCCTAGGCCCACTGTTGTTTCTCCATACTTTGTCTCTGTATCTTATTTCTTTTCTCAGTCTCTCCTCCTACCCGACTGGAAATACCCACAGCTGTGGAGGAGGAGGCCACCCCTTCAAGTGAGTGCTGAGGGATGGTCGGGAGACTTGTTTGTTTCCTCATCCTCAGGACAAACAGGAGAGTGCGGTGGGCAGATGTGAGGAGACCAATGTGCAACTCTCTGCTCAGCAGACTGTGCAGTTTATGTTCTTGGTTGTGCTGGGGGTCTCAGAAATCTTATTCAAAATTTTGCTTTCCTCCCCCACTGGTTGTCCTTTTCATAAACATCTCACCCATGATAGCAGGGAATCAGTCCCTCTAACTATTCCCTAAGAACAACAAAGAGATTATGAAGGTGATGATGAGGATAAAGAGGATGACGACAGACACCATGGCATCATGAACCCTTACTGAGGGCTTCCTAAAGGCCAGGCTCTGAGCTCTGTGCTCTATGCAGCTTGTTTCATTTCATCTACATAGTCTCCACGTTATTAGTGCACATTTCATGATGATTTTACAGACTAGAAAAAGCGCAACGGATTTTCATGCAGCTTGTACCAGATCACGAAGTCAAAAAGGGCGAAGTCCAATTTGAACCAGGCAGTCTAAGTCCAGACACATGGCATTTGGCAAGTCCTCTCCCTGCAACCAACCTGCCCTCTCAAATCCTCGTCACTCAGGCGGATGCCCCTACTCACTGTGCCCTTCCCTTTGTGGGTTCCTTGTTGACCACAGCTAGACCAGTGGGTGCCACAATCACTGTGTCATGTATAGAAAGGGCAGCTGAGATCACATCAAGGATTCCAGAAAGAATTTGCACAGGATCATTCGGGACGCATCTCTCCCTTGCCCCTGTTCCTGGCTTTCCTTACAGCTCTCAACTTCCTCAAAGGAGTCATCAATTCGGAGTTTGGCTTCCATTCCTATTGAGGAAGCTGGAAAGTGTTTCAAAAATGCTCCTCCGATGTGCCTGTGGTTAAGACCTCTGAGCTCTGCTTAAAACTCTTTGAAGCTGTGCGCGTTGGCTCACGTGTGTAATCCCAGCCCTTTGGGAGGCTGAGACAGGCGAATCACAAGGTCAGGATTTCGAGACCAGCCTGGCCAACATGGTGAAACCCTGTTTCTACTAAAAATACCAAAAAAACTCAAAAAAATTAGCCAGGCATGGTGGCATACGCCTGTCATCCCAGCTACTGGGGAGGCTGAGACAGGAGACTCCTTTGAAGCCGGGAGACAGAGGTTGCAGTGAATCGAGATCACGCCACTGCACTCCTGCCTGGGCAACAGAGCAAGACTCCGTCTCAAAAAAATAAATAAATAAAAATTACGAAAAAATGGCAAACTTCAGCCGTTAGCTCACGTACCACTTTGGAAGGGCATACCTTTAGTCACTTCACCCTTTAATCCCTTTGCTCAAGACTAAAGTTCTGAGAGGAAGACTAATCGGCTGAGTTGTGTCCATGTGGGCAGTGCAGGAAAGGATGCAGCGGGACGCTGCTCCAGGGATGTCTTTGGCTTCCATCATGGGGGAGCAGGCGCCTGGATTACCCACCCTAACAAATCTGGACAAAGGAAAACGAGGTTCTCCGAGGAAGGAGACATAGAGCCCAAGGAGCTAACCAAGAGACAAATGGTCATCCTGTCTTGTCATTTTCTTTTACACATGTGTGTACATTATCTTACACTTATCACTTTGTTTTCTTTCTCTCCTTTAATTGCACGCTGCTGCCAAAAGTTAAAATAAAATGAAAGTATTGAGATAGCTCAGTAACTGACTTTTGGTCAATTGCCTTTTCATATAGTGAACAGGTGCCCAAACGATTGTCTCTGTCACTGTGCAAATTTGCAAGCGTTTGCATGATCACTCCCACTCCCCCAATACAGAGCTGTGTTACAGCACAATTTAGTTCAGTGTTTTGCTCTCTGCAACAGGGAGGTTCTCATCCATTACACGTTGCAGTAAAAACAGGGGTACCATAAGCAACCAGCTCTTTCCTCAAAGAGGTGATGAAAGCAAAAGCCAAGTAGCTCCATGTATCCAACTTAAAAATATAAAAGTTACGCCCGTGGGCTGCAGTTGGAGCTATGGCGGCGGCAGCTGTCACTGGGCCTAGCCCGGGGTGTGGACCTGGGGACTCCCCAGAAGGGCCCGAGGGGGAGGCTCAAGGAGCGTCGGTGGAAGGCGGACAGGATGCTGAAGTTTTACAACGGCCTCTCGGAAGTGGAGGCGGTGGGACTCCCTGCGGGGACCGACCCCCTGGACCCCACTGATATGAACGGGGTACACTTCGACCCGGAAGTTTACCTAGACAAGCTTCCTAGAGAGTGCCCTCTGGCCCAGCTGATGGATAGTGAGACGGACATGGTGCAGCAGATCCGGGCTCTAGACAGCAACATGCAAACCCTGGTCTATGAGAACTACGATAAGTTCTCATAGACCCAGCCACAGAAATTGACACACAGCATAAAACTGTAAGAGGAATTGCAGGAGACCCAGAATTTCCCAAATAACCTTGTAAAAGAAGAACAAATTTGGAAGACTCACAAAAAAAAAAAATATATATATATATATACATATTATATATATATACATATATATATAAAGTTGTGTTTTCATTCAGTTGTAAATGTTTAGTAATTTCTATTGTGATTTTTCATTTAACTCATGAAAGGATATTTTTAATTTTCCAAATATATGCTTGTGTTTAGCTATCTTCTTGCTATTGACTTCTAATTTTGTGGCATTATGGTCAGGAAAATGTGGTCTGGACACTGTCAATCGTATAGTGGATTTTGTTGAGACTTCTTTATGGCCTAATATGTGGCCAGTTTTTTTTTGTTTTTTTTTTTTTTGCAAATTTGCCACATGTGGTTAAAAGGAATGTGGATTATTTGTTTTTTTTAGGAGAGTTTTTATTTTTAAATAGATAAGGTTCTCAGTGTAATTGAAATCTAACTTCAGTTAACAATATGCTAGACCTCTCAAACCTCAGGATGTTAGTCAGTGTAACAATAGACTGCTGCTGAGACGAATAAACCCTGAACTCTCAGTGGGTTGACACCCATAGCATAGTCTGGTGCAGGGCAGGGGTTCTCCTTGGGGGCCCTTGTCCAACAGTGATTCAGAGATTCTGGAGGTTTCCATCTTTTAATTCTGCCATCTCAGAGTTTTTCACTTGTAGCCATATGGATAGGAAGAGAGGGAACATAGCTCACACTTTGATAACCTTGGCCCAGAAGTGATTTCTTACATTCCTATTGGTGGAAATGCAGTCACATGGTTCCAAACTAACTGCAAATGAGGCTGGGAAATGTAGTCTTTCTGCATGTCCAGGAAGAGGAATGGTGTGAACACAGTATTGTCTTTGACACACTAAGCATGTGCTGAAGAGTTCTTACTCTCATAGGAGGTTTGTCTGTCCTGTGTAACTTTCTCAGTTTTTGCTTAGATAGTTTCAGGCAATGCTGTTTGGTGCATTCAGCTTGATGATTATTATGTCCTCTTGGCAAAGTAGTCAAGATTCCCATCAGTTTGAATGAAAGTGTTTTACAGATAGGTCAGGAAATGTTAATACTTTAAAAGGCCCTTCTATTCCTCCACTCTACATATAAGAAAAACAGAGTCCTAGAGAGAGGAGGTCATGGGTCTCACTCATGAGTGGCAGAATTGAAACCAATGTGGCACTAACTTTGCCTTTCCCCCATCATGTTGTTCTCCTTCTATCTTCACTCTGCTGATTTCTTCACTTGCTCCATACAGACCTCCCAGTGTCAAGTGTATAAGTGTGTCCAGAATTGGTGGGTTCTTGGTCTCACTGACTTCAAGAACGAAGCTGTGGACCCTCCTGGTGAGTGTTACAGTTCTTAAAGGTGGCGTGTCTGGAGTTTGTTCCTTCTGATGTTCGGATGTGTTTGAAGTTTCTTCCTTCTGGTGGGGCTCGTGGTCTCGCTGGCTCAGGAGTGAAGCTGCAGATCTTCACGGTGAGTGTTACAGCTCTTACGGCTGCAGATCTGGAGTTGTTCATTTCTCCCAGTGGGTTCATGGTCTTGCTGGCTTCAGGAGAGAAGCTGCAGACCTTCTCGGTGAGTGTTACAGCTCATAAAGTCAGTGTGGACCCAAAGAGTGAGCAGCAACAAGATTTATTGCAAAGAGCAAAAGAACAAAGCTTCCACAGTGTGGAAGGGGACCCCAGTGGGTTGCCACTGTTGGCTCGGGCAGCCTGCTTTTATTCTCTTACCTGGCCCCACCCACATCCTGCTGATTGGTCCATTTTACAGAGAGCCTGAGTGGTCTGTTTTGACAGGGCACTGATTGGTGCGTTTACAATCCCTGAGCTAGACACAAATGCTCCCCACGTCCCCACTAGATTAGCTAGATACAGAGTGTCCACACAAAGGTTCTCCAAGTCCCCACCCTAGTAGCTAGATACAGAGTGTCAATTGGTGCATTCATAAACCCTGAGCTAGATACAGGGTGCTGATTAGTGTGTTTACAAACCTTGAGCTAGATACAGAGTGCCAATTGGTGTATTTCCAATCCCTTACCTAGACATAAAGTTCTACAAGTCCCCACCAGACTCAGGAGCCCAGCTGGCTTCACCCAGTGGACCCAGCACAGGAGCTGCAGGTGGAGCTGCCTGCCAGTCCCTCTCCATGCACCCACACTCCTCAGCCCTTGGGTGGTCGATGGGACTGGGCGCCATGGAGCAGGGGGCGGTGCTCATCGGGGAGGCTTGGGCCGTACAGGAGCCCACAGAGGGGGGAGGCTAAGGAATGGCAGGCTGCAGGTCCCGAGCCCTGCCCCGCAGGGAGGCAGCTAAGGCCCGGTGAGAAGTCGAGCACAGCAGCTGCTGGCCCAGGTGCTAAGCCCCTCACAGCCCCGGCCGGCAAGGACAGCCGGCAGCTCCTAGTACAGGGCCACCAAGCCCACGCCCATCCAGAACTCCAGCCGGCAGGCAAGCAGCACACGTAGCCCCAGTTCCAGCTCATGCCTCTCCCTCCATGCCTCCCTGCAAGCTGAGGGAGCCAGCTCTGACCTCGGCCAGCCCAGAAAGGGGCTCCCACCATGCAGCCGTGGGCTGAAGGGCTCCTCAAGTGCTGCCAAAGTGGGAGCCCAGGCAGAGGAGGTGCCGAGAGTGAACGAGGGCTGTGAGGGTTGCCAACACGCTGTTACCTCTCATAAGGAGTGATTAATCTGAGCTTCTCCAGAAAGTCCATTCCTGGTAGGCACTGGGAATAAGAAATCTCAGAGTATAAAAAAACATCAAGTGGTAGCACTTTTGTGAGTGGCTCCCAAATTAGATCCTTTACCTTTTTTTCATGAAGCACAGTTGCCCAAAACACGCTTAGCCTGAGGTGAAGCACATATTAGAGAAAAGTTCTCTCTATAGCATTATGTATTACTCAAATGAGCATTAAAAAGAGGAGACGGGACATGCTCTCTCTAGCTATTATTACCTGCACTATAGAGTTGACATACACAAGCTCATTATTGCATTATGTTTTATTCAACAAAATAACTTTAATGTTGAAGCTTAAATTGAATTCGCTAAAACATCTTTGTCTCCAGCATAGTGTGCCTCAAGTGTCTCCTTGGTGCCTGAATTTTCTCCAGAATTATCGTGCTGAAACTATGGAAATGGTGAAATTATATGCAATCTGCAAAACAATGTGGCTATAACGTGGTAATTGGCCTTCCACATAATTAAAGGAACATTTCCTCATCAGAGCTGTTCCATCAGAGACCCAAAGGCTATCGTTGTACAAATCACCCACTTAGGAAAACCTTTATTCCCAGTAGCCTATAAAAATCTGCTTATGCAAACAGATTTGCTTATTCAGTAACATTAATGGCTTCTCATAGTTAAAAAGTCATCAATGTGATTGACCTATAATCTGCTTCCTCTGTGACCAAGTGTCATTTTTATTTTGACAGTTAGGAGCCTTTTGACTCTTTCACAGCTGGCATGAAGGCACAGGGAGGGAAATCTCAAAAACCAACAACCTGTGTATTCCCAGCCTATTAATCAATAGAAAATCACTTCAACTGGATTAGGGTCTTGTACCTGGCAGAAAGGCTCTTATGGACATTGGAATTGGATTTTTACACTTGATATGACACCTCCTTGAGTCAGATCAGATTCGTGTTTGATAGACTCTTGCCGAAAAATTGCTCCAGGGTCTGTGCAGTAGCTAAAGCCTTTTTATTGTTGTTGTTTTAAAAGCAGCATTAAATGTTTTCATGAAGACCTTCCCACCAGTGATTTTATTGGGAATATGGTCTTTAGCTCTGGTCCTGAATAACTCACACTGAGGAAACCTCTAACAAGTGTTTTATTGGAAGATGTCTGATGGATGGTTGGTTTTAATAACAAATCTCTTCCCTTTTTCTGTCCCCTGTGTTCTATTCTCCTTTCTTACACATTATTCTGGGAGGATTCACCTATTCCCAAAGTCCTTTCCTCTTTATTTCCATTCCAGAGCTCTCTGTATAACTCCAGGCTGATGAATCCAGCTGCCCAGTTGTTATCTCCACTTGGCTGTCTGTCTTGCATTGACCTCATCTTACCTTTCCTCTCCTGATTTCCTCTTCTGCCAGGGCTCACCACGTCAGATTCACACCACCATCCACCCAGCTTCCAAATCACCTGGGCCTCCTCCTTCATTCCTCCCTCTTTCTCAGTCAAGTTAGTCTACTGTCTCCTCTCCATCCTCACTGCCACAGCCTTGGTCCAGCCAACCATCTTGTCTCACTTGGCGTATTGCAGCCTCCTACCTGGTCTACTCACCACCCACTCTCCTCCAGCCAGACTGCTCTTCTTCTAGCACAAAGTGGATCATTACTCCCCTGCATAAAAACATCTACTGTCTCCCTTTCTCTACAGGATAGACACGACAAAGAGCCTTTAAGATTTGGCTCCAACTTACCTCTATATTACTCACTTTTTACAATTATATGAACATCTCTCAGCTCCTCACCCTCTCACGTCTCGATTTTTACACATGCTCTTCCCTCTGCTGAGAATGATCTTCCACACCTCTCCTATCGACCTGGCTAGTTCCTACCATTTTCTAGTCTTCAACTGAGGAGTCCTGTGGTGGAGAAGGATTTCTCACCACCTGATATAGATTGCATGCCCACCCACCTCCGAGCTTTTTCTTTTTTCTTTCTTTTTTTTTTTTTTTTGAAAGAGTCTCGCTCTGACCATGCAAGCTGGAATGCAGTGGTGCGATCTTGGCTCACTGCAATCTCCACCACCCGGGTTCAAGCAATTCTCCCACCTCAGCCTTCTGAGTATCTGGAATTACAGGTGCCCCCCACCACATCTGGCTAATTTTTTTGTATTTTTAGTAAAGACAGGATTTCACCATGTTGGCCAGGCTGTTTTCGAACTCCTGGCCTCAAGTGATCCACCCACCTTGGCCTCCCGAAGTGCTGGGAATACAGGCATGAACAACTGCACCTGGCCGATTGGGTACCCCTTCTATGTGCTCCCATTGCCCCAGGCATACTGTCACCATAACTCTTACCATTCTGAGTTGAAAATGATTTTTTTTTTTTGCTTTTTATTTCTCTCATTAAATGCAAAGCTTATTGAAAAGAGGACAGTGGTTGTTCACTGTTGTACTCCTAACCTTTGACTCAGTGTCCTTAGGTTGGCTCTACAGCTGTGCACACATGTTCAGACATTGGAGCACATCTTGTCTAGCACCTCTTTTGTGGTGGCTTAGAGAAAAGTCAGTAGGTACTTCCCCAAGGATGAAACAGAAGCTTCACCTAAAGCAGTTCTTCAACTTCAGCCTGCATTAGAATCCTCTGAGACCTTGTTAAAAATACCATCTCCTGGATCCCACTCTTCAAGAGTCGGTGAGTTGCTTCATCATCAAAATATACACAGAATTCAGGCAGTCTTCAGCCCCAGCCTGGTCTGAACCTCTGTGGACTCCCACCTGCAAAATGTCCCTGCTGGTCTCCTTGCTTCTGCTCTTACCTTCTTATTACCCATTCGAGTAGCCGGGGTGATCCTTTTTAAAAAATTTTTTAAATTTTTTTGTGATGAAGTCTCACTCTGTTGTCCAGGCTGGAGTGCAGTGGTGCTATCTCAGCTTGCTGCAGCTCTATCTCCTGGGCTCAAGCAATCCTCCCACCTCAGTCTCCTGGGTAACTGGGACCACAGACATACACCACCACACCCGGCTAATTTTTGTATTTTTTGTAAAGACACGGTCTTGCTGTGTTGCCCAGGCTAGTCTTGAACTTCTGTGTGCACCCACCTCAGCCTCCTGCATTTTTAGGAGGCCCCTCTTGTAGGGATTTTGATCCAGATGCCTGGGTGCCTCATGTCTCCTCCCATCTCTCTCTGTCTTTCTGTCTCTGTCTCTCTCTCTCTTTCTCTTTGCCTTATAGCTGCCCTGGGGTGTAGACTCTGCCTTAGGCATCCCTCTGGCTCTTGTTTGCTTTTATACTGAGGCTGCTTTAAATTGCACCTTGATCTGAAGCCTTGGGCTTCTGTTCCTATTCCTTGCTTTTGTTGGAAGGGCCGTGCAGCTTCTTGACAAATTGCAAAGGTGCCCACGAGTTTCCAAGTCCCCAAGAACCAAACCAGATGACAAACAAGGATGCAGTCCACAGCTGGGGAGACAGATTTCATGTCCACACAGAGACTCCAAGATGCTGAACTGAAATCCACCTCGAAACCTGTTTTCTCTCTCATTTAAGTTCATTGTCACCTGGGGGCTTGCAGGGCAGAGCTGGTGACCATTCTCAGGGCAAAGATGCTTTGAAATGTCAACTGAGAATGGTGTGGTGGTTGACAGATGGCACGTCAGAGCATAGATTAACATGGAAAGAGAAATTCACCCCTTGGGGGGAGTGTGTGAGGCTGGCAGCCACACAGAGGGCTTTTCCTGTGAGCTCTTGCATAGATGCAAACAGCCAGGAGGTTTTGCTTTCTGATCCTAAGTGGAAGCATGTTCTTCCCTGCACATTGCCGCTCTGCAGCAAATGTTTATTCCTGTTGCATTGATTAAAAGTGCTTACCAGGCCGGGCGCGGTGGCTCACGCCTGTAATCCCAGCACTTTGGGAGGCCGAGGCAGGCAGATCACAAGGTCAGGAGATTGAGACCATCCTGGCTAACACGGTGAAACCCCGTCTCTACTAAAAATACAAAAAATTAGCCGGGCATGGTGGCGGGCACCTGTAGTCCCAGCTACTTGGGAGGCTGAGGCAGGAGAATGGCATGAACCCAGGAGGCGGGGCTTGCAGTGAGCCGAGATTGTGCCACTGCACTCCAGCCTGGATGACAGAGCAAGACTCCGTCTCAAAAATACAAAGTGCTTACCGAAGTGGTTTGAGGGCAGCGGTGACAGTGTGAGTTATGGCTCTGCCGGCTGCCAGTGGAGCCAGCCTCTCTGCACGGCCGTGCAAGGGTGTTTTGAAAAGTGGCTCAGCCGGCCAGGAGTGACTGGCTGTAAATATTGCTGCCACAACATCTTGTAGCCTGATTGGGGCCGTGTTTGCAGAACCCCTAAACCACTACACTTGTTCAGGCTTAAAAATAAGCTTACTTTTTTTTGTTTGTTTTGTTTTGTTTTATGAGATGGAGTCTAATTCTGTCACCGGGTTGGAATGCAGTGGCATGATCTCGGCCCACTGCAACCTCTGCCTCCTGCGTTCAAGTGATTCTCCTGCCTCAGGCTCCCGAGTAGCTGGGACTATAGGCGTGTGCCATCATGGCCAGCTAATTTTTGAATTTTTAGTACAGACGGGGCTTCACCTTTTTGGTCAGGATGGTGCGATCTCTTGACCTCGTGATCTGCCCGCCTTGGCTTCCCAAAGTGCTAGGATTACAGGCGTGAGCCACCGTGCCTGGTCAAACATAAACTTACTTTCTTACCTCTTCTGCTGAACTCTATGTGCTTCTTTTCGCAACTTCTGCTGAACTCTATTTTGCTTCTTTTTCCTGGATAAGGCTCTTGTTTATCCAGAAGAACTTTTAGCAACAAAGTTACCCAATGCCTTTCCCTAGTCTCTCCTTGCAACTGACTCTCAGTGGTGGGGGGGGGTGGGTAGGAGGAAATCCTTGACAGAACCAATTTACATGACTGTTTGGAGGACTCTCACTAGCCCCAGGAGGTGTTTACATTTTTAAATTGGTTACTAGTGTCAGAATGTTTCATGAGTAAGAGCACAGCCTCTAAGTTGGATACCCTGAATTTAAGTCTCAACATGGCCATTTTGTATATAAGCAGAGGACGGATTTGGGGACCCAATGGATCTACCATGACATGAACTTGGACCAACATTCACCTGAACTCCAAAATGCCTATTCTGACTGGTAGACCCTAGTCTCGCCCTAGTGCCAGTTCAGAGCCTGTGTCCAGTGGTCTTGCACAGGTCCCATTAGTTCTTTTTCTCCTATTCAGTCATCCTGGTAAAGGCTGTGTATTCCCTTGGGGACAGGTTGGGAGAAAGATTGACAGTATAAATTTTTGGCAGTGGAGCAGAGTCCTTTCTGGAGGGGACCTGGCTTCCCATTCAGACAAGGGACTCCAGGTCTGTGAACTGGCTTATGTCTGGGAATTGACGGGGGACTGTGACTCTGTTTTTATGATTCAGATTAGACTTCTGCTCACCTGACCTAGAATTCTTCTTCAAACACAGATCCAGTAAAAATGTGGCAGGCTTCTTATCTATTTCAGTTCTAGGAAAGCCACGATCAGCCGGCACCATAGGTCTCTGCGAGTCAGGCTATTCTGGTTGCAGCTTTGACTCTGCTGTCTTTTATGGTAACTGCATCCACCTTGCCTTTGGGGATTGAGTGCTCTGATCACTTGACCCCAGCCCCTGTACTGTGCGTATGTCACTTACCCTCTTTATACCTCAGTCTCCTCCTCTATAAAATGGGCATCCTCATTGCACCCACCCCCAGGGCTGCTGTGAGGTATAGATGGATTAGCATATGGAAAGTAATAGAAGAGGGTCTCAAAGCCCATGTGTCGTTATCAGAATTATTTCGTGACAGGGGAGAGCTGGAGGAGAGAGGAAGGTGCTGAGCAGACCCACGTGCTCTCCCACCAGTGTTTCCTGAGCACCCACTATGTGCTGCCCACTGTGAGAGCTGTTAGGGTTGAAATAGGAAGAACAGCAGGATAGGGGCTGCCATCAGGAGCTTAGTGGGGAGACCGTTGTGCAACATGGTTACAGTGCTTGGGGTGGGGAAGCCCAGGGACTACAGGGGCCTAGGATCCAGGGCAGAATCATGGAAAGGACACAGCCGCCCCAGCCTCCCCTGCCTCCCCTGCCTCCCTGACCTCCTCTGTTCCCTGGCCTCTCCTGCCTTCCTGGCTTCCCCTTCCGCCCCGGCCTCCCCAGTCTCCCCTGTCTTTCCTGCTTTTGAGGTGGGCCAGGAGCTGCTGGTGCTCACTTAGCCTGTCCTGGACTCTGGGTGTAGCACTTCGATGTCCAGAAAATACCCCCGGGTTCAGCTTATCACACAGCCAAGAAAGGAGCTCCACACTGACACTAAGGGTGCATCCTGGGCTCATTCATCAGGGCATGCCTCCAAAATATTTCTCCACGTCTCCTCCCTTTGCCCACCTGCATTGTCTCTGTGCCTCAGCCCCAGCTGGGGGCCTGCAAGGATCCTCTATCTCCTCTGCCCCTGCACGGCTGGGTCCCAGGCAATCTGTCTGCCCACAACACCTCTCTCCTGTTGCCCACCACGCTCCAGCCCCACAGTCCTCTTTCTGCTTCTTTCCCAGCCTCTGGGCTTTTGCACACGCTATTCCTTCTGCCTGAACACCCTCCACTGGGCTGAGAACAACTCTCTGAGACCTCTCTCAGCTGTTGCTTCCTTTGGAAAAGCCGCTGCTGCTGTCCCTCTCCCAGCTCAAAGACCTGCTGAGCCTCCTGTCTTTTTCAGTTCCCATGCCCCCAGCACTTCTCCTTGGCCTCCTTTGGCCCAATTGACAATGTCCATTCTCAATGCCTTCCCACCCAGCGCTGAGCCCCACTTGGTGAAGGCAATGCCTGTCATGTTCACCACAATATCCCCTCCCCCATCACCACGACTGGTCCACAGTGATGCTCAAAAAAGATCTGTTGGTAGGCAATGCGAAGGTGCATTCATGTCATCCTGCAGGCGGAATTCTCCACGAGTTTTGAGCAGCCTCGGGTTTCCCACCACCTCCAAATCATGGAAGACACAGGGTAAGAGCAAAGACAAGGTGGCTGTGGCCGATGTCCACCCTCTCGTGGCGTCCCTTCTCTTCTCTCCTCCTTGAGCAGGGAGACCATCGGGGTGCAACCTGGCTGGGGCGGGGAGGTGGTGCAGGGCATTGCCAGAGCGGGCCTGTCCATGGGCAAGGGACAGCGACCTCCTGGGCCAGGACATGTGACAGCTGCGCAGGCCTGGGCCCGGCGTGGCAGAGGTGCGCGAGAGCGGCCAGAAGAGGGCGCCAGAGAGCCAGGCGCGGCCCGCGGAGGAGCCCGGGCCGGCCCCGATACCCAGCTCCGCGCCGCGCGGACCCACCGAGCCCGTGCTCAGACGCCCCAGCTCCGCCGAGAAGCCGCTTGAGCCGGGTCCTTCTTCTTCCCCAAGTTCAGGCAGAGCCCCCGGAGCCATGGCCAGCCCTTCCAGCAGCTCCGAAGCCACTGGCAAGCCCCGAGGCAGGGATGGCAGTCCCAGGATGGGGGAGGACGTCCCTCCCGAAGAGAAGAGGCTGGGGCTGTAGCTGGAGGGGGGAAGCGCACAGCCCGAGGACTGCGAGGACGGGGAGGACCCGCCGCTGCCGGGCAGGAAGGAGACCGGCACCCAGACAGGTGGCGACGGCAAAGGAGTAAGTGATGCGGGCGCGGGGGTCCGGGAGTGCCGGGGGCTCGGGGGTGCCGGGGACGCGACGAAGGGGCGTCGGGAGGCTCCGTGGCCGTCCCCGGGTTGAAGTTGGGAGTGCAGCCTTCATTCTGAACCCATTTAGGCAGCATGGGCAGCCCTCCTCGCCATGGGCAGAATCAGAGCCCCCCCGCCCAGTCTTGGGGTTGCTCCTGGATGCTGTCTGGGAGGCTGGCTCATGGTGACATCCTCATCTCCCCGTCCACGTTACCGCATTCAGAGCTTGGGTCACCTGGACACTGAACTCAGGTGAATTTTCTCTGAGATCCCGGGAGAAGGAGGACAGTTGTTTGGAAGGTTTTCCAGGGCCGATCACGGAAAGGATGAGAAGGGAGAGGTCCTGGTCGGGGACACAATTATGGTGGCAGTGTAACGCCGGGAAACTTTATTGCATGAAGTCCCTCTCACTCCCTCTACCTCCCTCTTTTACGTGGATTCTGCCAAAGACCAGGATACCAGAATGCGGTGGAGTGACCAAGTGTAGTGAGACCTTGGGAATGTGATTCTGGAGCCAGGCGGCTGGGGTTTGCATCCTGGTTCTGCCCCTCCTTAGCTGGCTGACATGGCACAAGCCACTTACCCTCTCTGAGCCTTACTGTCTTCAGTGGCAAATGGATCTGTCAACAGGCCCCATTGCCTGGGGTTGTTGCTGCTGAGATTAAGGGAAGCTCGTCCATAGAAGCACTTAGCGTTGTGCCTGGCACATAGTGTATGGTGGATAAGTGGGACTTAGTACTAAAACTCATGCCTTGGTGTCTTTTTGCAGTGATGTTTTGTTCTGGAGTACGTCACAAGAGACAAGGTTCTTGGCTGGGCATGGTGGTTCAAGCCAATAATCCCAGCACTTTGAGAGGCCGAAGGGGGAGGATCGCTTGAGCCCAGGAGTTTAAGACCAGCCTGGGCAACATGGTGAAGCCTCATATCTACCAAAAAAAAAAAAAAGAAAAAAAAAAAAAAAAGGCAGTTATGGTGGTGTGTGCCTGCAGTCCCAAGTACTTGGGAGGCTGAGGTGGGAGGATTGCTAGAGCCTGGAAGGTTGGGTTGCAGTGAGCTGTGATCATGCCACTGCACTCCAGCCTGGGTGACAAAGTGAGACCGTTTCAAGGAAAAGAGAGAGAGAGAGACAGACAGACCCACAAGAGTCTTAAGCCAGAATCTCCATGTTAAAATGCTTTCTGGAGGCTAAAAGGATGATATGTTGATAATGAAATGTTTAAAAGGCAGAAACCCCACTGAATTGTTTGGTCCACAGAGGGAAATGGGAATAGCATGACCTGAAGGATGATGGAGGAACTGAACAGAAACCATCCTTGTTTCCTGAATCTGAACATGGCACGCTCTTTTCACGGTGCCTGTATCTGCTCAGTCCGGCAGCCCCTTGAAAAGAGGGAATCCTGATTTTCAAACTTAAAATTTGGCCCAAAGCTCACTGCTGCCCACAATGCCCGCCAGACACATTCCTCTTCCCTTTTAGTTCCTATGGGAATACTCTCTTTGAAGAACCCATGAAGCAGTGTCAGGCTGGTACGAGGATCAGCAGTGATTTCTTTGAGGAGGAGAGCCCGTTTCTTCACTCACAGGCCGTGTCTGAGTGGATCAAGAAGAACAGAGTGCCCTTTTATGAGATTTTGTCTGCGTAGACCACTAGCTTGGTAAAAATGTCAAAACCATCCTCGTTCTTTAATAACAGATTATTTTGGACTTTTCTCTGCAAGAAGCAGCATGGGCATTCAGATGCTTTTAAGGATAAAATGTTCTTTCTCATCACCAGGCCTGGTGCTCTGGATGGCTGAGGTTTTAATGTGACTGGATGTCCCTTGGAGTGGCTCCCAGGCTGTGCTCTTGTGGTTGGGTGGCAAGGGGTTGCTTTATTCGGTGGTGGCTAGAGGATGTTTTAGCAGATTAATCGGGACCCCAGGAGCCCTTGAGTGTCAAGTCCTGCTGCAGGGCATGTGTTTATGGTGGGGAGGTGGGGGAGGGTGGAGGGGGGGACATTGATTTCCTCCCAATATCAGAAGTTTCACAGGCTTCTTGTTTATCCACAAACACCCACCCCATTGAGAAGGCCTAGAAAATCTGCCCCTCCTCAAGCCTTTATTGACCGCTTGTGAATGATCCCAGGGTGTGTCTGACCCACAGCTCCTCATGGAGGGAGAGAAAAGTCTCTCCTAGGTATTTGGTTGTCCACCTCAACCACTTGCTGAGTCTTCCGCAAGACCAGGCACCTCGGCAGAGATTTCTGGGTTGTCAGGCAGAACCGAGCATTCAAGGGTGATAACTCACTGGAGTCCCTGAAATCCCTGATGGACGCACCAGGTAAAAGCATCCAGGGTTGAAACCAGATCAGGAAGGTTATTGTCAGCCTGGGGCTCCTGTAGAGGTGCATCCACGTTGCAGGGATTTTCCTTCTTGCTGAGGAGAAACCTGGGTTTCTCAGCTTTGGCACAGTCAGAATATTTGTGGTGAGACCATTCGTGGTGCTGGTGGTGGGGCTGTCCTGTGTATTGAAGGATGGTTAGCAGCATCTGTGGTCTCCATCCTCTAGGTGCCATTCTACCCTCCCTGCTATGGCTACCCCAGACGTCTCCAGATGGTTTCAAATAATGTGGGGCAAGGGAGCGGTACGTGAGCAAAACCACCCCAGTTGAGAGCCATTGGTCCACACTTGTATAAATGTTTGAGGGTGAGAGTGTCGAGCTTGGGTCCCTGCTGTACCCTTTATGAGCAATGCGGTCTTGTAAAATTAATACTACTCCAGGGGCCTCAGTTTTCTCATCTATAAAATGGAGATAAATGAGATACACTTTGATAGGAAGGTTATATGGGATTCACCGAGATAATAAGACAGTACATGGAAAATGCTGCGCATAGCATTTATTTATTTTAATTTTTTTTTAAGACAGAGTCTTACTCTGTTGCCCAGGTTGGAGTGCAGTGGCATGATCTCCGCTCACTGCAATCTCCACCTCCTGGGTTCAAGTGATTCTCCTGCCTCAGGCTACCGAGTAACTGGGACTACAGGCGCGCGCCATCATGCCCATTTAATTTTTGAATTTTTAGTAGAGACGGGGCTTCACCATGTTGGCCAGGATAGTCCGATCTCTTGACCTCGTGATCTGCCCGCCTCGGCCTTCCCAAGTGCTGGGATTACAGGCGTGAGCCACCGTGCCTGGCCAAACATAAACTTACTTTCTTACCTCTTCTGCTGAACTCTATTTACTTCTTTTCCCATACGTCTTTATCCAGAAGAGCTTTTAGCAACAAAGTTACCCAATGCCCTTCCCTAGTCTCTCCTTGCAACTGGCTCTCAGCAGGGGGTGGGAGGAAATTCTTGACAGAACCAATTTACATGACTGTTTTGGGGACCCATTCTAGTCCCAGGAGGTGTTTGCACTTTTAAATTGGTTACTAGTGTCAGAATGTTTCATGAGTAAGAGCCCAGCCTCTATGTCGGATGCCCTGAATTTGAATCTCAGCATTGCCGCTTTGTATATAACCAGAGGATGGATTTGGGGACCCAATGGACCTACCGTGACATGAACTTGCACCAACATTCACCTGACCTCCAAAATGCCTATTCTGACTGGTAGAACCTAGTCTCGCCCTAGTGCCAGTTCAGAGCCTGTGTCCAGTGATCCTGCACAGGTCTCATTAGTTCCTTTTCTCCTGTTCATTCATCCTGGTGAAAGGCTGTGTATTCCCTTGGGGGCAGGTTGGGAGAAAGACTGACAGTATAAATTTTTGGCAGTGGAGCAGAGTCCTTTCTGGAGGGGACCTGGCTTCTCATTCAGACAAGGGACTCCAGGTCTGTGAACTGGCTTATGTCTGGAAATTGACTGGGGATTGTGACTCTGTTTTTATGATTCAGATTAGACTTCTGCTCACTTGACCTAGAGCTCTTCTGCAAACACAGATCAAGTGAAATGTGGCAGGCTTCTTATCTATTTCACTTCTAGGAAAGCCACGATCAGCAGGCACCATAGGTCGCTGGGAGTCAGGCTATTCTGGTTGCAGCTTTGACTCTGCTGTCTTTTATGATAACTGCATCTACCTTGCCTTTGGGGATTGAGTGCTCTGATCACTTGGCCCCAGCCCCTGTAGTGTGCGTATGTCACTTACCCTCTTTATACCTCAGTCTCCTCCTCTATAAAATGGGCATCCTCATTGCACCCACCCCCAGGGCTGCTGTGAGGTATAGATGGATTAGCATATGGAAAGTAATAGAAGAGGGTCTCAAAGTCCATGTGTCGTTATCAGAATTATTTCATGATGGGGAGAGCTGGAGGAGAGAGGAAGGTGCTGAGCAGACCCACGTGCTCTCCCACCAGTGTTTCCTGAGCACCTACTATGTGCTGCCCACTGTGAGAGCTGTTAGGGTTGAAATAGGGAGCACAGCAGGGTAGGGGCTGCCATCAGGAGCTTAGTGGGGAGACCATTGTGCAACCTGGTTCCAGCGCTTGGGGTGGGGAAGCTCAGGGAGTTCAGGGGCCTAGGATCCAGGGCAGAATCATGGAAAGGACATAACCTCCCCAGCCTCTCCTGCCTCCATTGCCTCCCTGGCCTCCTCTGCTTCCCTGGCCTTTCCTACCTTCCTGGCTTCCCCTTCCACCCCGGCCTCCCCAGTCTCCCCTGTCTTTCCTGCTTTTGAGGTGGGCCAGGAGCTGCTAGTGCTCACTTAGCCTGTCCTGGGCTCTTGGTGTAGCACCTCAATGTCCAGAAAATACCCCCGAGTTCAGCTCATCACACAGTCAAGGAAGGAGCTCCACACTGACACTAAGGGTGCATCCTGGGCTCATTCATCAGGGCATGCCTCCAAAATATTTCTCCACGTCTCCTCCCTTTGCCCACCTGCATTGTCTCTGTGCCTGAGCCCCGGCTGGGGGCCTGCAAGGATCCCCTATCTCCTCTGCCCCTGCACAGCTGGGTCCCAGTCAATCTGTCTGCCCACCACACCTTCCTCCCCTTGCCCACCATGCTCCAACCCCACAGTCCTCTTTCTGCTTCTTTCCCAGCCTCTGGGCTTTTGCACACGCTGTTCCCTCTGCCTGAACACCCTCCACTGGGCTGAGAACAACTCTCCGAGACCTCTCTCAGCTGTTGCTTCCTTTGGAACAGCCGCTGCTGCTGTCACTTTCCCAGCTCCAAGACCTGCTGAGCCTCCTGTCTTTTTCAGTTCCCATGCCCCCAGCACTTCTCCTTGGCCTCCTTTGGCCCAATTGACAATGTCCATTCTCAATGCCTTCCCACCCAGCGCTGAGCCCCACTGGGTGAAGGCAATGCCTGTCATGTTCTCCACAATATCCCCTCCCCCATCACCACACCTGGTCCACAGTGATGCTCAAAAAAGGTCTGTTGGTAGGCAATGGGAAGGTGCATTCATGTCATCCTGCAGGCGGAATTCTCCACGAGTTTTGAGCAGCCTCGGGTTTCCCACCACCTCCAAATCATGGAAGATACACGGTAAGAGCAAAGACAAGGTGGCTGTGGCCGATGTCCACCCTCTCGGGGCTTCCCTTCTCTTCTCTCCTCCTTGGGCAGGGAGACCATCGGGGTGCAACCTGGCTGGGGTGGGGAGGAGGTGCAGGGCCTGGCCAGAGCGGGTCTGGCCACAGGCAGGGGACAGCGACTGCCTGGGCGGGGGCAGGTGAGTGCAGCGCAGGCCAGGGCCCGGCTTGTCCGCGGTGCGCGCGAGCGGCCAGCAGAGGGCGCGAGAGCCAGGAGCGGCCCGCGTAGGAGCCCGCGCCGGCCGCTATGCCCAGCCCCGCGCCCGGCGGACCCACCGAGCCCGCGCTCAGACGCCCCAGCTCCGCCGAGAGGCCGCTCGCGCCGTATCCTTCCTCTTCTCCAGGTGCAGGCAGAGCCCCCCAGCCGTGGCCAGCCCTTCCGGCAGCTCCGAAGCCACTGGCAAGCCCCGAGGCAGGGATGGCCGGCCCAGGAGGGAGGAGGACGACGTCCCTCCCGAAGAGAAGAGGCTGCGGCTGTAGCTGGAGGGGGGAAGCGCAGAACCCGAGGACTGCGAGGACGGGGAGGACGCGCCGCGGCCAGGCAGGGAGGAGACCGGCACCCAGACAGGTGGCGAAGGCAGAGGAGTAAGTGACGCGGGCGCCGGGGTCCGGGGGTGCCGGGGGCGCCGGTAGGGGCGGCGGGAGGCTCAGTGGCCGGCCTCGGGTTGAAGTTGGTATTTTAGCGGCAACTCCGAAGGGCGCGGAGTGACAGCGCGTGACGGCCTCCGAGACGCCAGCTGCCGCTTCTCGGCTGTGTGGCTTTGACTTCCTGATTCTCCCACGACGTCCCTGGCTGGGAGACCCGCTGGACTCTGCGGCTGGCCAAAAAGAGAGGGGCAGCCCCGCGTCCTGGGGGCCCCTAGCAGGGGAAGTGGCGGTTGTTGCGCTGGGCATCCTGTCTGGGGCATCTGTCTGGGACCCTGTCGGTGCCTCTCACCTGGCGAGGGGCCTGTGGTGGGGTAGGGGGGAAGTCCCTGGCGCCAGGCTTGGCCAAGCCCTGCTCTGCTGGACTGCGGGCTGGCGGCACTCACCCAGCTCCTCACCCGTCCCGCATCTTCCTGTTTTTCTTCCCTTTCTGGTTGGGCAGCAAGAGTTGAGAGGAGGCAGATGGCTTCCATCCCAGAAATCGCTCTCCTCTTTCCATCCCTACAGAGAGGGACAGAGAGGCAAAGTTCCTTGCATCCCCGGGGCGCTGTCCCTGTGAGCTCCTGGTGTCCTGCAAACGTTGGCCCCTGAATCACCGGGCCAGTGTGTGTGGGATGGGGCTGCGTAGCCAGGCTGGCCTCCTGGGGTTCACTTTCGGCTTTCCTACCCCAACTCTTCCTGTGTGGCTTTGCTGGCCTTCCACTGGGGAGGCATGTGGGTTTGGAGGGCAGATGAGGGCCCGCTGGAGAACTGTACCCCTCAGTGAGGGCCGCCACCTTGATGGTTTTTAATGGATAATGGGGTTGACCTCTTTGTTCCTTCCACATGTTTTTATGTTTGACCATTTGCTCAGCTGAGCTTGTCTTAATAATTGGATTCATGGTTAATGAGCCCCACATGGGAGAGAGGGCGGTCTTCATTCTGAACCCATTTAGGCAGCATGGGCAGCCCTCCTCGCCGTGGGCGGCATCAGAGCCCCCCTGCCCAGTCTTGGGGTTGCTCCTGGATGCTGTCTGGGAGGCTTGCTCATGGTGACATCCTCATCTCCCCGTCCACGTTACCGCATTCAGAGCTTGGGTCACCTGGACACTGAACTCAGGTGAATTTTCTCTGAGATCCCGGGAGAAGGAGGACAGTTCTTTGGAAGGTTTTCCAGGGCCGATCACGGAAAGGATGAGAAGGGAGAGGTCCTGGTTGGGGACACAATTACGGTGGCAGTGTAACGCCGGGAAACTTTATTGCATGAAGTCCCTCTCACTCCCTCTACCTCCCTCTTTTACGTGGACTCTGCCAAAGACCAGGATACCAGAATGCGGTGGAGTGACCAACTGTAGTGAGACCTTTGGAACGCGATTCTGGAGCCAGGCGGCTGGGGTTTGCATCCTGGTTCTGCCCCTCCTTAGCTGGCTGACATGGCACAAGCCACTTACCCTCTCTGAGCCTTACTGTCTTCAGTGGCAAATGGATCTGTCAACAGGCTCCATTGCCTGGGGTTGTTGCTGCTGAGATTAAGGGAAGCTCGTCCATAGAAGCACTTAGCGTTGTGCCTGGCACATAGTGTATGGTGGATAAGTGGGACTTAGGACTAAAACTCATGCCTTGGTGTGTTTTTCAGTGATGTTTTGTTCTGGAGTACGTCACAAGAGACAAGGTCCTTGGCTGGGCATGGTGGCTGAAGCCAATAATCCCAGCACTTTGAGAGGCCGAAAGGGGGGGATCACTTGAGCCCAGGAGTTTAAGACCAGCCTGGGCAACATGGTGAAGCCTCATATCTACCAAAAAAAAAAAAAAAAAAAAAAAAAAAAAAAAAAAAAAAAAAAAAAAAAGGCAGTTATGGTGGTGAGTGCCTGCAGTCTCAAGTACTTGGGAGGCTGAGGTGGGAGGATTGCTAGAGCCTAGAAGGTCAGGCTGCAGTGAGCTGTGATCATGCCACTGCACTCCAGCCTGGGTGACAAAGTGAGACCGTTTCAAGGAAAAGAGAGAGAGACAGACCCACAAAAGTCTTAAGCCAGAATCTCCATGTTAAAATGCTTTCTGGAGGCTAAAAGGATGATATGTTGATAATGAAATGTTTAAAAGGCAGAAACCCCACTGAATTGTTTGGTCCACAGAGGGAAATGGGAATCGCATGACCTGAAGGATGATGGAGGAACTGAACAGAAACCATCCTTGTTTCCTGAATCTGAACATGGCACGCTCTTTTCACGGTGCCTGTATCTGCTCAGTCCGGCGGCCCCTTGAAAAGAGGGAATCTTGATTTTCAAACTTAAAATTTGGCCCAAAGCCCACTGCTGCCCACAATGCCCGCCAGACACATTCCTCTTCCCTTTTAGTTCCTATGGGAATACTCTCTTTGAAGAACCCATGAAGCAGTGTCAGGCTGGTACGAGGATCAGCAGTGATTTCTTTGAGGAGGAGAGCCCGTTTCTTCACTCACAGGCCATGTCTGAGTGGATCAAGAAGAACAGAGTGCCCTTTTATGAGATTTTGTCTGCGTAGACCACTAGCTTGGTAAAAATGTCAAAACCATCCTCGTTCTTTAATAACAGATTATTTTGGACTTTTCTCTGCAAGAAGCAGCATGGGCATTCAGATGCTTTTAAGGATAAAATGTTCTTTCTCATCACCAGGCCTGGTGCTCTGGATGGCTGAGGTTTTAATGTGACTTGGTGTCCCTTAGAGTGGCTCCCAGGCAGTGCTCTTGTGGTTGGGTGGCAAGGGGTTGCTTTATTCGGTGGTGGCTAGAGGATGTTTTAGCAGATAAATCGGGACCCCAGGAGCCCCTGAGTGTCAAGTCCTGCTGCAGGGCATGTGTTTATGGTGGGGAGGTGGGGGTGGGGGTGGAGGATGGGGGCATTGATTTCCTGCCAATATCAGAAGTTTCACAGGCTTCTTGTGTATCCACAAACACCCACCCCATTGAGAAGGCCTAGAAAATCTGCCCCTCCCCAAGCCTTTATTGACCGCTTGTGAATGATCTCAGGGTGTGTCTGACCCACAGCTCCTTCTGGAGACAGAGAAAAGTCTCTCCTAGGTATTTGGTTGTCAACCTCAACTGCTTGCTGAGCCTTCCCCAAGACCAGGCACCTTGGCAGAGATTTCTGGGTTGTCAGGCAGAACCGAGCATTCGAGGGTGATAACTCACTGGAGTCCCTGAAATCCCTGATGGACGCACCAGGTAAAAGCATCCAGGGTTGAAACCAGATCAGGAAGGTTATTGTCAGCCTGGGGCTCCTGTAGAGGTGCATCCACGTTGCAGGTATTTTCCTTCTTGCTGAGGAGAAACCTGGATTTCTCAGCTTTGGCACAGTCACAACATTTGGGGTGAGACCATTCGTGGTGGTGGTGGGGGGGCATCCTGTGTATTGTAGGACGGTTAGCAGCATCTGTGGTCTCCATCCTCTAGGTGCCATTCTACCCTCCCAGCTATGGCTACCCCAGATGTCTCCAGATGGTTTCAATGCTGTGGGGCAAGGGAGTGGTACGTGAGGAAAACCACCACAGTTGAGAGCCATTGGTCTACACTTGTGGAAATGTTTGAGGGTGAGAGTGTCGAGCTTGGGTCCCTGCTGTACCCTTTATGAGCAATGCTGTCTTGGAAAATTAATACTACTCCAGGGGCCTCAGTTTTCTCATCTATAAAATGGAGATAAATGAGATACACTTTCATAGGAAGGTTATATGGGATTTACTGAGATAATAAGACAGTACATGGAAAATACTGGGCATAGCCTTTATTTATTTAATTTTTTTTTAAGACAGAGTCTTACTCTGTTGCCCAGGCTGGAGTACAGTGGCATGATCTCTGCTCACTGCAACCTCCACGTCCTGGGCTCAAGTGATTCTCCTGCCTCAGCCTCCAGAGTAGCTGGGATTACAGGTGCCCACCACCACACCTGGCTAATTTTTGTATTTTTAGTAGAGATGGGGTTTCACCATGTTGGGCAGGCTGATCTCAAACTTCTGACCTCAGGTGATCCGCCTGCCTCGGCCTCCCAAGTTGCTGAGATCACAGGTGTGAGCCAGCACACTGGGCTTGTCATCGCATTGTAACACAGACAAAGCACAAAATACTTGGACAATATATTTTTACATTTGGCTTGTCTAGACTCCATCCTCCATCCCCTCGTGCACTGGTGTGGTGCAGACCAGAATATCGCCCTCCTAGACTGCAGAGTGGATTTGGGTGGCATCTTGGCTTTCTGCACAAGACTTGCCTGCTCCCCACCACATCCCCCTGGTTCTCAGGGTCCAGGATTCCAGGAGGCCGGGATGTGGGTAGACAGGTCAGGTGGCCCACCCAGTTCACTCTCACACTGGGGACCTGCAGAGCCAGCTCCCTGAGACAGGGTGTTTTGACCAACATCTGGGTTTTTGGATTTCCATTTGAGCACAGCTGGACTACACAGGCTGAAGTTCTCTGCCGAGATATAGATATTTCCCTGGCGATGATCTTTCAAGTTGACATGAAGACATGGCCACCCGCTGGAACATCGTGGGTCTGCCGTGGCGCTCTTGTAATTTGTGAGGCAGGCTCCTGATGAATGCAGTGAGTAAGTGGGAAATGGTAGGATGTTCTCCCATCCTCCCCTTGCCGAAAGTGCTGCCTGCGCAGGTTGGTGGACGGTCCTTTGAGCAGGAAGAAGACACGGAGCACATTCCTGTTAGCTACGACAGAGAGGGGCAGGGTACACACTGGACATTTCAAGCCCCTGTAGAGAAGCAAGTCTTACTGTGCTGGGAGTACTTGTGGAGTGGGGGCTGTGTTGCCCTGGGCTTTAATTATTTCAGGAACATTTAACCACAGGGCCAGCAGGCTGGATCCTGATATGTGTTTCTCAGTTGGAAAGATTTTGGACCATAGAGAAATGTCTTCTCAATTCTTTTAATTTCATTAAGGTGGTCATTTTTCTTCTTGTGGCCTCTGGAATGTGACACAGAACTCAAGGGACAGGAAGGAGATGAGTTGGAGGCTGGGACAGGGGTCCCTGCCAGGGATGCTGGTGACTCACGTGACGGTGTTGATGTGTGGAGTCCGGTGCCTGGTTTGGGGAATGTTCGTGGGATATGTTCCAAAGGACTGACGGACCTATCAGGTACTGGAGGTGAATGGTCAAGTCTGATCTCAGGGCTGACAGTGTCAGGCAAGGACAGGAAGTTGGCATTGGTCTCATTGGCTGAGGTTGCTGGGGACCCAGGGGGCAATGTGTGCCAGGACAGATGGGTCTGGGGCTAGGAAGGCAGGTTTGGGCTGGCGACCCGGGCTTGGGAGGCATCCCAGGTAGACAGTGGTTGAGGCTGTGGAAATGACGGCGATTGCCTGGGATGAGAGTGGAGACAGACAAGATGGGGGTTTTGCTTTAAGCCTGGGGAGCCCACCTCCCAGGTTCAAGCGATTCTCCTGCCTCAGTTTCCCAAGTAGCTGGGAATGCAGGTGCGTGCCACCATGCCTGACTAACTTTTGTATTCTTAGTAGAGATGAGGTTTGACCAGGCTGGTCTCAAACTCCTGACCTCAAGTGATCGGCCCACCTTGGCCTCCCAAAGTGCTGGGATTACAGACATGAGCCACCATGCCTGACCATTTTTAAATATTAATTTTTATGCAATATTTTCAAACACATTTTACTGTACATTGGAAAAGTCAATCATGATTTGAAAACTTTATAAAAATCCAATCAAATATCAATTAACCATTTAATTGTGGATAAGTAAGGAGACTATTTTGACCAAAACATGTTAGAACAATTACCACTTATAGAAATAATCTGTGTTTTAATGTTTTAGTTGAATTAAACAATCTTTTATATTCTGTCCAGGTGCAGTGGTTCACACCTGTAATCCCAGCACTTTGGGAGGCCGAGGCTGGCGGATCACCTAAGGTCAGGAGTTCGAGACCAGCCTGGTCAACATGGCAAAACTGTCTCTACTAAAAATACAGAAATTAGCCAGGTGTGATGGCACACACCTGCAATCCCAGCTACTTGGGAGGCTGAGGCAGGAGAATCGTTTGCACCTGGGAGACAGAGGTTGCAGTCAGCCGAGATTGAACCACTGTACTTCAGCCAGCCTGGGTGACAGAGCGAGACTCTGTTTCAAAAATAAATAAATAAATAAAATAGAATTCTGAATTTTATTTTTAATAATTATTTTTGTAAAGAGAATGTCTTGTTTTTTGGAGTTGTTGAATTTATTGAATTGGCAAAAATTATGTACAAGAGGGTATACAACATGATGTGATTGAGGTATGTATACATTATGAAATGGCTAAATCAAGCTAAATAACATATCACCTCCCAGACTTACTTTTAGGGGTGAGAACACTTAAACAATCTACTCTCTTAGTGATTTCCAAGTGTATGATATGTTGTTATTAACTATAGGTACCTTGTTGTCCCATGGATCTCCTGAACTTATTCTTCTCTAAAAATGACATTCTGTGTCCTTTGGCATCTGCCCACTTCCCCACCCTGGCAACCATCATTCTATTCTGCTTCTGTGAATTCAACTTTTTTCTTCTCTTTTTTTTTTTTCTTTTTTTTGAGAAAATCTCCTTCTATTGCCCAGGCTGTAGTGCAGGGTTGTGATCATGGCTCACTGCAGCCTTGAGGTCCCAAGTTCAATCAATCCTTCCACCTCAGCCTCCTGAGTATCTGGGAGTACAGGCATGCACTACCATGCTCCACTAATTTTTGTATTTTTTGTAGAGATGGGGTATTGCTATGTTATGCAGGCTGGTCTCGAACTCCTGGGCTCAAGCAATCTGCTGGTCTCAGCCTCCCAAAGTGCTGTGATTACAGGCGTGAGCCACCATGCCTGGCCGAGTTCAACTTTTTTAGATTCCACATGTAAGTGAGATCATGTGGTATTTGTCGTTCTGTGCCTGGCTTATTTCACTTAACATAATATCCTCCAGGCTCATCCACGTTGTCTCAAATGGCAGGATTTCCTTCTTTTTGAAGGCTGAATAGTATTACATTGTGTACATACACCACATTGTTGCTGGAAGTTTAATGGAGGCCAGTTGGGGGAGGATGGGGAGAAGATTCACTCTAAGTCTAGATGCTCCAGTACCCACCCAGGATGTGTGCAAGGAAGTGCAGGATGCTCCTGGTCTTGCAAACTGTGGTTTGTGGGACTCCAAAGCCCCTATCCTTCCACGATGCTTTCTGTCCTGTTATCACATTTCCTTGGAGGAGAACCCAGCCTTGGTGGAGAGCCCTGCTCTGGCTTTGTCCCTTGGCATGAGATGGCAAAGGATGGTGCCGCTGGGAGACCCTCACATCTGCACACTGGGGGCTGTTTGCCTTCTCCATTCCTCCTTCAAGTATCTGAGCAGCTCCTGTGTGCCAGCTGCTGGTCTACAAGATGGATGGGTCCTTGGAGATCACCCTGTAGCAGAGGAGGCAGGCTATAGCCCACAGGCCAGAACCAGCCCCCTGCCTGTTCACACAAATAAAGTTTTATTGGAACACAGCCACACCCATTTCAGTGCCTATTGTCTGTGGCTGCTTTCCTGCTACAATGGAGAGTTGAATATTTGGGACAGAGACCTATGGCCTGCAAAGCTGAACTATTTACCATCTGGCCCTGGAGAGAAAGGAAAAAAATGCTGATCCTTGTACCCCGACAGTCTTAGGTTAAGAGGACTTCGTACCACTCTGACGTCCCAGGCGGCCATGAGTCCAGCCACCCTTGAAATGTACACAAGTCTGGGCTGAGGTTGCAGCAGGTGAGGCCCAATTTTGCAGGTCTTTGGTATCAGGGGCACAACCCAGGATTTTGTGTGGGGTTTCTTCCTCACTGTGGCTGGGCACTGGGCAAGGGTGCTTTCTGATTTTTGTATGGGGAAGAGAAAGGAGGGAGGAAATGGCAACTTGTTGCCCTGTTCTAACATTTTCCTAAGATGGGTCTCGAGGCCAGGGCTTGGGATCTCACCTTGCACAGCTTACAAAACCCAGTGAGGCCGGCTGTCTTGGCGCTGCCACTCTGAGGGATGGAGCCCGCAAATGACTAGGAAGGGAGATAAAAGAATGGTTTCTGCAAGCACAAGAAGTGGCGTTATTGAAATTAACATTTCCCCCAAGTTTTACAATGTCTAGGCATGCATATTTAAGTGTCTGCCTCAAAAGCTCATGCTAATAAGGAGATGGTGCATTTAATTTCCTTTTTTTGTTCTCTGAGCAACATGCAGCTTCCTGCACAGCCCTCCTTGCAGGCAACTGCACTGAGGTGACAGTCCTCCTGACTGCCAGCACAGATCCCCAGGGCCTCTGAGGGCCCTGTATTCTGGGGGCAGTCTTTCACTTTCTATTCGGCCCCAGCTGGAAGGGGGCAGTTTAACCACAGCCCAGCACAGGTCTCCCGCCTTAGCTTCTCTAAGGAGTCTGGCTCCCTCTGACCCTCTAGACCTCACCAGCTGAGGATCAGAGCCCCGGGGCAGGAGCCAGGGCCAGGGGGCATTGGGGGTGGTTTGAGAGTGCAGCTCTGGAGGGGGGCAGTGCGGGCCCAGGAAAAGCTGCTCAGGGGAGACTGCAAAGAGATGGCAGAGTTAGGACAAGAGGGTCGGGCATGGTGGCTCACATCTGTAATCCCAGCACTTTGGGAGGCCGAGGTGGGCGGATCACCTGAGGCCAGGAGTTTGAGACCAGACTGGCCAATATGGTGAAAACCTGTCTCTACTAAAAATACAATAATTAGCCGGACATGGTGACACCTATAATCCCAGCTACTCGGGAAGCTGAGCCACGAGAATTGCTTGAACCCGGAAGGTGGAGGTTGTAGTGAGCTGAGATTGTGCCACTGTACTCCAGCCTGGGCAACAGAGCAAGATTCCATCTCAAAAAAAAAAAAAAAAAAAAATAGGACAGGAGGAGGAGGGAAGAGAAGGGAGCTGTGCGGCAGCGGCCAGGACCTTAAAGGCACAGAAGAGGAAGCTTGGATTTCCAATTCCAAAGGACATGAGGAAAATTCACACACCTTTATTTAACCTGCTCCTGGTGAGGCTGGGCTTTGTGTATTTTCCTTGTTTTCCTTTTCCTTGTATTCAGGCTGTTGTAGAAACAGGTACACAGGGGCTCTGTGTGGCGCCCTGTTCTAGTTGCCTTCAGGAAGCATGGGGTGCCCTGGTTTCCTTGGCTTCGTGTCCCCCTTTCCTCCTGCCACCCCTGACTGTGCCCCCCACCTTGTCCCTCAGAACATCTTCCTGGAAGGGCCTGGCCAGGGCTTGTGTCCTTGCTAGTCTCTGGGGAGGAAGACTCTGTGGCTTGAAAGGCTGTCGGCTTAAGTTGCAAGATGTAGGTGCCTGGGAGGGCATGTGCACGGCCCTCTTGACTGATCCATTCATGTTTTCCTTTTTTGACTCTGTTCTATGTTGTCCTGATGGAGGGGTAAGCCCCTGCCTTCTGCCTTTCCTGCCTTGGACTCTTGCAATTGGGCCAGATGAGAGGGTCCATGTGGTCTGAGAATTCAAGCAATGCAGGCCAGGCGTGGTGGCTCACACCTGTAATCCCAGGACTTTTGGAGGCTAAGGTGGGCAGGCCAGGAGTTTGAGACCAGGTGGCCAAAATAGTGAAACCCTGTATCTACAAAAAATACAAAAGTTAGTCGGGCTTGGTGGTGCATGCCTGTAATCCTAGTTATTTGGGAGGCTGAGGCAAGAGAATCCCTTGAACCCAGAAGGAGCAGGTTGCAGTGAGGAGCAGGTTGCAATGAGGAGGAGGTTGCAGTGAGGAGGAGGTTGTAGTGAAGAGCAGGTTGCAGTGAGGAGGAGGTTGCAGTGAGGAGGAGGTCGCAGTAAGGAGGAGGTTGCAGTGAGGAGGAGGTCGCAGTAAGGAGGAGGTTGCAGTGAGGAGGAGGTTGCAGTGAGGAGCAGGTTGCAGTGAGTAGGAGGTTGCAGTGAGGAGGAGGTTGCAGTGAGGAGGAGGTCGCAGTGAGGAGGAGGTCGCAGTGAGGAGGAGGTCGCAGTGAGGAGGAGGTTGCACTGAGGAGGAGGTTGTAGTGAGGAGGAGGTTGTGGTGAGGAGGAGGTTGCAGTGAGCCGAGATTGTGTCCCTGGACTCCAGACTGGGCAATAGAGCGAGACTATGTCTCCAGAAAAAAAAAAAAAAAAAAAAAAAATTTATATAGAAAACAGAAAGCAAAACTACCTCTTGATTTGCTTTTCTTGATCTTGCATCTCAGAGGTAACACTGGGAAGGGTTGGGTTATACCTCTCCCCACCTTTTTCTTTGATTTCTTTTTATTTTTTATTCTACGTTCTGAGATACATGTGCAGAATGTGCAGGTTTCTTACATAGATATACATGTGTCATGGTGGTTTGCTGCATCTATCAACCCGTCAACTAGGTTTTAAGCCCCGCATGCATTAGGTATTTGTCCTAACGCTCTCCCTCGCCTTGTCCCCCACCCTCGATGGGCCCCGGTGTGTGATGTTCCCCTCCCTGTGTCCATGTGTTCTCATTGTTCAACTCCCACTTATGAGTGAGAACACACCGTGTTTGGTTTTCTGTTTCTGTCCACAGCTTTTTCCTCTGTGCACACAAGCACATGTATTTGCACATAAGTATTTATTGTAATATTTTTAAAAAAGTAAAAATGCAATAATGCTATATTTATTCTTTGGAAAGCCTGCTTTTCAGGCAGCATGTCTTTGACATTGTCTCACGTTGGAACCTGGGTACCACCTTCTTCTCCCTGCAGTTATTCTGACCTGTGGATGCACCACGCTTCGTTTAACCAGCCCTGCACCGATACGTCTTTGGAGGGTTTCCGCCTTTTCCCAGTCACAGACGGTGTTCTGATGAATTTCCTTACACACATCACTTGGTGCTCTGTGCCTGCATTTCTGTGAGATGTTCCTGGAAGTGGGCTGTCTAGGTCAGAGGGGGATCTGTGCTCAATTTGCATCCTGTGCAAAACTCCATCCGGTCATCCAGCTTCCCAAGGGCTCACATGGTACTGTCCTCTGTAGACATCATCTTCTGCAGATGATGGCATGACAGCCCCTCTTTCTTTTACTCACACCAGTTTGCACCCTGGTGTCCTGGGGGTTCCAGCCCCTACCTGCTTGTCTGCCTCCACCCCACAGTGCCCCCAGCCCCTGCTAACAGGGACTCTGGCTTCTGAGCTCTGGCAGACTGCCTCACTCTGGAGAAGTTTGCTTTCTCAAACATTCCTGGCAATGTTACTGCAAATCTCGAGGCCTGCATTTGCCTTCTTCAGGCCTCAGTTTCCTCAAAAGTAAAATGGGGATAATGTGATGCTACTGTCTGCATCCTAGAGCTGCCATGAGGGTTCAGTGAGATCACTGTTGAGAGCACGTTCACAGCGCCGGCCTTGTGCGCAGTCAGCACGTGTGGGGCAGGGCTGTTGCTGATACGTGGTTGACTGTCATTGCTAGACTGTGGCTTTACCAGGGTCAGTGTCTTTAGTGCTGAGCCCAGAGCCACCCCTAGTACCTGCTGTGTTTATAGAGTGATTGAGTGGCAGGGTCAGAGACTGGGGCAATGGCAGCAGAAACAGAGGAAAGAAGTGGGGCTTCTAATAGTTCCTGCACCAGTGGCCCTTGAGATGAAGCCTTCTTGCCAAGGTCTGGGGCTGTGCTGTGTGTTCTAGGCCCGAGACTGGAAGCTAGGCCTGGCTACAGCCCCAGCTGACCTGGGGAAGTGCATGTCAGCATCCTGCTTCATTAGGACACCTCCAAGCCCAGCTTAGACCTGGATTCCAGGTGACCCCCTGTTTACTCTGAGCCCAGACAGAGGACAGAGAAGTGTGCAAGGGTGGGGACCCTCATCACAGCCCTTGACTCTGTAAGGCATATGGGTTTGTGCACGTGTGTGAGCACGGCCGTGGCTTCTCTGTGAGTTTCAAGCTCGAGGTTGTGTTTATGCAGGGTTAGGCTTGCCAGGTAAAATACAGGAGGTCCAATTAAACCTGAACTTCTCATTAACCTTTTTTTTTTTTTTTTTTTTTTTTTGGTGCAAATATATCCCATGCAATATTTGGGACCTGCTTACCCTAAAAAATGATTTGTTGTTTATCTGAAATTCAAGTTAAGCTGGCATCCTGTCTTTTCACTTGCTACGTATGAGAGTTCCGTGTGGGGGTTATCAGTGTGCATTTGTGAGTTCCCATGTGAAGGACTCTCTCCAAGTGTCTGTAGGTGTCAGGATGGAGATGGACAGAGAAGGTCCTCTTGGGCTGCTTTAGTGGCACCTAGAGGCTGTGGGGTTGGACACTTCAGCCCCAGGGGCCTGGGCAGCACTGTCCAGCACGTGCCTGCTCCTGTCTTCTCCACGGGGGCTGACTTCCCTGCCATCTCTCTCCAAATACGGTGGCAAGAGCTATCCCATCTGCCCCCATCTGGAGCTCGGCGTCCCAGCCAGACAAGATGGCAAACAGTGTGCAGAGGGTTGCAAAGCTTTCCCCAGCTCCTTCTGCAAGGGGCCTGCAGATGAAAGGAAAGCCCTCATCCTCACCGCCTCCCGCTTCCAGAAAACCCAGGCAACAGCCACCTCTGAATGCTGCTTTAGAAGCTTCTCCCTCCTGGTGATTAAACCACCACAAACAAATAAAGCACTGCATTTCCACCATAGACTTGTTCACATGCACGCAGCCAGTTGTCTTGGATCCGCCCCTGTGCCTGATTCATCAGGGTGAGGGGTTCTCCTCTGAGGTGCTTGCAAAGAGCTGCCTAATTTTCATGTGAAAGACTCTTTGTAGAAACCAGGCCCAGCTTTGGAAGAAAGCCCTTTCTCCCCCTTTAGCAAATTCGATGTCATTTTTTTTTTTTTCTTTTTTGAGACGGAGATTCACTTTTGTTGCCCAGGCTGGAGTGCAATGATGCAATCTCAGTTCACTGCAGTCTCTGCCTCCTTGGTTCAAGCGATTCTCCTGCCTCAGCCTCCTGAGTAGCTGGGACTACAGGCACCCACAACCACACCCAGCTAATTTTTTTTTTTTTTTTTTTTTTTTTGTATTTTTAGTAGAGAGGGAGTTTCACCATGTTGGCCAGGTTGGTCTTGAACTCCTGACCTCAGGTGATCCACCTCGGCCCCCAAAGTGCTGGGATTACAGGCATGAGCCACCACGCCTGGCTGGAATTCTGTGTCATTCTGGATAGTTATCATGACTTCAAGCATCCAGGACTCTGTCCTGGGTATCCTGAGCCTGAGGGTGTATGTGTGTCCAGCTGGCTTGGAGGTTGTCTACAGACAGGTTGAACTTGGCCTCTGAGTGCATGGCAGCCTCAAGTGGGAAATACCACCAAGGAGCCTCATCGTGTGCTTTTAGGAGATAGTTTCTATTTAGTCATTGCTGAATCTGTTACAGACAGGGTCTCGATTTCTTGCAAGTCCTGTATGAGGTCGGTGCTGTGATTATCCACATTTTCACTTGCTCTCTCTGGCCTCTTTCAGGCTCTTGCACTTCCTTTGTTCTTTTCCTGCCACAGGGTCTTTGCACATCCTGCTCTTTCCGCCTGGAAAAATTTTCCCTCTCCCTGCTTCTTCACCTGGTCACGGTCTCATCTGACAGTGGAGTCACTACATCCTCAGGGACGTCTGGCCACACTGACTCAGTCCCAGTAACCCCCTGTTATCTGCTTTCATGACACCAGGTGCCTCTCTGTGGTAGACACTAGCTCAGCTATGGCTTCCTATTTCTGTGCGTGTCATCCTTCCCCTTCAAGACTGTGGTCACCATAAGGGCCAGGGACATGCCTGTTCTGATTCTCATTTGTGTCTCTGGTGTTTAGTATATGCTCACCTAGAATTTGATTAATGAATGACAACATACCCATTTTACAGATGAGAAAGTTGAGGCTTGGGAACATTATGTAACTTGCTCGGTATTAGATAGTGATGGTTTGTAGCCATCTGGCCAGTCGCTGGGTGCACACTCTTAACCACTTTACTATGGTTCTTCTCTCATGGTAGCTCTCCAACAGCAGGAGTGAGAGACAACTTTAGGATAGGTGTAACTAGAATCTCAGGGCTTATCCTAGAAGGTGTTGTCAGGAACATACTTGCCTATGGGCCTTCTTACTGTATTGCATAAAATACCCAGTTTTTCTGACTCACCCTTAGTAAAGACCTTAGCAATATTTGAAGCACAGTTGTCAGTAGGAAAGGGTGGATGTTTATACTTTTTTAAAAAGGAGGCTATATCATATTTATCTTGTGGTCTACCATGCCCCCCGATCTTCTTCAGCTTCAGTTATGCAAAATTCACACTTGTTCTCTTGACTGCCTCTCTCTTACCTGTTCAGTTTCTTTTCTGTGATCGAGATTGCTTAGAATTTTTCCCCATTACTACAGTCTGCTTCCCAACTGCATCCCCCACCCAGCTTGTTCTGGATTTTGTCAACAACAGTTCCAGCGTTTAGTGAGGGCTGGACTGAGGGAGAGCCTTGGAAAAGGCTGTGTGATGAAAGCTGAAGACACCTAATGGGCAGGCCGTCATCAGGGTTAATTCAAAGGCTGGAAGAAGGGCTGACCTGGAGGACTGGAAATGTCTTTGAGCTGAAGGTCATGTGCAGGTGGAACGAAGAGGGTGAGCATTTTGGGGTGAACTGCAAGTATTTGATAATATCCCTGTCCCCATTGTTGGGGAAGTCTTGATAAGCATCCTCAATGTGATGGAGGGATGAAGGAATCCGTGGCTCTACCTGCCCAGCATGACAGTAATATGACACAGCCAAGTTATTGATTATTGGTTGCCCAGCTGTCATCAGCTCAACATCTTCTGTTAGTTATAGCTGCAATTTGCATTAGTTATCAATGCCAGTTTTGACTTTCCTAGTCAATAAAGTGTTCTGAGAGTGGTGACTAAGGCTGAGCACTACCTATAATCATGAGTATTACAGAGGCAAGCCCCCTTGCCCACCTACCTGCAGGTGATGAGACACCCTAGGGAAATCACTCAATTCTTTGGAGGACCCCGAATAAATGCCCAAGTCCATCTGTTCATCTGTCCATCCATCCATCCACCCTTCCTTCCTTCCATCCGTCCATCCATCCATCCATCCATCCAGAGATGCATACATCCAACCACCCACCCATCTATCTACCCACCCACCCATCTATCCATCCAACCCACTGTCTTATGCACCCAGCTATCATCCACCTACCCACCCACCAACCCATCTGTCCATCCGCTCACCCATGCATCTATCCACCCATTCACTCATCTAACCATCTATCCACCCACCCATCCATCCATTTATCCCTTCAACCCCTCACCCACTCATCCATTTCTCCACCCACTCAGCCATCACTTCACTGACTCAACCATCCATTCATTCGTCCACCTGCCCACCCACCCATTATCCATCCATCCTCCTATGTATCCATCCATCTGTTGTCCTTCTGTTCATTTATGCCACAAAGACTCGTTAACCACCTGCTAGATTCTGGGGAGGTACCTGCTCTAGTAATGGAGAACATGGTCTCTGGAATATGATTCCCTGGGCTCAAACTGAGCTGCCTCCTAGTTAGCTGCTTGGGTAAGTTATAGAAACTGTGCTTTGACTTTCTTATCTGAAAATTGGCTATTAATACCTTCTACTTTTGCAGATATAGTGAGGATTAAATAAGATGTCACATTAAAAGTGCATCATCGGCACTCAATAGAAATTAGGTTTTACCATTCATTATTATTCTTGGCAGATGCTGCAGACAACATGGAGAGCATATGAAAGACACATGTTTGAACAAATAGTGACATACAGGTGCTACGTTCTGCAGTAGGGGAAGGTCAGAGAGCCATGGAGAGGGCCTAGCCCAATCCTGGAGCCTCAGAAAAATGTTCCCCGTTGAATTCCTGTTTTAGCTGAGACTTGTGGGATGGATAATAGTTGGAGATCCCAGACAGGATGTGACCGAGTTAGCCAGGGAAAAATTGGGTCCTGGCACCCATGGCAGAATTGATTGATCAGTTCTTCTGTCTCCTGTGTTTGGAAGTCCACTAGGTCTGGGAATGTCAAGTTGGGGGAGGGCGCTGACAATGATCATGACCTTCACCTGTCCTCACATGTCCTCTGTGTATCTGCAAAGCCTCTGCCTCAGTCTCCTCTTTTGGAAAGTGGGATTGGAAACCACATCTACTTCTCTCCCAGGACTGCTAGGAAGACAAGATTAGATGGCAGGTGAGAGCTCTTTGAAAATGAAAACATTCTACTATTTGAGTGCAAAGTGTTCTTCTTTGCCTGTGATGTTTCCTAATCTGTGAAATCATACTGGACCTCGAAGCTGTCTATTAAAAAAATAGCAAAGTGGCTGGGCATGGTGGCTCATGCCTATAGTAGTTCTAGCACTTTGAGAGGCTGAGGAGGGTGGATCATTTGAGGCCAGGAGTTCGATACCAGCCTGGCCAATATGCGAAACCACATCTCTACTAAAAATACAAAAATTAGCCAGGTGTGGTGGCATCTGCCTGTAGTCCCAGCTACTCGGGAGGCTGAGGCACAAGAATCATTTGAGCTCAGGAGGCAGAGGTTGCAGTGAGCCAAAATTGCACCACTGCACTGCAGCCTGGGAAACAGAGTGAGGCTCTGTCTGAAAAAAGAAAAAAAAAAGCAAAGTTAACACTTCCTCCATCTCTCCCCTGGGGGAGGCAATTTGTCAAAGATTGTTGTTGGATTTTACACACAGGGAAATCTAAGGAAGGTGTGGAAATCAGACCAAGACTCCATACTCTGGTCTCTCTGTTTGCAGGGTCTTAAAACGGGGAGCCACTTTGGGTTCTTTCTACAAGATTGCTTTTATAAAAACAAACAAACAAACAAAAAACTCAAAAAAAAAAAAGCCCTGACCTAAATATTCACAAGGGACCTTAGGCAATATCTGCTAACAAAAGTGAGTGAGGAGTGGAATCTGTCATCTTTACAACTAAGACAGCTCCAGAGTTGAAGCAAGTGGAAATATCTCTAGAGACAGAGACTTGGGCGGGTTTTGCCACTTACAAGCTATGAGAACCTGGGCAGGTTTACATCTCTGAGCTTCTGTGACCTTGTAAAATAGGCTGCATTGCGCTAAACTTGCAGGAGGAATCCCAGCATCCTCCTGTGCACAAGGCTGGTTTCTTCCCATCCTTTTCCTTGTTCTGCCTCTCTCCTCCTCTCCAAGAGATGAATACATTTGGAGCCAGTAGGGGTCTATGTTTGCAAAAACTCGCAGGTGATTCTCATGCAGCCAGCCTGGCTCTGGCACTGAGTTCTTGGACACTTCTGGAGGCACATTTACTAGTGAGGAAGGTCACTGTGTGCTGAAGGCATGATTCATCTTCCATTCCTTTCTTCCATGAAGCAAGACGCATGGGTCGACTGAGCTGGGAGAGTCCACGGTGTCAGCCTCCCCCATGCTTCCCTCCCTCCTTATTCCTTGTGTGCTGTACTTTGTCTTGATTTCCTGTACTCTGCACCAAGCCAGGAGATGGTAAGATCTCAAAAAAATGATTTTTTTGGGAAATGGGATCAAGACGGTTTTTGTTTGCTTGCTTGTTTGTTTGAGACAGGGTCTGTCGCCCAGGCTGAAGTGCAGTGGCGTGACCTTGGCTCACTGCAGCCTTGACCTTCTGGGCTCGGGTGATCCTCCCACCTCAACCTCCTGAGTAGCTGGGACTGCAGGTGCACACCACCATGCCTGACTAATTTGTCTATTTTTTGTAGAGATGAGGTTTCACCATGTTGCCTAGGCTGGTCTCAAACTGCTGGGCTCAAGCAGTCCTCCATCCACCTCAGCCTCCCAAAGTGCTGAGATTACAGGCATGAGCTGCTGTGCCTGGCCGAGGTTTTTTTTTTTTTTTTTTATTGTTATTACGAAAACTTTTCAATAAACATAAAAGTAGAGACACCAGTTTAATGAGCTATCATATACCCATCACATAGATTTAAAAACTATTAACATTTGCAATATTTACTCCATTTGTTTTTCTGAAGTATTTACAAAATAGTTTACAGTAGTTATTTAATTGCATCCTGATATTCACCCCTACATAATTTACTTTCCCTCTAAAAACATGAGGGCATTTTTTATATGATCATTGTCATACCTAATCAAATTAGCAGTAATTCCTTAATATCCTCTAAGATCAAGTTTACATTCAGATGTCTTGTCCTCAAAATGTCAATTGTGATTATTTTTTTCTTTGACCAAAGATAGTAAGATCTCAAGATTTAATGACAGAGATTCCATGTTAGCCCTGATGTCTAAGTTCTGTGGTCCATTGTGGCTTTACTTGAAAGTCTGACGCTAGGCGTGGTGGTTCACATCTGTAATCCCAGCACTTTGGGAGGCCAAGGTAGGCGGATCATAAGGTCAAGAGATCAAGACCATCCTGACCAACATGGTGAAACCCTGTCTCTGTTAAAAATACAAAAATTAGCCAGGTGTGGTGGCGGGTGCCTATAGTCCCAGCTACTCGGGAGGCTGAGGCAGGAGAATCACTTGAACCCGGGAGGCGGAAGTTGCAGTGAGCTGAGATTGCACCACTGGAGGCCAGCCTGGGTGGAAAGAACGAGACTCTGGAAAAAAAAAATAAAGTCTGTCACTGTGGTCTCATAATAAAAGGACACTCCATTTCCTATCTGGCCCCTGCTCCTTAATGTTAGCCCCCTCCTGTTGGGAGGAGGGGGTGACTTTCAGCGCAGGTTCAAACATTCCCAGGGCTGGCTCTGATCTCACTAAAGCCCATCGTCATGAATGAATGCTTCCCTTGCAGGTTATTCTAAGTATTGTAAAGAGTGCACGTGGAGTGTCCTCATGATGCCTGGAATGGTAGTGAATATTTATAGGTTTCTTTTAGTGCCTTTTTTTTTTAGTGTTTTCTATACTTCCATGTTTCTACAACCCTTAGGAACATCAGAATCATGTGTGTGTGGGTGCTTATTAAATAAACCAGTTCCTGAAGCTCACTCCCAGTGACTGCCAGTCTGATGATTAGGGGCTTAGCTAGGACCTAGGTTTGCAAAAGCTCCCAGCTGATCTCATGCAGCCAGCCTGGCTCTGGCTCTGGCGCTGGGAGCTGGGTTGGGAACTAGTCTTTGGTGCTATTCTGCTGATACTTCAAGTTGGGCTCTTTGACTCTGTCTTGTATTGTCATCACTTGTATTCAGGTCTGTTCTTCCCCTGGATTGTAAACTCCTTGATGTCTGGGTCATCTCAGCTCATGAGCTGAGCTTTCAGTGGGTGCTCAGTGGAACAGGTGCTGAATGGAGTCAGGCTGTAGGGAGGCCAGCGTGTGTTGGTAAGTGAGAGACAAAAATCATTTTAAAAAGAAACTTTTTGCCCTTCAGTTGTGTTTGCCATGAGTTAATGTGATTTACTCTAGTGGAAGGCAGTGCAGCTTAAGTGGAGGTCTTGCCCTGAAATGGAGCCAGGTTATGGATCAGCAGAGCTGCCAAAAGCGTTTTGGGGGAAATGTTTCTGTGTCACCCTCAGTTGATTGAACTCAAGTTTTCACTCCCGTTTAACACCACGTGGGGGCCATTCTGACTTCTTCAGAGTGGGTATGATCAGATCTTCTGTAAAAGTGTACGTGAGGGGGCTGGGCACGGTGGCTCACACCTGTAATCTTAGCACTAGGGAGGCTGAGGTAGGTGGATCACTTGAGGCTGAGAGTTTGAGAAAAGCCTGGACTACATGATGAAACCTCATCTCTACTAAAAAATACAAAAATTAGCCAGGCATGATGGTGCATGCCTGTAATGCCAGCTATTCAGGAGGCCGAGGCAGGAGAGTCACTTGAACCTGGGAGGTGGAGGTTGCAGTGAGCTGAGGTTGCACCTCTGCACAGCATTCCAGCCTGGGTGACAGAGCGAGACTCTGTCTCAAAAAAAAAAAAAAAAAAAGTGTACGTGAGAAAACTGGAATTGAGCTTGAGGATGTTGGGGGATGGAGTTACTTCATTTACTGAACAACAAAATCCATAGGATACCAATGCTGGAGGAAGAAGCATCATCCTCAGTTTCTACTAACTCAACCACGCATGAGATGGGGATTTGGTGGCCGAGAGAAAAGCTTCTTTTTAGGTCTTGAACCTTGATCAAACCATTTCTGAATTCCTCATACACATATAATCAGGTGCTATGAGTGGTACTGATTGGATAATCTTTCTGTCGTTTCCTGTGCTAGGAAGGAAAATACATGTACAGCCAACTTCCTTGAGGGTTCGTTCTTTTGCATCAGGGTGTCTCAAACTGCTGCCCTTAAAACACCTGTAAGAGAAGCATCCAGGGGGCTTGCTCGGTCTGCATGCAGGCCCTTTAGAATCAGAGTCAGAATCCCTGGGGCTGGAGCCACAAAATGACATGACATTTCAACGAGTTTGTCATCATGTGAGAGAGAATAGGTGAGTATTTGAATACCTATAATACAAAGTAGATTGAAAAAGAATGACTTGATTATTTTAAATGTTGTGTTTTTAAAAATTTAATACAGAAAAGGCTGGGCACGGTGGCTCATGCCTGTAATCTTAGCACTTTGGGAGGCCAAGGCGGGTGGATCATTTGAGGTCAGGAGTTCAAGACCAGCCTGGCCAACAAGGTGAAACCCCATCTCTACTAAAAATATAAAAATTAGCCAGGCAGTAGTGGTGCTTGCCTGTAATCCCAGCTACGTGGGAGGCTGAGGAAGGAGAATTGCTTAAGCCTGGGAGGCAGAGATTTGGTGAGCTGAGATCGTACCACTGCACTCCAATGTGGATGACGATTGTTTAACCACCACCAACATGGGTTCTGAGTCCAACTGTTAACATGAAGATGACATCCATTGTGGTCTTGTACATTTTGTTGCCTTTCTGGGGTGAAGGACATTGGTGACCATTTGTTTCCTCTGGAGCGGTCGATTGGTCATGAACTTCCTGGTCCAGATAGTTGCTGTGTCATTCATCATGGTGGTTGATCCTCAGGTAGTTAGGGAGGAAAATAAACAAGAAGTTATATATTTAAAACCACGTTTCAATTTTACACCTGATTAATTGACTAAATAAAGGGCATTAGCACTTCTACTTCCTACAGTCCCTCCCTTTACCTCTGGAAACTAGTGATTTCTAGGTTGTTTTGTGTTGTTAAGGTGGGCCACCTTTTCTTTCTGTTCTGCACTCATAGTCCTATTTTTAAATGGATTCACCTCTCATCACTAGCCTTTTGTCATGGTCATTCAATTCACAAGTTGCTTATTTTTTAATTTCTTGGCTGACTAAATTTTATTATGAAGACTTTTTTTTTTTAAAGAGCTCAGAAATACTGTATTCTTTAAGTTCTTGAACTTGTGATAGTGTCTATTGCCTATTTTGATTGGGCAATAATTTAGCTGGCTATAAAATTCTTGGATTATACTCTATTTCCCTTAGAAATTATAGGCACCCATCCACTGACATTTCACTGGGCTTTTTTTTTTTTTTTTTTTTTTTTTTTTTTTGACATGGAGTCTTGCTCTGTCACCCAGGCTTGAGTGCAGTGGTGCGATCTTGGCTCACTGCAAGCTCTGCCTGCCGGGTTCACACCATTCTCCTGCCTCAGCCTCCCGAGTAGCTGGGACTACAGGGGCCTACCTCCATGCCTGGCTAACTTTTTTGTATTTTTAGTAGAGACGGGATTTCACTATGTTAGCCAGGATGGTCTCGATCTCCTGATCTCGTGATCCACTGGCCTTGGCCTCCCAAAGTGCTAGGATTACAGGTGTGAGCAACTGTATGAGCCCAGCCTCATTGTGCTTTGTACTGACCCCCTCTCCCTGGCCTCTTCCAGCTTGTCTTTTTCTCTCCCAGTAGTTTCTTCATGATGAGGCCATGTGCTATATTCCATGAGATATTTCACACTCAAAGAAGACTTCTTTTATACTCTTGTGATAATTTGTCTGGGAATCACTGTCTTCATTTATAAGGGAGTTTGTAATAAATACAGTAAAAGAGAAACACACAACATATTTTGAGATATCAGAGAAGGGGGAAACCAATTCTATTAATATTTGGGGTTAGCAGGGAAGGCATAGTTAAGAGGTAACATTTGAACTAAGCCTTGAAATAAGGGAAGGATTTGGCCATCCAGTAATGGGGAGAGAGTAGAAACAAGACATGATGGTTAACGGTATGTATCAATTTGACTGGGTTGTGGGGTGCCCAGATATTTGGTTACACATTATTCTGGGTGTGTCTCTGAGGTATTCTGGATGAGGATAACATTTAATTGGTAGACTGAATAAAGCAGATTGTCCTCCCCAATATGGGTGAGCCTCATCCAATCCACTGAAGGCCTGAACAAAACAAAAAGGTAGAGTCAGAGAGAATTTGCTCTTTTTACCTGATTATATTTGAGCTGGGACATCAATCTTCTCCTGACTTTAGATGTGGACTCGAGTTGGAACAATATCATTGGCTGTCTTGGGTCCCCAGCTTGCTGGCTGCAGACTCCAGGACTCCTTAGCCTCCATAACCATGTGAGCCATCCTTTACAACAAATCAATCTGTCTCTATGTGTATAGATCTAACTCTATCTCTCTGCTCTTTCTCTGGAGAACTTAGAGTAATACACAAGGTTACATTAGAGAAGAGGATGACCCAAGGAAAAGCGTGGAGGCAGAAAACTGCAAAGAGGGTTTGGGAAGACGGGGGTCCTGATGGGGAGTTTGGATTTCACTGTGTGTAGCATGCAGAATCTTTGAAAATATTCAAGAGGTGAAAATTGTATTTGTGGAAGAACACCAGGAGTATGTGAAAAGAAAAACACTCACTCCATTTTAACTCCACTGAAGGGGGCATCAGAGGGATGCACTGAGGACATGGGTTGGAGGGTAGTTGAGGCCATATCTGGAGGATCTTTACTTCTAGGCTGAGTCTGAAGTTATCTTTCTGGGGAGTGGGAGATTACAAATCTTTGAGCTCCACTCAAGAGATGGTTTTGCTAACAATGGCAGGGCGAAGGTGGTGGTGGTGGTGGTGGTGGGAAACTGTTATCATGAATTCTAATTGGGCTTCTGTTATTCTAGCTGAGAAAGTTGGGGAATGGACTTTCAGTAGAATAATACAGATCTGGGAATCAACTGCATGGAGGAGGTAGTTATAGGTGATGAGATGGCTCAGGGACAAAGTTTGGTAGAAGGAGAAAAGATACTAGGCTGGTACAAAAATAATTGCTATTTTTGCCATTACTTTTAATGGCAAAATCCGCAATTACTTTTGCACAAACCTAATAGGATGTAAACTTCGGAGCCATCTGCATCAGAGGGATTGATGAAGATCAACAAAGTTTGGGAACACAGGAAAGGAGCGGGGAGGGTAATGACTTGAGGGCATAGCAGGGATAATCAAGGTTTTTCTTATTAGCATGTGGAGACTTAAGCATGACTATATGTTAAATGCCTGGCACATACATGGTGCAAAATATTTATGAGTGAAATGACAAGTGAAGGTGGTGAGTCATGGGAGTTCCAAGGGAACGGGTGATAAAGGGAGGTCTCAAATGAGGCACAAGTGGGGAAGGTAGCTTGGGAAAGGAGAAGGATGTTTCTCCTTATAAGATGGGAAAGGCAGAGGAAGAGGGTCAAGATACAGTGATCTAGGGGTGAGATGGAAGTGAGTTGAGAGAACTCAGCTCTGGGCTCTTTTCACCCCTAGGGATGGGTTTGGGGGTTTTTGAGATATGGAAGAGGCTTAAAGTCAATTGTTATGGCAAATATGGTTTGGAATTTATTTGCGATGCTTAAAAATATTGCTGAACAGAAGTGAAGTCTTTCCTAGAGTTGGACGGTGAGATTATTTAGTGGAACTACGAGATCCCTGTTGTGATTCTTTCCAGTATCATTCAGCAGCCCTTGGTCAGTTGCGAGGCAAGTCATCAATGGGGTATGGAGATTTTCCAGGTGGGTGTGGTTGAAGGCAGGGAAGAACGAGTTTAGGAGCACATTACAAGAGGAAGGTAACTGTTAAGTCCAGGCTGAGCAGGAATGTATAGCAAGAAGGAAACATGAGGTTGTGAAGAGAAGTTTAGAGGGATGAGGAGTCAGGAGAGGTGAACAGTTGCAGGACGTAGCTAGAGTGGCGATGTTAGATCTTGGGGCCAGAGAGCTTTACAATGAGTATGAAGATCAAAGGGCATTAGAATCAAGCTATAAAGAGCCACTGTTTGATGTTGGTTTGTAAGTATGCTGCAGGTGGATGTCTGCACATTGATGGTGAGAACGTGGTCACCCTGGCCCTGCTGGGTCTTTGCTAAAGAGACTCTGCTCTGTTCTTGGGGCCGTTTTCGTCACCTGATAAGAGCAGTGGTTCCCAAATTGTGTTCTTTGGACCATCTGTATAAAATATTCATAGGTCAAGGATAAGATGGAAAAACAGAGAAAATGTCACAGACATGTGCCCATTGGTGAAAGACCACCAGCTGTCCTTTTTGGAGGATTTTTCTTTATTCTAAAAATGTATATATTCTATTCTATTAAAACATTTTTGTATTTGCATTTTTTTCTCTTTTATGAAATGCCATGGGGTAGAAATTTGTAATGTATCCAATTCTCCTGTCTCCATGCATTGCAGTGTGGTGGGGGAAGGGATGTGGCTAGTACTGGCCAAGAGGCTGGGGGCAGAGGTGCAGTGTTAGACTTCTAGCCCGAAGCATTTAATTCTTAGTACAAGGCTCTCTAGCATTCTTCTCCCTCTGTTCCCTGCTTGGTGATACTCGAGGTATTGCAACCCCCATTAGCCTTACTCTTAGGGAAAGTTTGATGGGAAACAGAGCACCCCACACCTCCCTGCAGATGTAGCATGAGTAAGAAACACAACTTCTGATGTTTGAAGTTACCAAGATTTAGGAGTTGTTTGTTATTGCAGCAAAACCTCACCTATTCTGACCAATCATGGTGGAAATTCCGTGTGTGTGTGTGTGTGTGTGTGTGTGTGTGTTTGTGTGTGTAACTGGTAGTTTAAAAAATTTCCTTCTTACCAAAAAGAAAAAGAAAATAGCAACCTTATGTTGGTTCTCAAATTAAAAAAACAAATTTTACCCGTTTATAAAATAGAAAAATCTGAGAATCTGTAGCTTAGAGAACTACTGTGTGGGATGTCTTTAAAGACCAGGTTATTTTATCAGCTCCTAACACCCCTTAATAGAAGCTTAGCCAAGACTTGGACTATTTCAGTCTTTCCCATTCCACATTCCATGGACTCTTGAAGAGACATTGATAAAACGGTGCAGCCATGAACCACCCTAACTCAATCCTAGTGGCAGAACCTGCCTTTTACTGCAGAATGAGCTTCTTGCTACAGTGATACTTCAACCCCTTAGATATATCCTGTACTATTTATATTAAAACACGACCAATGCTTTTGCTTTGTTGTCCCCCAAATTAAACACATTAATCACGAGAACCCAGAGAATTGGATTTAGTGTACCTGATTCCAAACTGTCAGTAAGAACATAATTAAGTTATATTTTTCTCCAATTCAAATAAAAGAAAGTTGACAATAAAATGCTGATCAATATGTGTAGCTCAGGAGGTAGAGCCTGCTTTGAGATGCAGAAGTGTTTGCTTTTTTTAGATCTATATTCTTGAGTAAAGAAAAAAATCCATCTCTCTTTCCTAGAAGGGAAGAGTTTCAGAACTGGGCTTGGCAACAGCCTGACTATCAGAGGCTGAATTAAACAAATAGGTACCTCCCTGGAATGAATGGTGGGTTTCTCCAGTTCGGGAAACCGTGCTTTTATGTTGGAGTTTGCTTTCTGTCTTGGTCTCCGGATGTGTGTATCTGTGGGTGGATGTCTGCATGCAAATGGCAGTGTATACCTGTGTGGGTGTGTACAAAATTCCCATGTGAATCTCAGCTTTGTGGGGATTTCCGGATCTTGAGCCCAGCAGATGCCATTTGAAGAAAAATCACTTGAAAATGAGATAGAAAGAATGGAAACTAAATCCTAGCTCTAAAGGCACCAGGCTGATTAAAAAAAAAAAAAAAAAAAACTCTGGATCTTCTTTGTTTTGGACTCTACCTACCTCCTAATAACATTTCCGTTTCCTATGAGATGATTAGAATGAAAGAGATCCTGAGCACAAAAGAGCAGATACTGTGCGATAGTGTGTATGTCAGGGTGTTAGCTGTGACACTGCTGGCATTTTGGCTCAGCAGTTTCTCTGTTTTATGTGTGGGGGTTCCCTGTGCATTTCAGGATGTTGAGCGGCATCCCTGGATCCCTGGACTCACTGGATGCAGTAACACAACTCCCCCCAAGTAGAGACAAACCCCAGTGTCTCTAGATATTGCCTAATGTCCCCAGGGGACAAAATAGCCCCATCTGAGAACTGCTGCTTTCATAAAGTACAATGTCAGGTGAAATAGGTGGAGGCTGTTTGTAGTCAGGGGTTAATAGAGATGGAAAAGACCCCAGGAATATCCTGGAAGGGGCTGGAATATTTTGTTTCTTGAATTGGGTGTCAGTAATATGGAGATGTTCAGTTTTTTGTTGTTGTTGTTGTTGTTTTTTTGAGGCAGGATCTTGCTCTGTCACCGAGGCTGGAGAACAGTGGCACCGTCATGGCCCACTGCAGCCTCTGCCTCCTGGGCTCAAGCAGTCCTCCCACCTCAGCCCTCCTGAATAGCTGGAACTACAGGCATGTGCCATCACTGTTGCTGAATTTTTGTATTTATTTATTTTTTGTAGAGAGGGGTGTATCACTATGTTGCCCAGGCTGGTCTTGAGCTCCTGGGCTCAAGCAATCTGCTCACCTCGGCCTCCCAAAGTGCTGGGATGACAGGCATGAGCCACTGCGTCTGGCCAGTATGTTCAGTTTGTAAGGAAAGTACTGTGTTGACCTCTTCTATGTGCACATTTCTTTAAGTAATAATTCAATAAACCATTTAGAAAAATTGGTCATAATAGGAGTGATTTGTAGAGTGATTGGCATGAAAGCTGATCACCTTAATTTGAACTACTCTGAAATGAGCACCAGGGGACACCAAGAGGACCCTTTCAAGGTGTCATAGCCAAGGAGAGGAGTGTGTTGTGTACATCTCTGCATAAAGGATTTGCTGATTATATGGAAGGATGAAGCCTCCTTCTGAGGACAGAGGCAGCAAAGCAAGTGGAAGCCCAAAGCATTGAGCTTTCTAAATGGACTTTGCTAAAATCTTGTGGATGACTCATGCTCTTAACATACACCCATGTACATATTGTCCATATAAACGTTAATTCTGTAACAAGGCCCACACTTAAGGGTTTTTTTTTTTTTCTTTTGGGACAGTCTTGCTTTATTGCCTAGGCTAGAATACAGTGGCATAATCGTGACTCACTGCAACCTCCGCCTCCTGGGTTCAAGCAATGCTTGTGCCTCAGCCCCCCGAGTAGCAGGGACTACAGGTGCACACCACCATGCCTGGGTAATTTTTGTATTTTTAGTAGAGAGGGGGTTTCACCATGTTGGCCAGGCTGGTTTCAAACTCCTGGCCTCAAGTGATCTGCGCACCTCAGCCTCCTAAATTGTTGGGATTACAGGTGTGAGCCACTGCGCCTGGGCCCACACATAAGGTTTGAGTTGAGATAGAGAAACTCTGGCAGGACTGAGGAATTTGGCCACAGTCTCTGGGAAATATGCACAATTTCTGGAATCTTCTCTACTTGCAGAGTTCCCACTTTCTATCTGTCTCCTATTTATTCAACAAACTTGTATGGAACCACAGTGTGTCTAGAACTTGCCAGGTATGGAGGATAAAAAGATGACTGAGATCGGACATGGTGGCTCATGCCTGTAATCCCAGCACTTTGGGAGGCCAAGGCAGGCGGATCACTTGAGGGCAGGAGTTTGAGCACAGCCTGGCCAACATGATGAAACGTCTCTACTAAAAGTACAAAAATTAGCCAGGCATGGTGGCATGCATATGTAGTCCCATCTACTTGGGAAGCTGAGGCAGGAGAATCGCTTGAACCCAGGAGGCAGATGTTGCAGTGAGCTAAGATCACACCGCTGCATTCCAGCCTGGGAGACAGTGAGATTCCATGTCAAAAAAAAAGATGACTGAGATACAGACTCCATCAGGGTTGACTCTAACACAAATTAGGTAAGAGCCCAAGGTCTGGCTGGGCAAGGACCTTGATCGGCCTCATCCTGCAGTGTCTACTAGAATGAAGAACACTTTTTTCTTTACCCATGAAAATGTTCTGTGCTTCATACCTACAATACAATTTGTGTTAATTCTGCAAAACTTGCCGCATAACTCTGCCTGTATTCTTAGCATTTTTCTTTTGAGAGATTTCTCAACACATCATCTTTGGACTATGTGGAATTGGAAGTTTACTTAGACTCAACAACAAGTACAGGAAAGTTAGTTCTTAGTCAAGAGTTAGGTTTTCAAAGACAGTGGATAAAATAAAAAATCTAGTACAGTCAAGATTATACGTGCAAATCCCCTCATCATTCATGAAGTTTAGCAGTCAGTCTTACCGTGGCTCACCAGGTCCAATCCATACTTTTTCCTCCATGATTGGAGCAGAGGATGATTTTTTTTTATGAGCAACTGATGAAGTCATTTAGAGACCATTTGCAGTAGGAGCCCTGTGTACTACAGACCAATCAATGTGCCCTCGTGGCTCCATTTCTGCCTCTCTCCCTCTTTGTTCTTGCCAAGTACCGATAGTTCATTTTCCATAGATTAAAAGAGCCCAAGTTGGGCCTATACCTAGAAGTACAATTGCTGGGTCATTTGGTAACTCCATGTAGAATTGTTTGGGAAGCTGTTAAACTGTTTCTCACAGTGGCTACACTATTTTAATTCCTACCAGCAGTGTATGAAAGTTCTAGTTTCTCTGCATCCTCACCAACACTTGTTATTTTCTGTATTTTTTTTTTTTTTGAGACAAAGTCTTGCTCTGTAGCCCAGGCTGGAGTGCAGTGGCACAATCTCAGCTCACTGCAACCTCTGCCTCCCAGATTCAAGTTACTCTCCTGCCTCAGCCTCCCGAGTAGCTGGTATTATAGTCACCTGCCAGCATGCCTGGCTAATTTTTGTATTTTTTTAGTAGAGACAGGGTTTCACCATGTTGGCCAGGATGGTCTCAAACTCCTGGCCTCAGGTGATCCACCTGCCTCGGTCTCCCAAAGTGCTGGTATTACAGTCATTAGCCACCGCACCAGGCCAATTTTCTCTATCTTCGATTCTAGCCATCCTTATGGGTGTGAAGTGGTATCTCATTGCGGTTTTGATTTCTGTTTCCCTGATGAAGAATTTCATTGAGCATCTTTTCATGTGCTTATTGGCCACTTGTATGTCTTCCTTGGAGATGTGCCATATTTTCATATTCAAAAATGAAAGCACAGGTCCACACAAAAATTTGTACATGAATAATTACAGTAGCATCACTCTTAATAACACAAAGAGGGAATTAATCCAAATGCCCATCACCAGATGAAGAGAGACACCGATTGTTGTCTACACACATGGTGGAATATTATTTGATCACAAAAAGGAGGAATGTACATATGCTACAGCGTGGATAAACCTTCAAAACAGATGAAAGATCACATTCTACATGATTTCATTCAGATGGAAATCTATAGAAATAGGAAGTCGATTAGTGGTTGCTTAGGGCTGGTAGGGGCATGGGAGGATGGGGGTGTTAGCTAAATGGTATGAGGTTTCTTTTTGAGGTCATGAAATGTTCTAAAATTGACTGGTAATGTTTGCGTATATCTCTGAATATATTAAAAACCATTGAAATGTAAAAAATGCAAAGAAAAAACAGCCCAAGTTGCAATTTTATTCAACACTTGATTGCTTTAAAAATAGATTCCAGGCTGGGCATGGTGGCTCACACCTGAAATCCCAGTGCTTTGGGAGGCTGCAGTGGGAGGATTGCTTGAGGCCAAGAGTTCCAGGCCAGCCTTGGCAACATGGCAAGACCCTGTCTGTACAAAAAAAGAAAAAATAAATATCAGCTGGGTACAGTGGCTCACACCTGTAATCCCAGCACTTTGGGAGGCTGAGGCAGGCAGATCACCTGACATCAATTCAAGACGAGCTTGGCCAACATGGTGAAATCCCGTCTCTACCAAAACTATAAAATTTAACCTTTTGGTACTCTAAGCAGCACCATGGCGGTTGTTAAGAACAAGTGCCTTATGAAAGGTGGCAAAAAGGGAGTTAAGAAGAAAGTAGTTGGTCCATTCTCTAAGAAAGATCAGTATGATGTGAAAGCACCTGCTATGTTCAATATAAGAAATATTGGAAAGACTTGGTCACCAGGACCAAAGGAACCCAAATTGCATCTGATGGTCTCAAGTTTCTAGTGTTTGAAATGAGTCTTGCTGATTTGCAGAATGATGAAGTTGCATTTAGAAAATTCAAGCTGATTACTGAAGATGTTCAGGGCAAAAGCTGCCTGACTAACTTCAATGGCATGGGTATTACCTGTGACAAAATATATTCCAAGGTTGAAAAATGTTCAACAATAATTGAAGCTCATGTTGATGTCAAGACTACCGATGGTTACTTCTTTCTTCTGTTTTGTGTTGGTTTTACTAAAAAACACAACAATCAGATACTGAAGACCTCTTATGCTCAGCACCAACAGTCTGCCAAATCCAGAAGAAGATGATGGAAATCATGACCTGAGAGGTGCAGACAAATGACTTGAAAGAAGTGGTTAATAAATTGATTCCAGACAACATTGGAAAAGATGTAGAAAAGGCTTGCCAATCTATCCTCTCCATGATGTCTTCATTAGAAAAGTAAAAATGCTGGAGAACCCTGGATTTGAAAGGAATAGAGCTTCCTGGTGATGGTGGTGATTCTGGAAAACCCACTAGGGACGAGATGCGTGCTAAAGTTGAATGAGCTGATGGATATGAACCATCAGTCCAAGAATCTGTTTAAAGTTCAGACTTAAAACAGTAGCAAATAAGAAGTCCTATTTGTGAAAAACAAACAAGAAACAACAATGAAAGAGCAAAATTAGCCTGGTGTGGTGGTGCATGCCTGTAATCCTAGCTACTCAGGAGGCTGAGGCACGAGAATTACTTGAACCCGGGAGACAGAGGTTGCAGTGAGCCAAGATTGCACCATTGCACTCCAGCCTGTGCAACAGAGTGAGACTCTACAAAAAGAAGAAAAAAAAAATAAGTATCCGGGCTTGGTGGCATGTGCCTGTAGTCTCAGCTACTCTGAAGGCTGAGATGGGAGGATGGCTTGAGGCCAGGAGTAATTTGAGGCTGCAGTGAACTATGATTGTGACACTGCACTCCAGCCTGGACTTGAGAGCAAGACCCTGTCTCTTATACATACACACACAAACACACACACACACACACACACACATATATATACACACACATACATACATACCCAGGCTCTACTTCTAGTGATTTTGACTCAGTAGGGTGGGGTATCCCCTAGGGATCCTGCTGTTCAGCCTGGTCTGGGATCCACTTTTCATTGGGAACTGAGACACTGGCTGTGAGCCCTTCTGTCCTGAGATGTAGAGGTCATGGGGATGCAGGTTCAAGCTTAAGGAGACCTGACTGTGTGTTAGGTATTGTGTTGAACATCATCTCTTACTCTTACAGCAACATCCGTAGAAGGTTGATGATGTGTCCCTGCTCTACAGATGAGGAACTGAACTTTCAGAGGAGTTTAGCTTGTTCAAAACTTATTCTTCCTATTGGAAACTTTGTACCCTTTGACCAGTGTCTCCAATCCCCTCCCTTTCCTTCACCCCATCCCCAGATAACCACTGTCCTACTCTCTATTTCTGTGAGTTCTACTTCTTTAGATTCCACATATAAGTAAAATCATGCAGTATTTGTCTTTCTGTGCCTGGCTTATTTCACTTAACACAATGTCTTTCAAATTCATCTATGTTGTTGAAAATGACAGGAATTCTTTCTTTTTTAAGGGTTAATAGTATTCCGTTGTGTGTATATAGTCCATTTGCTTTATCTTTTCATCCACTAATGGACACTTAGGTTGATTCTATATCTTGGGTATTGTGAATAGTGCTGCAGTGAACATAGGAATGTAGGGATCCCTTCGACATATTGATTTTGATTTTTTTTTGGTCTATATCCAGAAGTTGGGTTGCTGGATTATATGCTTTGAAATCTATAGCACAGTAGCGTGACTATAGTAAATAATAATGTATCTTTCAAAATAACTAAGTGGGTACATTTCAAATGTCGCATCATGAAAATTGTCAGTAAATTAGGGGATGGACGTGTTCATTAGTTTGATCTAATCATCCCACATTGTATACACATATCAAAACATCACATACATGTGTACAATTTTGATTTGTCAATTAAAATAACTTTAGTTAAAAAAATAAGTAACTTGTTCAAAGCCCCAGTTGGGATTGATGGAGCTGGGACATGCACCAAGGCTGTTGCTCTCAGGCCCACAGAGTCCTTGGTCCACGAATGTTGAAGCCCTACCTGAGATTTCAACTGAGATCAGTGCAGGGATTCAATGTCTCAGAATCATCCCATCCTCCAGGGCCCACAAGTCCATGACCGCTGCCTCTACCACCGACCCTACTGACCTGAAATGTGGCCCCTGCTTTCATTTCCGGGAGCATACAACAATTACACCAAGCATTGATGGGTTTTGTTGACTTCATTTGAGATGTGGGGTCGTGGAGAGGGTCCCATGATCCTTGTTTGGTGTTGGCCAACTCATTGACTTCTCTCCTTTGACTTCACCCTTCCCTTTCCTACTCACCTCCTCTGTCATGGATTGTTCTGGTAATTCTGAGCCCTGGTTCCTTTATTTTGCTGATAACCTTCTCTCGTGTCTGCAACGAATCCCAAAAGTGTGTAGTTGAGCTGACTGCAAGGTGCTTGACACGCAAGAGATTCCACAAATGGGATTCGGCCTCTGGAAAGTGGTGGTAGTTCCAGATTTATGTGGATGTTACTTTATTTTTCCGTATAAAATCTATTCTTTAAACTCTCAAGCTCTTGGGTCCTGGCTGCAGTCCTTTGCTGGTGGTAGTGGGCTGGGTACTGCCACAGGGGAGAAATGCTGCCCACTTAGAGAAAGGGAAACTGGTTCTCTTTTAGAGGCAGAGGGAGGTTCCCAGTGTCAGTTTGTTTGGAGGCAAAATGGCTGTTGTATTAAAATTGCCCAAACTTGGGTTGGTGCCTTGTGTGTTTAGAGCTCAAAGCCACGATTGTTTTCTTTTTTTTTTTTTTTTTTTTTTTTTTTTTGGTGGTTGGTTTTCCATCCTTTTGCCTGGCAGGTTCCTGCTAATAGCTTCAACCTCAAGAGTCCCATTATACAGACACTAATAGCACCTACTATGTGCCAGTCTGTAGTGCCTACTATGTGTCAGGCATTGGAGATAATATAATGATGAACAAGATACACATGGCATTTGGAAAAGACAGTCTACTTCCCACTCTCAGCCCACCCCAAAGAGAGGCCAGAATTGGGCTTCCAAAGATCTCAGATGCCCTTGCAGCACCTCCCTAAAGAGGGCGGGTGAAGCTTTGGTGTCTGAAGAGAATTTGGCTGGACAATCCCCCAGGTTTGGAAGGATGGGAAGGAGCTGCCATCTGTGTTTAAGGTGAGAAGTGGGGGAGTGGCTGGATATCAGAGGAAGCCAAGATGAAGAGAAGGTTTTTGTGAGTTCCTATGCATAGTGGAGACCTGTTCTAGTGAGGGTCCCTGGGGCTGAGCCTGTGGGTCAGTGGAATGATGCTGTGAGTAGGGTCTTGCTATAGCAGGTGGCCCAAAGAATGTTGATGGATCATGAGCAGGTGGAAGAATGGAGAGTTCAGGGGATGTAGTTCCTACCTGGCTTTCCAACAGTGTGTAAGCCCAGAATTCTTACATAAGCCCATGGAGAAGGGAAAGGAATGCTGGTAACGACAAGATTGAATTCTCCACCTGCCAGGCATCCAGGGACTCAGAGCAGATTTAAGTGAAGTTACAGAAATAGGAATGTGACATTTCCTACATCCGGGTGTGCTGGAGCAAATGTATTCCCTCTCTGGTTTGTGGGGAAGGAGAATGCTAACAGACAAGACTCCAGGTTTTCGCTCTTAAACCTGGTGCCTAGAAATGCATTTTCTACTGGATGCAGACAGAAGCTCCATATAGACATATCCATCGCTGCATCTCTCATGTCTTGTGTTCTCCCTAATTTTCCCTTTTTAACCCACAGACGAAGAAAGTTCCAGCATCACTTCTGGCCTCTCAAGAGTGAGTTAGGTGGCCAGGTGGGGTTATTCATGCCTGTAATCTCATAATGAAGGGGTGGCCTGCCCCTCCACACCTGTGGGTATTTCTTGTCGGGTGGGATGAGAGACAGAAAAGAAATCAGACACAGAGACAAAGTATAGAGAAACAACAGTGGGCCCAGGGGACCGGCGCTTAGCATACCAAGGACCTGCACTGGCACCGTTCTCTGAGTTCCCTCAGTTTTTATTGATTATTATCTTCATTATTTCAGCAAAAATGAATGTAGTAGGAGGGCAAGGTGATAATAAGGAGAAGGTCAGCAACAAACATGTGAGCAATAGAATCTATGACATAATGAAGTTCAAGGGAAGGTACTATGACTGGACGTGCATGTAAGCCAGATTTATGTTTCTCTGCACCCAGACATCTCAGTGGAGTAAAGAATAACAAGGCAGCATTGCTGTAAACATGTCTCGCCTCCCACCATAGGGTGGTTTTTCTCCCATGTCAGAATTGAACAAATGTACAATAGTGTTTTATACCGAGACATTCAGTTCCCAGGGGGCAAGCATGAGACAGCGGCCTTCCTCTATCTCAACTGCAAGAGGCTTTCCTCTTTGACTAATCCACCTCAGCACAGACACTTTATGGGTGTCGAGCTGGGGGACCGTCAGGTCTTTCTCATCCCATGAGGCCATATTTCAGACTATCACATGGGAAGAAACCATGGACAATACCCAGCTTTCAAGGGCAGAGGTCCCTGCGGCTTTCCACAGTGCATTGTGCCCCTGGTTTATTGAGACGAGAGAATGGTGATGACTTTTACCAAGTATACTGCTTCCAAATATTTGGTTAACAAGGCACGTCCTGCACAGCCCTACATGCCTTAAACCTTGATTTCATACAAACATGTTTTTGTGAGCTCCAGATTGGGTCAAAGTGGTTGGGGCAAAGTGGCTGGGGCAAAGCTACAGATAAACAACATCTCAGCAAGCAATTGTTTAAAGTACAGGTCTTTTTCAAAATGGAGTCTCTTATGGCTTCCCTTTCTATGTAGACACAGTAACAGTCTGATCTCTCTTTCTTTTCCCTACATATCCCCCTTTTCGTTTTGACAAAACCACCACCATCATCATGGCCCCTTCTCGCTGGTCGCTGTCTCTCTGGAGCTGCTGGATACACCTGTAGACTAAAAATAGAAAGGACAGACATACAAGGATTAATAAAAAATTTGCAATAGTGGAATTTCCGGTGGTTTTAACCCAAGTGACGGGGGCAAGAGGACGGTGTGGCTGCTGCGGCACCAACGCAGTCTCCCACCTCCTTTGTGTCTTAGTTGCTGTTTCTCATAGTTTTCAGTCTTTCTCCTCACCTGCTCACTCGCACCTTTTATCTCTTTGTCTCTCTTCTCTTACGGTCTCTCTCTCTCTCTTTTACACTATTTCTCTCCCCAATCTCTTTCTGTGTCTTTCTCTGATCTCTGTCTCTTTTTCTTTCTCTTCTTCTCCCTGGCTCTCCACATGTGCCATTTCCTTGGTGGATTGTAACTTCATTTGTTCTTCTGATATCACATTTTGTTCACCCTGCGAGTCGATGATGCTCGATTGCGGGTTTTCTGTCTCTGCAGAGGCACTTTCATTTGCATCTCTGATGGGTTCATTGTGGAACTTCAAATGTCTAGTGGGTATCCAAACAGGAAGCTGATTTTCTCCTGGTGAAACACAAGCAAAACCTCCCCCCATGTTATCACCTTACCTATTTCCCATGTTTTGTTTTTGTTGTCTTTCCACCAAATCAGTTTTCCCTCATGTGGGCTATTCTTTTTACCAGTAAAATGTTCTGCAGAAGTAGTGGTCTGATTTCTATGTATGTCTAGAAAATCTAAAGTATAGAGTGTTTCATTAAGTTGCATCTGGGGAGTGCTATACTCCTTACTGTCTTTTTCCTTTTTTTGTTTAACCAATTGAGTTTTGAGTGTTCTAAGCAGGACAGGTAAGATCTGCTTCTGGCAGTCAGCCAGGTCTCCTTACCCTGAGCTTCCCTTTCTGCCTGTGACTGAATGGGCATGTCAGGGTCTAGTAGAGGATCCAGGAGGAGGAAGCCTCATTAAATTCTATTCTGCAGCAATTGATGGCCACCCAACTTGAACAGTGGGGGCTTATCATCTCATGTACTAAGATCAGAGATAGCTGATGCCAAGGTTGGCTAAATTAGTAGCTTGAGATTTTAGGTTTTTCATTTGAGGTTTCTATGCTGCTATTGTCTTCTGCTCTTGGTCACAGAGGCTGCCACAATCCGCATGTCAAGTCCTCATGTGACAATATCCAGAGACAGCAAGGAAGAGGTACAGTGTATTCCTGCATGTTTCTTTAAAAAAAAATGTTTTCGATAGAGAATAATTGTACACATTTATGGGGTCCATGTGAGATTCTGGTACATGCGTGCAATGTGTAATGATCAAATCAGGGTCTTTGGGATATTAACCACCTCAAACATTGATCATTTCTTTGTGTTGGGAATATTTCAAATCTTATTGTTATTTAGAAATACATAATAATTCTATTTATCAGGATATAAAATCTATGTACACAAATCAGTAGCAGTGCTATACACCAACATCTACCAGGCTGAGAATCAAATCAAACCCTTTTATAATAGCTGTAAAAATAAAATACTTAGGAATATACCTAACCAAGGAGGTGAAAGACCCCTACAAGGAAAACTACAAAACACTGTTGAAAGAAATCACAGATGACAAAAACAAATGGAAACACATCCCATGTTCATGGATGGGTAGACTCAATATTGTGAAAATGACCATACTGCCAAAAGCAGTCTACAAATTCAATGCAATTCCTATCAATGTATCATCATCATTCTTTATAGAACTAGAAAAAAAATGCCAAAATTCATTTGGAACTAAAAAAGAGTCTGCAAAGCCAAAGCAAAACTAAGCAAAAAGAACCAATCTAGAGGCATCACATTACCCAACTTCAAACTATATTACAAAGCTATAGTCACCAAAACTGCATGGTGCTGGTATAAAAATAGGCACATGACCAATGGGACAGAGTAGAGAACCTAGAAATAAAGCCAAATACTTAACAGCCAACTGATCTTCGACAAAGTAAACAAAACCAAAGTAAGAAAAGTACACCCTATACAACAAATAGTGCTGGGATAATTGGCAAGCCACATGTAAAAGAATAAAACTGGATCCTTATCTCTCACCTTATACAAAAATCAACACAAGATGGATCAAAGACTTAAATCTAAGGTCTGAAACCATAAAAATTCTAGAAGATAACATTGGAAAATGCTTCTACACATTGGCTTAGGCAAAGAGTTTATGACCAAGAACCCAAAAGCAAATGCAACAGAAACACAGATAAATAGATGGGACTTTAATTAAACTAAAAGCCTCCTGCACAGCATAGGAAATAATCAGCAGAGTAAACAGATCACCCACAGAGTGGGAGAAAATTTTCACAAACTGCATCTGACAAAGGGCTAATTTGCAGAATCTACAGGGAACTCTAATCAGCAAGAAAAAAAGAATCTCATCAAAAAGTGTGCCAAGGACATGAATAGACAATTCTCAAAAGAAGATATACAAATGGCCAACAAACATGAAAAAATGCTCAACATCACTAATTACCAGGGAAATGCAAATCAAAACCACAATGCAATACCACGTGTAAAAGAAACAAAAAGAGGGCGAGGCGTGGTGGCTCACGCCTGTAATCCTAGCACTTTGGGAGGCCAAGGTGGGCGGATCACGAGATCAGGAGTTTGAGACCAGCCTGACCAACATGGTGAAACCCAGTCTCTACTGAAAATACAAAAATTAGCCGAGCATTGTGGCAGTTGGCTGTAATCCCAGCTACTCAGGAGGCTGAGGCAGGAGAATTGCTTGAACCCGGGAGGCAGAGGTTGCAGTGAGCTGATATGGCACCACTGTACTCCAGCCTGGGCTACAGAGCGAGACTCCATCTCAAAAAACCAAAAAACAAAACAAAACAAAAAAAACAAAAGTTGATGTTGGCATGGATGTGGTGAAAGACAACGCTTTTACACTGATGGTGGGAATGTAAGCTAGTACCACCACTATGGAAAGCAGTATGGAGATTCCTTAAACAACTAGAAGTACATCTACCATTTCATCCAGCAATCCCACTGCTAGGTATCTACCCAGAGGAAAAGAAGTCATTATATGAAAAAGATACATTTGCACACATGTTTACAGCAGCAGAATTCACAGTTGCAAAACTATAGAACCAGCACAAATGTCCATCAATCAATTAGTGGATAAAGAAAATGTGTTATATATATGTATACCATAGAATACTACTTAGCCTTAAAAAGGAATAAAATAATGGCATGCATAGCAACCTGGATGGATTTGACCATTATTCTAAATGAAGTAACTCAGGAATGGAAAACCAAACATAGCATGTTCTCACTCGTAAGTGGGAGCTAAGCTATGATGATGCAAAGGCACAAGAATGAAACAGTGGACTTTGGGGGCTCAATGGGAAGGTGGGAGGGAGTGAGAGAGAAAAGACTATACATTGGGTAAGCTGCTTTGGTGATGGGTATGCCAAAATTTCAGAGATCACCACTAAGGAACTTATCCATGTAACCAAATACCATCTGTTCCCTAAAAACTATTGAAATTAAAAAAAGAAATACACAACAAATTGTTGTAGTCACTTTCTGTGATAATGAACACTAGAACTTATTCCTTCTATTATATATTTTTATATTCATTAATCAACCTCTTTTCAAACCCCTCCTCTTCCCAGCCTCTATTAACTATCATTCTACTCTTTATCTCTATGATATCAATTTTATATAGCTCCAGGGCACACAAGTCCATAACTGTGGTCTCTATCCCTGACCCTAGTGACCTGAAACGTGGCCCCCACTTTGATTTCCAGGAACATAAACCGCTCACATAAGTGAAAACATGCAATAGTTTTCTTTCTGTGAATGGCCTAGTTCACCTAACATTATGACGTTTAATTTCATCCATTTAGCTGAAAATGGCAGGATTTCATTCTTTTTTAAGGCTGAATACTATTCTGTTATGCGTATATTCCCATTTTCTTTATCCATTCATCCATTGATTGACACTCAGATTGATTCCATATCTTGGCTATTGTAAATAGTGCTGCAGTAAATATGGAGGTACAGATATCCCGTTGATACACTGATATCCTTTTTTTTGGATGTATACCCAGGAGTGGGATTGCTGGATCACGTGGTAGATTTGTTCTTAGTTTTTTTGAGAAATCTCTGTGCTTTTTTTCATAATGACTGTACTAATTTACATTCCCACCAACAATATACAATAATTTTCTTTTCTTCACATGCTTGCCAGCATTTGTTGTGCTTTGTCTTTTTAATAATAGCCATTCTAACAAGTATGAGATGATATCTTATTGTGGTTTTGATTTGCATTTCCGTGATGATTAGTGATGTTGAATATTTTTTCATAAACTTGGTGATTTGTATATCTTCTTTTGAGAAATATCTGTTTGTTTTTTGATAGTTTCTTTTGCTGTGCAGAAGCTCTTTCATTTAATTAGATCCCATTTGTCAATTTTTGCTTTTGTGGCAATTGCGTTTGGCATCTTTACCATGAACTCTTTGCCCATCACTATGTACTGGAGGGTATTGCCTAGGTTGTCTTCCAGCGTTTTTATAGTTATGGGTTTTAAATTTAAGTCTTTAAGCCATCTTGAGTTAATTTTTGTGTATGGTGTAAGGGAGGGGTGTTGTCTTTTCACTCTGTTGATTGTTTTCTTTGATATGCAGAAGGTATTTAGTTTAATATAATCCCATTTGTCTGTTTTTGTTGCTTGTACTTTTTAAGTGTTAGCCATACAATCTTTGTTCTCAAGCTTTTCTCCTGTGTTTACTTCCAGTAGTTTTATAGTTGTGGCTGTTACATTTAAGTCTTTAATTGATTTTGAGTTTATTTTTGTAAGTGATGAGAGATAAGGGTCTAGTTTTATTCTTCTGTGTTTGGATATCTAGTTTTCCTGGCACCATTTAATGAAGAGGGTATCCTTTATTCAATGTATGTTCTTGACAGCTTTCTTGAAAATCAGTTAGCTGTAAATATGTGGATTCATTTCTGGATTCCTTAGTCTGTTTCCTTTGTTTTTGTGTCTTTTTTAATACCAGTACACGCTGTTTTGGTTACTGTAGCTTTGCAGTACATATATATATATTTTTGTTTTGTTTTGTTTTTTGAGATGGAGTCTTGCTCTGTCGCCCAGGCTGGAGTGCAGTGGCACGATCTTGGCTCACTGCAAGCTCTGCCTCCGCCTCCAGGGTTCACGCCATTCTCCTGCCTCAGCCTCCCGAGTAGCTGGGACTAAAGGCACCCATCACCACACCTGGTAATTTTTTTTTTTTTTTTTTTTTAGTAGAGACAGGGTTTCACCATGTTAGCCAGGATGTTCTCGATCTCCTGACCTTGTGATCCACCCGCTTCAGCCTCCCAAAGTGCTGGGATTACAGGCATGAGCCACCGCGCCCGGCCGCTTTGCAGTATATTTTTAAATCAGGTAGTGTGAGGCTTCTAGCTTTGTTCTTTTTGCTCAGTATTGCTTTGGCTATTTCGGGTCTTCTGTGGTTCCATATGAATTTCAGGGCTTTTTTTTTCCTGTTTCTGTGAATAATATAATTGATAGGGATTATACTAAATCTCTAAACTGCTTCGAGTAGCATGGTCATTTTAACAGTATTAGTTATTCCAACCCACGAGTATGAGATGCCTTTCCATATGTTCCTGTCCTTCTCAATTTATTTTATCAATGTTTTGTGGTTTTCACTGCAGAGGTTTTTTGGTTTATTTTCCCCCTCCTTGGTTAAGTTTATTCCTAGGTATTTTATTTTTGTAGCTATTGTAAATAGAATTTCTTCTTTGATTTCTATTTTAGCTAGTTTCTTACTGGTATATAGAAACATTACTGATTTTTCTAGGTTGATTTTGTGACCTGAAGCTTTACTGAATTATACATCTGCTTTTTAAATTTTTTTTATTTTTTATTTTTTATTTTTTGAGATAGAGTCTCACTCTGTTGCCCAGGCTGGAGTGTAGTGGTGCAATCTTGGCTCAGTGCAACCTCCGCCTCTCGGGTTCAAGCAATTCTCCTGCTTCAGCCTCCCAAGTAGCTGGGATTACAGGCACCTACCACCATGCTTTGCTAATTGTATTTTTTGTAGAGACAGGGTTTCGCCATGTTGGCCAGGCTGGTCTCAAACTCCCAACCTCAGGTGATTCGCCCACCTTGGCCTCCCAATGTGCTGGGATTACAGGCATGAGCTACCATGCCCAGCCTAATTTACCCATTTTAAGAGTTTTTTGGTGGAGTCTTTAGGTTTTTCTGTTTACAAGTATAAGATTATGTCATCTGCAAAGTGAGACAATTTGACTTCCTCTTGTCCATTTTCGATGCCTTTTATTTGTTTATCTTGTCTGATCACTTTGGCTTGGATGTCCCATACTGTGTTGAATAAGAGTGGTGAAAGTGGGCATCCTTGTCTTATTCCAGTTCTTAGAGGAAAGGCTTTTCAATTTTTCCCAGTGAGTAGGATGTTAGCTGTAGATTAATCATATATGCTTTTCTTATGTTGAAATGTTCCTTCTATGCATAACTTGTTGAGAGTTTTCATCATGAAGGAATGGTAAGTTTTACTGAGTGATTTTTCTGCATCTGCTGAGATGATCAGATAGTTTTTGCCTTTCATCTTGTTGATGTGATGTATCACATGCACTAATTTCTGGATGTTGAGCCATCTTTGCATTCCTGGGATAAATCCCACTTGATCATGGTATATTATCTTTTTCATTCATCATTAGATTTGGCTTGGTAGTATTATGCTGAGAATTTTTCCATCTGTGTTCATTAGGAATATTGGCCTGTAGTTTTCTCTTTCTGTTGTGTCCTTGTCTTGATTGGATATCAGGGTAATGCTGGCCTTATACAATGAGTTAGGAAGAATTCCCTCCTCTTCAATTTTTGGGAATAGTTTGAGAAGTATTGGTGTTTGTTTTTCTTTATAAACTGGGTAGAAATCAGTATAAAAGCCTAGTCTAGGGCTTTTCTCTTTGGAGAGACTTTTTGTTACTGATTCAAACCTGCTATTCATTTTGAGTCAGTTCAGGTTCTCTCTTTCTTCCTAGTTCAATCTTGGTAGGCTGTGTATGTCTGGGAATTTATCCCTTTCCTCTAAGTTTTCCAATTTGTTAGGGTATGGTTGTTCGTAATAGCCTCTAATGATCCTTTTTATTTCTTTGGTAACAGTTGTAATGTCTCCTTTTTCATTTCTGATTGTATTTATTTGGGTCTCCTTTCTTTTTTTTTGGTTAGCCTCACTAGTGGTTTATCAATTTTGTTTAACTTTTCAAAAAAACAACTTTTATCTTGTTGATTCTTTGCATTTCTTTTTTGTCTCTGTTGCATTTGGTTCTGCTGTTATTTTTTTTTTCTTTCTACTAATTGTGTGTTTGGTTTGTTCTTGCTTTTGGAGTTCCTTGAGGTGCATCGTTAGGTTGTTTATTTGAGATCTTTCTACTTTTTTGGTGTAGGCATTTATTGCTATGAACTTGCCTCCTAGTAGTGCTTTTGCTGTATCCCATAGGTTTTGCATGATGTGTTTCTATTTTCTGTTTAAAAAAAAAAATTTGATGTCCATCTTAGTTTCTTCATTGATCCAATGACCATTCGATAGCATGTTTAATGTCCATGTATTTGTACAGTTTCCAAATTTCTTCTTCTTATTGATTTCAAGTTTTATTCCATTTTGGTCTGAGAAGATACTTGATATGATTTTAATTTTTAAAATTTTGTTGAGCCTTGTTTTGTGTCCTAACATATGGTCTATCCTGGAGAATGTTCCATGTGTTGATGAGATGATTGTATATTCTGCTGCTGCTGGATGAAATATTCTGAAAATATCTGTTAGGTCCATTTGGTCTAAAGTGCAGCTTAAATCTAATGTTTCTTTGTTGATTTTATGTCTAGATGAACTGTCCAATGCTGAGAGTAGGATATTGAAGTTCTCAACTATCATTGTATTGGATTCTATCTCTCCCTGTAGATTTAATAATATTTGCTATGTGTGTCTGGATGTGCTTTTGTTGGTTGCATGCATATTTAGAATTTTTATACTTTCTTGCTGAATGGATCCCTTTATTACCATATAATGACCTTCTTTGTCCTTTTTACAGTTTTTGACTTAAAGTCTGTTTTATCTGATGTAAGTTTAGCTACTCCTGGTTACTTTTGATTTCTGTTTATGTGGTATATCTTTTTCAATCCCTTCACTTTCAGTCTGTGTGTGTCTTTACAAGTGAAATGAGTTTCTTGTAGACGTTGTTGGGTCATTTTTTGTCCATTAAGCCTGCCTCTATCTTTTAGGTAGTTAACTTAACACATATTTGAAGTTATTATTGATAGGTGAGGACTTATTCCTGTCATTTTGTTCATTGTTTTCTGGTTATTTTGTATATCCTTTTGATATGGTTTGGCTGTGTCCCCACTCAGAACTCATCTTGAATTCCCATGTGTTGTGGGAGGGATCCAGTGGGAAGTAGTTGAATCATGGAGGCAGGTATTTCCCATGCTATTCTTTTGATAGTGAATAAGTCTCTTGAGATCTGATGGTTTTAAAAGGAGTAGTTTCCCTGCTTAATCTCTCTCTTTGCCTGCTGCCATCCCTTTAAGATGTGACTTTCCTCTCCTTGACTTCTGCAATGATTTTGAAGCCTCCCCAGCAATGTAGAATTGTAAGTCCATTAAACCTCTTTCTTTTGTAAATTTCCCAGTCTTGAATGTGTCTTTATCAGCTGTGTGAAAATGGACTAATACAGTAAATTAGTACCAGAAGTGGGGTGTGGCTAAAAGATACCTGAATATGTGGAACTGACTTTGGAACTGGGAAACAGGCAGAGGTTGGAACAGTTTGGAGGGCTCAGAAGGAGACAGGAAAATGTGGGAAAATTTGGAAGAGATTTCCTAGAGACTTGCCCAAAATGCTGATGGTTATATGGACAATAAAGTCTAGGCTTAGGTTGTCACAGACGGAAATGAGGAACTTGTCAGGAACTGGCACAAAGGTGACTCCTGTTATGTTTTAGCAAAGAGACTGGTGGCTTTTTGCCCCTGCTGTAGAGATTTGTGGAATTTTGAACTTCAGAGAGATGATTTAGGGTATCTGGTAGAAGAAATTTCTAAGCAGCAAAGCATTCAAGAGATGACTTGGGTGTGTTAAAGGCCCTCAGTTTTATAAGGGAAGCAGAGCATGAAAGTTTGGAAAATTTGCAGCCTGAACATGCAATAGAAAAGAAAATCCCATTTTCTCAAGAAAAATTCGATCTGGCTGCAGAAGTTTGTTTAGGTAACAAGGAGTCAAATGTGGATCCCCAAGACAATGGGGAAAATGTCTTCAGGGCATGTCACAGATCTTCATGGCAGCCCCTCCCATCAAAGGCCCAGAGGCCTGGGAAGAAAAGATGGTTTTGTGTGCTGGACCCAGGGCCCCCCTGCTGTGAGCAGCCTAGGGTGCCTGAGTCCTAGCCACTCCAGCTGCAGCTAAAAGGTGCCTAGGTACAATGTGGGCTGTGGCTTCAGAGGGTGCAAGTCCCAAGCCTTAGCAGCTTCCACATAGTGTTGAGCCTGTGGGTGCACAGAAGTCAAAAATTGAGGTTTGGGAACCACTGCCTAGATATCAGAAGATGTATGGAAATGTCTAGACGTCCAGGCAGGAGTTTGCTGCAGGGGCAGGGCACTCATGGAGAACCTCTACTGGGGCAGTGCGGAAGGGAAATGTGGGGTCGGAGCCCCCACATACAGTCCCTACTGCAGCGCCACCTAGTGGAGCTGTGAGAAGAGGGCCACCATCCTCCAGACCCCAGAATAGTGGATTCACTGACAGCTTGCACTGTGTGCCTGGAAAAGCGGCAGACACTCAATGCCAACCCATGGAAGGAGCTGGGAGGGGGTTTATACCCTACAAAGCCACAGGAGTGGAGCTGTGGCCTTTTTTCTCCCAAGGCCATGGGAGCCCACTTCTTACATCAGCATGACCTGCATGTGAGACATGGAGTCAAAGGAGATCATTTTGGAGCTTTGAGATTTGACTGCCCCACTGGATTTTGGGCTTGCATGGCACCTGTAGCCCCTTTGTTTTGGCAATTTTCTCCCATTAGGAATGACTGTGTTTACCCAATGCCTATACCCCCATTGTATCTAGGAAGTAACTAACATGTTTTTGATTTTATGTGCTCATAGGTGGAAGGGATTTGGCTTGTCTCACATGAGACTTTGGACAGTGGACTTTTGAGTTAATGCTGAACTTAGTTAACAGTTTGGGGGACTGTTGGGAAGGCATGATTGGTTTTGAAATATGAGGATATGAGACTTGGGAAGGGCCAGGGACAGAATGATATGGTTTGGTTTTGTCCCCACCAAAATCTCATCTTGAATTCCCACATGTTGTGGGAGGGACCTGTTGGGAAGCAATTTAGTCATGGGGGCAGGTCTTTCCCATGCTGTTCTCATGATAGTGAATACGTCTCACAAGTTCTGATTGTTTTAAAAAGGGCAGTTTCCCTGCAGAAGCTCTCTCTTTGCCTGCTACCATCCATGTGAGACATGACTTGCTTCTTCTTGCCTTCCAACGTGATTGTGAGGTTTCCTCAGCTATGTGGAAGTGTAAGTCCATTAAACCTCTTTCTTTTGTAAATTGCCCAGTCTCAGTCAGGTATGTCTTTATCAGCAGTGTGGAAACAGACTAATACACCTTTATTCCTATTTTCTCTCTTTAGTGGTGATGTTTGAATCCTTTCTTCTTTGTGTGTCTGCTCTACCAGTGAGTTTTATACTTTCATGTGTTTTCATGATGGTAGATATTGTTCTTTTTCTTCCCAATGTAGGACTCCCTTAAGCATTTCTTGTATGACCACAACAAACAATACCCAAACAAACAGTCTTTTACTTATCTGAGAAATACTTTTTTCTCTTTTATTTATTTGTTTATTTATTTTTAGCAATGGAGTCTCACTCTGTCACCCAGGCTGGAGTACAGTGGCATGATCATAGCTCACTGCAGCCTTGAACTCTTGGGCTCAAATGATCCTCCTGCCTCAGCCTTATGAGTCTCTGAAATTACAGATGTGAGCCACTGTGCCAGGCTCCTTCATTTGTGAAGGATAGCTTTGCTGGGTATAGTATTTTTGGCTTACTTTTTTTTTTTAACTTGTAGTATACATCCCCTTTTCTCCTAGTCTGTAAGGTTTCTGCTGAGAAATCTCGTTAGCCTGATGGGGATTCTCTTATAAGTGACTTGTTGCTTTTCTCTTGCTGTTTTTAGCATTTTCTCTTTGTCTTTTGACAATTTTACCATAATGTGTCTTGGAGAAGACCTTTTTGAGTTGTATTTATTTGGTAATCTTTCAGCTTCCTGTATTTGAAGCTTTCAGGAAGTTTTCAGTTATTATTTTATTAAATAGGTTTGCTATGCCTTTACCCATCTCATCTCCATCCAGAACTCCCAGAATTTCAGTTTTTGGTCACATAGGTGTCCCATATGTCATGTAGCTTTGCTTCATTCTTTTTTCTTTCTTTTTGTCTGACTGGATTATTTTAAAAGACTAGTCTTCAGGTTCAGAAATTCTTTGTTTTGCTTGATCTAGTCTATTGTTAAAGCTCTCAATTATCTTTTGTATTTCTTTCAATGATTTATTCTCTTCCAGGATTTGTGTTTGTTTCTGTGTTACGCTGTCTATCTCTGTTGAATTTCTCATTCAGATCATGAATTGTTTTCCTGATTTTTTTGTATTCATTATCTGTGTTCTCTTGTATCTCCCTGAGTTTCTTCAATAACATTATTCTGAATTTTTTTCAGGCATTTCATAGATTTTCTTTTCATTGGAATCTGTTGCTGGAGAATTATTGTGCTTCTTTGGAGATGTTATGTTTCCTTTTTCATATTTCTTGCATCCTTATGTGACTATCTGTGCCTCTGACATAACAGTCACTGCTTCCAATTTTATGGATTGGCTTTTATATGGGAAAGACCTTTTCTTATAGCTATATCTACAATGTTCATTGGATATCACAGTTTGGCTTTGATTCTGGGTGGGTACAGTGGTATAATCTGCATATGATTTCTTCTGCTGTAATTGGATGAGTGGTGTCTGTGAGTCATTCAGTGGCTTAGACTGTAGTTTTTGTTTGTTTTTTTTTTTTTTTTTTTTTTGTGGTTGTTGAGATGGAGTCTAGCTCTATCACCAGGCTGGAGTTCAGTGATGCAATCTCAGCTCACTGCAACCTCTGCCTCCTGGGTTCAAATGATTCTCCTGCCTCAGCCTCTTGAGTAGCTGGGACTACAGGCACGTGCAACCATGCCCAGCTAATTTTTGTACTTTTAGTAGAGACGGGGTGTCACCATGTTGGCCAGGCTAGTCTCAAACTCCTGACCTCGTGATCTACCCACCTCGGCCTCTCAAAGTGCTGGGATTACAGGCGTGAGCCACCACACCTGGCCAGAATGCAGTTGTTATTGGAAGCTGTGGTGAGGCTTTGCTGAGGATGGGGATGCCAGGAAGTCTTGTCCTTCAGCCTCAGTTGTAGTGGTGGTGGACCAAGTTTGTCAATACTAGGGACCACAGGCAGTATACATGGGCACTGATGATAGCCTGTCTGCATGGGCCAATCCCTGGGCCTCCAGGTGGCTTCTTTGGTTGCTGGCAGTGGCAGCACTGGGCCAGTTGGGCAGGTGCACCACTGGGCTCCTGGGTGGTGTGTGTGGCAGTCTGATCTCTAGTTCTCCAGGTGATCTGTGCAGGTTCTGGTGGTGGGTAGGCAGGTGTTTCCTCAGGCCTCTCAGTAGTAAGGGTGAGCACTAGCTCTGGAGGCAGGTGAGTCAATCTCCAGGCCCCCGGATGGTACATTCAGGCACCAGCATATTCCTATGCATTTCTAGATAAAAGTATTTTTCAGAAAACCTGAGCATATGTCCTATTAATACAACTTGTCCTCATCAACTCTGCATGAGAAGAAGGGAGAATTCCCTCAGTAGAACATTCAGAATGGAATCACAGACTTGTTTTGAGCCAGTCACTGGTAAGGGGGGATAGGCTAAAATGATAAGCTCAGAATCTAAACCTTAGACTAGGGAATGGCAAACTTTTTCCATAAAGAGGCAAACAGTAATATTTTAGGCTTTTGGTCTAGATAACCTCTGTTGCAGTGACCCAGTGGTGCCATTGTAGCCTAAAAGCATATGTAAAAAATGCATAAATGAATGGACCTGGTTTTATTCCAATAAAACTTAATTTATACCAACAGTCAGAGGGCCAGATTTGGCCCTTGGTCTATAGTTTGCCAACCCTGTTTAGACCAGTCACAATTTATTCCCTGGGGCTGGGCCAAATTTTTCTTAAAAAAAAAAAAAGCAACCTACTGTCAGAATAAAATAGGGTTTCTATTTAAAAAGAAGAAGAGGCTGGTGTGGTGGCTCATGTCTATAATCCTAGCACTTTGAGAGGGTGAGGCAAGAGGAGTGCTTGAGGCCAGGAGCTTGAAACCAACTTGGGCAATATAGTGAGATCCTGTCTCTGCAAAGAATAAAAAAATTAGCCAGGCACGGTGGCACATGTCTGTAGTCTTAGCTACATAGGAGGCTGAAGGGGAAGATCACTTGAGCTCAGGATTTTGAGGTTACAGTGATCTCTGACTGTACCACTTGTACTCTAGCCTAGGCAAAGATGGAGAACCCAAAAACAAAACAAAATAAAAAAAAGGTTGGTTGGGGTGGGTTGGAGAAGAAAGTATTTCTGAATTTCTGGGTAGGTTACTGGTAGTATCAGGCCAAACTAGCTCTACAGTCATATTCATTATAAATAAAGGCAACTAGAAGATCTCCATCTAGCTATTAAAAATTGGTTAAAATCTACAGAGATAAAGGACGGTGACCCTTGTATCAGTTAGTTGTTGTCACAAAATGCAGCATAACAAGTCACTCCAAATCTCAGTGGCATAATACAACAATCGTTTATTTTCATGGACCTATGGATCAGCTGAGGATTGGTTAATCTGGCATGAGCATGTCTCAGAAGCTCGACTTCGCTCTTGGTGTCTCTTATCTTCTGCTGGAAGCAGCAGTCTGGCCTGGGCTTGTTCTCATGGTGATAGCAGGAGTGAGCGAGCACAAATGAATGCACACTTTCCAAGTTTTTGGTCATGCAGGTTAATATTCCAGTGGCCAAAGCTAGACACATGACTAAACCCAACATTAGGGGCTGGAGAAATATACTCCGATTCTTCAGTGGGAGGAACTGCAGAGACAAATGGCAGAGTCTTGGATACAGGGAGGACATGGATCCATTAATGTACCTTAATCAACCGCAACCCTCTAACCACCAATGCAATTAAATATTTGTTGAATGCACTTGTGCCTGAATCCTTCTGGCTGCAGCCCAGGCAATGGGGGCCTGACTGGGGAGGGACCATAGCAGGGACTCGATGTCCTGCAGGTCTGCATGTAATTGTGTACGGCCGACTCCACATTGGTCATGGCTGACTTGCTTTGTCCTGCATCCCCAAGGGGCAACAATTGGCTGATTTTATTTCTAAACAATTTTGACAAAGTTGTTTTCAGGAGCCCAGGAAGCAAATCAGTTGTGGATTTGAATTTTGCAGGGGGTCAGAATTGTTGAATATATATATAGTCTTTTACATGTTGATAATCATTTCCATACCACAAAGAAGGCCGGCTATTAGGAGGCTGCTGTTCAATTCCTTTGCCCCATGAACTCATGAGCTGTGGCTATGTGGGGGGCACTCAGTTGTTAGAGCTGTTTCCTTTCATAACAACATCAGCCAACATTCTAAATAAATGCAGGAAATTAAATAGTCTTCCCCAGACAGGTACTTTGCCCTTCTAAAGTGAATTACACATTGTAAAATAAAACACAGTCACATTAAAAAACCAAAAGGTCTTTGTGTCAGGTTGGTCTGGCTTCAGCAAAGATAATATTTCCCTCCAGAGTAGAAGATCCTTGGAATCCATGGTATTGCATATGGCAGCCCCACGTCTTGTTTCCTTTTCTTTTTTTTTTCGTTTTTAACTAAAAGAGTTGACAATTCTATTTTCACATTTCCCAATACAAATGAAAACTGCATCTTTTTTGGTCCCACTTCTCCCCTCCAAAACTATTCTCTTTGATGGGGCAAGAGGGCAAGTCTTCCTTATGCTGTTAAGAAAAGCCAGCATCACAGCGGCACGATCTCCTGGTGAAGGGAGCAGGTAAATATAAAACTCATACAGGCCGGGCGCAGTGGCTCACACCTGTAATCCCAGCACTTTAGGAGGCTGAGGCAAGCGGGTGACGAGGACAGGAGATTGAGACCATCCTGGCCAACATGGTGAAACCCTGTCTCTACTAAAATAAAAAAAATTAGCCAGGCATGGTGCACATGCCTGTAGTCCCACACTACTCAGGAGGCTGAGGCAGGGGAATCACTTGAAACCAGGAAGTGGAGGTTTCAGTGAGCTGAGATCGTGCCACTGCCTTCCAGCCTGGGTGACGGAGGAAGACTCTGTCTCAAAAACAAAACAAAACAAAAAAACGCACAACAATAACACCAAAAAAGCAACACTGATGTAATGAGCCCTCCCCTCTATCCTTATCTGTCTGGTCGAGTCATTCTGGGCTGACTGGGCACCATCATGAGATAGGCAGGAGGTCTCATCATTGGGCACCCAGGCATCACGGGCATGTGGCCTCCCATGGGCGGCCTCATTCCAGGAGCAGGTCCCACTGGCATCATCCCAGGAGGAGAAGGGCCCATCATTGGCATCATGGGAGGGCCTCCCATATGGGTGCTGCCATCATACTGAGATGTGTGAGAAGTGTCAAATACACATTAGATTGTGAAGCCTTAATATAAAAAGAAAGCAAAATATTTTGTTAATGTTAAAATATTTTATATATGTAGACCTGGTATTTTGGATAGATTTGTTTAAATCTGTGATATTATTCCAGTTACCTTCACTTCTTTTGTTTTCCTTTTTAAAATGTGGTTACTACAAAATGCAAAAGTAAATATGTGGCTTGCATCATATTTCATCATATTTAGTGTGGACCCTGAGGGTCTAAGGGAGTTATGAGCCTTAAGTTGAGGGTGACCCAGCTCATCGTGAATTGCTCTGAAAGAGAAGCAAAGGGCATAAAGAGAACGTATAAATGGAGAGAGGGAGCTCGGTCTTACAGGGTGAGGAAAGGCTTTCTTTATTACACAGTCTGGCACTTCTTCAAAAGCTTGAACACAGAGTTCTATGACCCAGCACTTCCACTCCAGTTTATGGAAGAAATGAAAATATATGTCCCTGCAGAAACTTGTACACAAATGCTCACAGCAGCATTATTCATAATAGCGCCAAAGTGAAAACAACACAAATGCTTGTCTACTGATGAGTAAAGAAATAGGACATGGTTTGACCATGCAATGGAATATTATTCAGTCATCAAAAGGAATGAAGTACTAACACGTGCTACAACACGGATGAACTATGAGAATATTAAGCTAAGTGGAAGAAACCAGTCACAAAAGGTCACATATTATAAGATTTCATTTATATGAAATGTCCAGAACACGCAAAGCTATGAAGACAGAAACCCTGTCTCTACTAAAAATACAAAATTAGATGGGCATGGTGGCATATCCCTGTAATCCCAGCTACTCGGGAGGCAGGAGAATTGCTTTAACCCGGGAGGCGGAGGTTGCAGTGAGCCGAGATTGTGCCACTGCACTCCAGCCGGTGACAGAGACTCTATCTCAAAAAAAGTAGATTGTCAGGGCTTAGTGGGAGGAGGAAATGGCAGGAACCTGCTCATGGATACAGGGTTTCCTTTTGGGGTGATGAGAATGTTTTAAAATTGATAATGATGGTGGTTGCCGACCTCTGTGAATGCACTGAAACCATTGATTTGTTCACTTTAAATGGGCAAATCATACGGTACCTGAATTATATTTTAATAGTTATATTAAAAAAGTAAAATCTTCCTTGAAGAGATGACACTTAAGGAGAGACCTAGGGGGTGGGATGAGTTCACTATGTAGAGAAATGAGGAACAGCATTTCAGGGTGAGGAACAGCATAGTGAAGTCCCTGAGGTTGATAGGCATAGAGCAGATTTAAGGGACTTTTTTTTGAGACGGACTTTCAGTCTTGACGCCCAGGCTGGAGTGGAGTGGTGTGATCTTGGCTCACTGCAACTTCTGCCTCCTGAGTTCAAGCGATTTTCCTGCCTCAGTCTCCCTAGTAGCTGGGATTACAGGCGCCCTCTACCACACCTGGCTAATTTTTGGATGTTTAGTAGAGATGGGGTTTCACCATGTTGACCAGGCTGGTCTCGAACTCCTGATGCCAGGTGATCCACCCGCCTCAGCTTCCCAAAGTACTGGGATTACAGACGTGAGCCACTGCGCTCAGCCAGATTTAAGGGACTTTCAAGAAGTTTGTGTGGCTGAAGCCTGCAGGGCAAGCGAAAGAATCAGGAAATGAGGCTGGAGAAAGAGAGGGGCTAGGTCATGGAGGGTCTCACATTAGTGTGTGGAAACTTCATACGAGTGGTCCCACCTTGGGCATCCCACGTAACTACTCTTTGTCCCAGCTTCCCCACTCGTGAAATCAAGGGTGATGTAGGGATGGACTGAGATAGAGTGTGCTAAGTAAAGGTGAGCTTTGATCATTGTTTTTTGTTTGTTTGTTTTGAGATGGAGTCTCACTCTGTCGCCCAGGCTGGAGTGCAGTGGCGCTATCTCGGCTCACTGCAACCTCCGCCTCCCGGGTTCACGCCATTCTCCTGCCTCAGCCTCCCGAGTAGCTGGGACTACAGGCGCCCGCCACCACGCCTGGCTAATTTTTTTAATATTTTTAGTAGAGACGGGGTTTCACCGTGTTAGCGAGAATGGTCTGAATCTCCTAACGTCGTGATCCACCCGCCTCGGCCTCCCAAAGTGCTGGGATTACAGGCGTGAGCCCCCGTGCCCGGCTGAGCTTTTATCATTGTTAACCCATAGAGCAGTGGGAGCCATTGAAAGTGAGTGATCTGTTTGGATGCACCTTCTGAAGTGATTGCTTTGGTCCCTGTGAGGAGTGCAGATTGTCACAGGGCCAGGGGAAGACAGAGGCCAGTGAGGAGGCATTTGCAGTCAAACAGCTGGAAGTGATGGTGGCTTGGTTTATGGTGGTGTCAGGAGAGTGGCTGAGCAGTGAACGGATCTGAAAAGATTTAGGAGGTAAAACCCACGTGACTTGGTCACTGAATGTGGGTTGGGTGGGCTGGAGGGAAGGTAAGAAAGAATGAGAAGAAAAACATACTCAAGTGGGCCCTCCAGCCTAAGGTTACTTGAGGTCTCTTTGTGAAGAGGAATATTTGTGTTTATGATGAAGATGTCTAGACTTTCAAAGGCCACTTGCAGTATTTTTTTTTTAACAGCCAACAACTCCTCCTTCCCTATGCCCTAAACATATGAATTTTTTTTGGCCCTAATTTATTATAGAGGGATGGATGTTCATTTGCTTTAATGAGAAACGCAGTATGCCAATAAGAAAGCATATTCAATTAATCTGGATTGCTGTGAGGGAGTTTAATCTGTTTCGATGTGCACCAGTGTTACTATAATAGTTTGCTCTAAACCCATTTCTGGCCTGTGGCTGCAGGAGTTTGACTCCCAGCTTGCTTTCATTTGAAAGATCCCAGCAACAAGCACACTTGGCATTTCCAGCCAAACCCACTTTGTGCAGCGAAGGAAAAGTTGAGGAGTGCCTCTGTTGTTTTCCCCCAAATCATTTGGCAGAAATGTGGCTGGGAGTTTCATTGCTGATTTTTTCAGTTTTAGTATTGCTGTGGAAAGCCTGTACCAACACTCAGCCATGTTATTCATCCACAGCTCCAGTCTGGGCTGTGATTTGTTTTTCCTTTGAGTGAGACTGAATGCAAATAGACACTCATGCACCATCACCATCACTCCCCCTGATTGGCGGAGGGAAGTCAATGGAGTGATTCTAGTTTGGTGTTCATATCGGAGGGTTTTATTTATTTTGAGACGGAATCTCTCTCTGTCACCAGGCTAGAGTGCAGTGGCGCACTCTCGGCTCACTGCAACCTCTGACTCCCTGGTTCAAGCGATTCTCCTGCCTCAGCCTCCCGAGTAGCTGGGCTTCGAGGCATGTACCACCACGCCCGGCTAATTTTTTGTATTTTTAGTAGAGACGGGGTTTCACCGTGTTAGCCAGGACGGTCTTGATCTCCTGACCTCGTGATCCGTCCGCCTCGGCCTCCCAAAGTGCTAGGATTATAGGCGTGAGCCACTGTGCCAGGCCTGGAGTTGTTTTTAAAAGCACATTTCTCTCACATTAACTCCGAGGTGTCCCACTGTGACTTGGGCAAAGGTTTGGATTTTCTGGAGGTGGAAAGTCGAACTTCAAATAGAATTTGGAGGCTGCCACTGTGGCTCATGCCTGTAATCCCAGTACTTTGGGAGGCTGAGGTGGGTGGATCATTTGAGGCCAGAAGGTCGAGACCAACCTGAGCCACATGAAAAGGCCTCGTTTCTACTAAAAATACAAAAATTAGCCAGGCGTGGTGGTACATGCCTGTAACCCCAGCTACTTAGGAGGCTGAGGCAGGAGTTATCGCTTGAACCTGGGAGGCAGAGATGTCCTGTGTCCAAACCCCATGAGGCGTATCAGCTGGCTGAAGATAAAATCGGTCACGCAGTGTTGGGATTGGGGTTGCTGTTATCATACCTCATCCCCACCCCTGCTAGGCATCCACAAATAGTCGTCTTCAATGAGACGTCCCTCCTGCCCCTGGCTGCCTTATTTCATCTGCACCCAACCTTATCCATTGCTTGTCAGTGGGTCTCAACCTTGGCTGCATCTTGGAATCTCCTGGGGAGATGAGACAATACCAAGGCTCTCTCTCACTCAGCGTGATGTTTCCAAGTTCCATCCACATGTAGTAGGCACCAATACTTCCATTGTACGGATACAGCACATTTTGTTTATTCATTCATAAACCGAATGACCATCTTTGTTGTTGCTACCTTTTGGTTATTATATATATTACATGATTCCATTTATGTGAAAGGTCCAGAATACGCAAATCTGTAGAGGCAGAAAGCAGGTAAGTGGTTGCCAGGAACTGGGGGAAAGGGGAGGGGATGGAGAGTGCTTGATGGATACAGGGTTATTTTTTGGGGGGCGGGGGGTGTTAAAGAAAATGTTTTGGAACTAGACAGAGATGATGATTGCTTAACATTGTGAAGGTATTTAATGATACTGAAGTGTATGATTTCATACAGGGACTTGTATGTTATGTGTATTTGGCCTCATTAAAAAAATAGTGCTTGGAGCAATGGCTCATGCCTGTAGTCCCAGCACTTTGGGAGGCCAAGGCGGGCGGATCACCTGAGGCTGGGAGTTGGAGACCTGCCTGGCCAACATGGTGAAACCCTATCTCTATTAAAAATACATGAATTATCCCTTCACATCTTTGGGGGGTAACTTTTACAGTGCAGTCTAACAACCAGCTGCCTCAAAATCACTGGGATCCCTCGTAACCAGGTAGCTCCCCCATCTCCAACTCTGACCCGCCAAGTCAGAATCTTGTGGGTGGGGCCGAGAACGGTACATATTGAAACAGACAGTAACCTGGGAACTATTTCTGAACACCCCTGTTTCCCCTGTGTTTGCCCTTTCACATTTGGACCCCTTTGTGTGCTGACCACTGGGCTGTTTCACGTGGACATAACATAAAAAAGACAGGCCAGGTGCAGTGGCTCATGCCTGTAATCCCAGCACTTTGGGAAGCCAAGGTGGGCGAATCACTTGAGGCCAGGAGTTCGAGATCTGCCTGACCAACATGACAAAACCCCATCGCTACCAAAAATATGAAATTAGCTGGGTGTGGTGATGTACACCTTTGATCCCAGCTACTCAGGAGGCTGAGGCTGGAGAATCCCTTGAGCCCAGGAGGCAGAGACTGCAGTGAGCCGAGATCGCACCATTGCACTCCAGTCTGGGTGAGAGTGAGACTATTAAAAAAAAAAAAAAGACAGAGATGGTCCCTCCTTTATGGAGCTCTCAGTAAAATAAGAAAGCTCACGATGTCCTGGCATTTGTCAGAAATATATTTGGTATATGTAGCTGGGTTCACATGCTTGACATGCCTATTGAAAGCTTCTGAGTAGGAAGAGAACAATCATCACAGCATCACAGCCTGGCATAACTGTCTCCCAGGACAGGTCTCCCTGGGGAGTCAACTCTGAAATCAGAGCTCAAATCCAGGTTCTACTTTTCGCTCAGTAATGTACATGATGTAGGACAGTTTTTATATTAGTTATCTATTGCTGTGCAAAAATATTACTGCAAACTTTGTGACTTGAGACAGCAAACAGTTACCACTGCACGGTTTCTGTGGATTAGAAATCCAGGTGTGACTCAGCTGGGTTCAATGCAAGCCTGTGGCCATAGTGTCAGCCAGGGCTCAGTTCTCATCTGGAGGCTTGACTGGTGATTGATCTGCTTCCAGGCTCATCTGGTTGTTGGCAGCATTCAGTTCCTTGCAGGCTGCTGGACTCAGGGCCCCAGTTTCTTGCTGCCATCAGCTTCTTGCCACATGGGCCTCTCCATCTGGCCGCTCATGACATGGCAGCTCACATCTTCAAAGCCAGCAAGACAGACAGCCTCCTAGCAAGACAACTTAACATCCTATCTATCTAACATAATCACTACATCCTGTCACCTCTGCCATATTCTCTTGGTTATAAGAAAGTCATAGGTCCCTTTGTCAGATGAGTAGATTGCAAAAATTTTCTCCCATTCTGTAGGTTGCCTGTTCACTCTAATGGTAGTTTCTTTTGCTGTGCAGAAGCTCTTTAGTTTAATTAGATCCCATTTGTCAATTTTGGCTTTTGTTGCCATTGCTTTTGGTGATTTAGACATGAAGTCCTTGCCCATGCCTATGTCCTGAATGGTATTGCTGAGGTTTTCTTCTAGGGTTTTTATAGTTTTAGGTCTAACATTTAAGTCTTTAATCCATCTTGAATTAATGTTAGTATAAGGGGTAAGGAAGGGATCCAGTTTCAGTTTTCTTCATATGGGTAGCCAGTTTTCCCAGCACCATTTATTAAATAGGGAATCCTTTCCCCATTTCTCGTTTTTGTCAGGTTTGTTAAAGATCAGATAGCTGTAGATGTGTAGCATTATTTATGAGGGCTCTGTTCTGTTCCATTTGTCTATATCTCTGTTTTTGTACCAGTACCATGTTGTTTTGGTTACTGTTGTCTTGTAGTATAGTTTAAAGTTAGGTAGCGTGATGCCTCCAGCTTTGTTCTTTTGGCTTAGGATTGACTTGGCAATGCAGGATCTTTTTTGACTCCATATGAACTTTAAAGTAGTTTTTTCCAATTCTGTGAAGAAAGTCATTGGTAACTTGAGGGGGATGGCATTGAATCTATAAATTACCTTGGGCAGTATGGCCATTTTCACGATACTGATTCTTCCTACCCATGAGCATGGAATGTTCTTCCATTTGTTTGTATCCTCTTTTATTTCATTGAGCAGTGGTTTGTAGTTCTCCTTGAAGAGGTCCTTCATGTCCCTGGTAAGTTAGATTCCTAAGTATTTTATTCTCTTTGAAGCAATTGTGAATGGGAGCTCACTCATGATTTGGCTCTCTGTTATTGGTGTATAAGAATGCCTGTGATTTTTGCACATTGATTTTGTATCCTGAAACTTTGCTGAATTTTGGTATTTTTAGTAGAGATGGGGTTTGCTGAATGCAGCCCCCAGTCACGTACTCCCTGCTTGGTCAATCGATCATGACCCTCTCATGTGGACTCCCTTAGATTTGTGAGCCCTTAAAAGGGACAAGAGTTGCTCACTTGGGGAGCTGGGTTGTTAGAGACATGCGCCACCATGCCCAGCTAATTTTTTTATTTTTAGTAGAGACGGGGTTTCACCATGTTGGTTGGCCAGAATAGTCTCGATCCCTTGACCTCGTGATCTGCCCACCTCAGCCTCCCAAAGTGCTGGGATTACAGGTGTAAGCCACTGCACCCAGCCCAGAGAAGGCTTTTCCTACTTGCTTCACAGCCTCCTGCATCCTACACCAGCACCAGGCTCTCACCACCTGTGGGCTGCCCTCATCTGTGATCATCTCTCCCCAGGCCTGCTGTTCCTCAAGAAAGGAAGTTGTAATGGACAGAATACTAAGACAGCCCCCAAGAGACCCACTCCCTTATATCTGCTCCCTGTATCATCTCCTCTTCTTGAGTGTGTGCAGAGCTTGTGATTTGGCCAAGAGGAAGGAATTTTGCAAATGTGATTATGGTCACAGTTGCTTTGTTAAGCACATTTGTTCAGCTGACTTTGAGTTCATCCAAAGCAGGATGATCTTAGGTGGGCCAGACCTAATCAGGTGAATCTTTTAAAGGTGAAGTTTCAGAGGTTCAACCCTTAGCCTCCAAGGAGACACAAATGGCCATGCTGTGAGCTGTCTTTGGAGGTGGCAGCTCTAGGAGTTGAGGGCCTTCATTCAACAATTGCAAGATATTGAATTCAGTCCACAAACTGAATAAGCTTGGAAGAGGATACTGAGCATCCCATGAGACCCCAGCTCCAACTGACACTCTGGTTGCAGTACTGTGACCCTGAATAGAGGACCCAGTTAAACCCTGCCCAGACCCTTGGTGGTGTTTTAAGCTGCTCAGTTTGCACTGGTAAATCCACCAACAGGAAAGTAATATAGAAGTTAAATGGGCCGGACGTGGTGGCTCATGCCTGTAATCCCAACACTTTGGGAGGCTAAGGTGGGTGGATCACAAGGTCAAGAGATGGAGACCATCCTGGCCAACATGGTGAAACCCCGTCTCTACTAAAAATACAAAAATTAGCCAGGCGTGGTGGCACACACCTGTAATCCCAGCTACTCAGGAGGCTGAGGCAGGAGAATCACTTGAACCCAGGAGGCGGAGGTTGCTGTCACCCGGGACCATGTCACTGAACTCCAACCTGGGCAACAGAGAGAGACTCCATCTCAAAAATATATATATATATATTTTTTTTTTAAACGAATACTTTTGACCATTGATGGAAGTTGCTTTCATTCCCTCTTACTTAATCATCTTTATCTTAGCCCTGAAAGAGGGATGCTTTAACCTCATTTGTAACAAGTGAGTCTGAGGCCCAGGAAAGTGATAGAATTTAGCAAAGTTCACCTTGCTACCTGGTGGCCCCAGCTAGAACTCAGACCCAGATCCATATACCTAAAGTCATTACAACATCAACTAAAATTTTGCCCCTCACTCCATGCCTTCCTCTTAAGAAGCCTGTTCCTTCAGGGATAGATCCCAACCCAGTGTTACAAGGTACTGAACTCTGATTTTCACAAAATATAGTAACTACCCCCCAAAATTAGTAATAGTATTTTTGAGCCGGGCACGGTGGTTCATGCCTGTAATTCCAACACTTTGGGAGGCTGAGGTGGGCAGATCATGAGGTCAAGAGCATCCTGGACAACATGGTGAAACCCCATCTCTACTAAAAATACAAAAATTAGCTGGGAGTGGTGGCAGGTGTCTGTAATCCCAGCTACTAGGGAGGCTGAGGCAGGAGAATCGCTTGAACCCAGGAGGCAGAGTTTGCAGTGAGCTGAGATTGCACCACTGCACTACAGCCTGGCAACAGAGCAAGACTCTGTCTCAAAAAAAAAAAAAAAAAAAAAAAAAAACTAAAAAAAACTATTTTTGAGTCCTTATGTGTCAACCACTGGGCTATCCCAACACCAACAGATACTATGATTATGATTAGTTTTTCCATTTTATTGATGAGGAAGCCAACACATAGAAAGGTAAAGGAACTTGCCAAAGGTGATGGTCACACAGCCAAAGAGCTGTAGAAGCAGCACAGGAATCCCAGCAAACTCACAGCCAAGCTCTGCTTTTCACCTTCACATCATACTGTCCTCAGACTAAAACCCTAACTCTGACCTTCCCAATCAAAAATCATACTCAAGGCCGGGCACAGCGGCTCACGCCTGTCATCTCAGCACTTTGGGAGGCTGAGACAGGTGGATCACCTGAGGTCAGGAGTTCCAGACCAGCCAGGCCAACATGGTGAAACCCCATCCCTACTAAAAATACAAAACTTAGCCAGGTGCGGTGGTGGTTGTCTGTAGTCCCAGCACTTTGGGAGGCTGAGGCATGAAAATCACTTGAACCCAGGAGGCAGAAGTTGCTGTTATCCATGATCATGCCACTGCACTCCAGCCTGGGCAAGAGAGTGAGACTCTGTCTCAAAAAAAAAAAAATAATAAAATAAAAAAATAAAAAAAATTGTGCTTAGTAATAGCTTGGAAGTGCACATATCTTCTGTGAAGTTTGATGGACTACAATTAGCTTCAAAACACAAATAAGTAACTGCATTTAAATGAGACCTTCTGTGTAATAGCTAGGGAAAGTCAATGTAGATATTCATATTTTGGTTCCTCTTCCAGGCACAGAGAAGTTGCCCATGACTCTTTGATCTGTTTTGTCCAATGAACCACGAGCAGGAGCAACTTGAGTCACCTCCAGGTGGAAGTGTTAAGAGGCTCTATGATCCACCACATTCTCTTTCCCCTGAAGTGGTGATCAAGGACACATGCAGAGATGGGGCTTTTGTCAGCCTGGATCCCTGAGTGAACACAATGAACAGACCACCCCACAATGCCCTAACACAGCCCAGACATGCAACGTGACCAAGAATAAGCCTCACTGTGGCCAGACATGGTGGCTCATGCCTGTCATCCCAGCACTTTGGGAGGCCAAGGCGGGTGGATCATTTGAGGTCAGGAGTTCAAGACCAACCTGGCTAACATGGTGAAATACTGTCTCTACTAAGTACAAAAATTAGCCAGACAGTGATGGCATGGGCCTGTAATCCCAGCTACTCAGGAGGCAGGAGAATCACTTGAGTCTGGGAGGCAGAGGTTGCAGTGAGCTGAGATTGCACACTGCACTCTAGTCTGGGTGACAGAGTGAGACCCTGTCTCAAAAACAAACAAACAAATACCTCACTGCATGAGGCCACTGAGATTTGGGGATTGTTGTTACAGCACCAGAACGCAAATCATCCTGACTGCTAGGGTGTCCTAACTAGGGTTTCTTACCAAAAGCAAAGGCATTTTTAAAGTTCGTGACATTTAAACAAAAGAGCAAATACCAATATCTACCACTTTGTCAGGCTAACAAACCCAAACAAAGCCAACAGCCAGAAGTTAAAATAAACAGATCATTAGGTTGAAAATAGAACTGTCAAAACAGGCCCAATTGACTTCATTTAGTGATTGCAAAGAACATCAGGCAAGACACAGGTATGCTCATCATAACATTTATCACATGCTTCATTGCACATGTTTGACTAAGAAAAACAAAGTATTTAAGCTCATCTGTAGTTCAAAGTGCCTATCCGTGTATTTATCTATTCATCCTGATTTATTTATTGAGCAACTCTTTTGTGCCAGGCACTGTGCTGTGTTGCGGGAAGTCAGGGACCCCAAATGGAGGGACCAGCTGAAGCCATGACAGAAGAACGTGGATTATGAAGATTTTATGGACATTTATTAGTTCCCCAAATTAATACTTTTGTAATTTCTTATGCCTGTCTTTACTGCAATCTCTAAACATAAATTGTGAAGATTTCATGGACACTTATCACTTCCCCAATCAATACCCTTGTGATTTCCTATGCCTATCATTACTTTAATCTCTTAATCCTGTCAGTTGAGAAGGATGTATATCGTCTCAGGACCTGTAATAATTGCGTTAAGTACATAAATTGTACATCATGTGTGTTTGAGCAATATGAAATGTGGGCACCCTGAAAAAAGAACAGGATAACAGCAATTGTTCAGGGAATTAGAGAGATAACCTTAAACTCTGACCGCTGGTGAGCCAGGCAGAACAGAACCATATTTCTCTTCTTTCAAAAGCAAATGGGAGAAATATCGCTGAATTCCTTTTTTCAGCATGGAACGTCCCTGAGAAAGAGAATGCGCACCTAGGGGTAGGTCTCTGAACTGGCCCCCCGGGGCGTACCTGTCTCTTATGGTCGAGATTGCAGAGGTGAAATAAACTCCAGTCTCCCATAGCACTCCCAGGCTTATTAGGAAGAGAAAATTCCCGCCTAATAAACTTTGGTCAGACGGGTTGATCTCAAAACCCTGTCTCCTCATAAGATGTTATCAATGACAATGGTGCCAAAACTTCATTAGCAATTTTAATTTCACTTCCGTCCTGTGGTCTGGCCCTGTCTCCACTTGCCTTGTGATATTCTATTACCCTGTTAAGTACTTGATGTCTGTCACCCACACCTATTCATATACTCCCTCCCCTTTTGAAACTCCCTAATAAAAACTTGCTGGTTTTTGTGGCTTGTGGGACATCACGGATCCTACCAATGTGTGATGTCTCCCCCAGATGCCCAGCTTTACAATTTCTCTCTTTTGTACTCTGTCCTTTTATTTCTCAAGCCAGTCGACGCTTAGGAAAATAGAAAAGAACCTACGTGATTATCGGGGGAGGTCCCCCGATATCTGGCGCCCACGTGGTCTTTCTTTTTTCCTAAGTGCATGAGGGAACCGGATTCCGTTTGGTAGGTGCGGTGAAACGTCAATCGGCTTGGTCCACAGATAAGCGTGTTCAACTCCCCGATGAGTGGTGAGTAATCTGTGTAAGGTCTGGGTTAACTGTGGGTCATGTGTAATCTAACAAACTCCTGTTAAAACCGGTAACCATGAAAAATATGATCACTCTATTCAGGGCAGTAGAAAAATACTGTTCTTGGTTTCCTGAAAAAGGAACGGTGTATATAAAATTGTGTGATTGTGTCCGTAAGGCATTCCGAAAACTGATCTCGGCCGGGTATTATGTGCCCATCACTGTTTGGGGTGCTTGGTGCGTGACATCTTCGTGGCTTGCCAATCTCCTGACCCCCTGCAGTTGCCGCAGTTTTCTGCCTTTTCCTCAGTTTCTCTGCCTTTTTCTCAACCTTCCTCTCCCACATGGCCTTCGTTCAGACTCTCCCTTCAGCTACTCCTCCCCTCCCTAACGATTCTGAAAATTCGATTTCTAACTCTGGTAACTTTGGCTTAAAGTTACCCCCTACTTTTCTTACTTCTTCCCACGAAAAGCCGGTACTTCAAACTCCTGCGGCTGTGACTCAAAAAGCCCGGTACCATAAATATGCTAATTCTTCTCTCTTCAAACCTCCAGCATCAAATAATGGCTCTGGGACCAAACTACAATTTACCTGTCATTCTCCAGGCCCTCCCCCATCCACTACAGCCCCTCACCCTCCTGTCGTTTCAGTTCCTCAGCCAGTCTGCATCGATATGCGCCGCTCAATCTTACCTTTTTAAAAACAATTTAAGGATGCTTGTACTCAGTATGGTCCTACTTTTCCTTATGTTCAAATGGTATTGCAAACTTTTTATACTGAGGTCGTTTTGCTTCCTTTAGACTGTGATCTTTTGGCAAAAAGCTGTTCTAAGTCCATCTCAGCCTGGTGGTAGGAGGAGGCCTGTTTACAGGCTCAGCTAAATCGGAGTAATGGCATTCTAATTACTCAGGCTCAGCTCACAGGCTCCGATAGTTTCTCTGATGCTTATGCCCAATTAAACTTTGATACTCTTACCACAGAACAAGTAACAAAAGTGTGTATGAGAGCTTGGGATAAACTACACTCCCCAGCCCAAGCTCCTGTTTCTTTTACTACTCTTCAACAAGCTCAATTGCTTTTACTACCTAATATCCTTTTAAACAAAGGAGATAAGACAAGTGGCCCTGGGATTCAGCAGGGGCCGCTTTCTAAAGAAAAACTGGAGGCTTTAAATCAATTGGTTTCTGAGCAGTTACAACTTGGAAATGTGGAACCTTCTCTTTCCCCTTGGAATTCTCCTGTTTCTAGTAAAAAAGAAATCAGGCAAATGGCGGATAGTAACCGATTTAAGGGCCATTAATGCTGTAATTAAACCTATGGGGGCCGTCCAACCCGGCATGCCTGCCCCTGCTTTAATACCTAAAGATTGGCCTCTCATAGTTATTGATCTTAAAGAGTTTTTTTTTTCATATCGCTTTACATAAATCGGATTGTGAAAAATTTGCTTTTACTGTACCATCTATCAATAATCAGGAGCCTGTAGCTCGTTATCAATGGAAAGTACTTCCTCAGGGAATGCTAAATAGCCCTACAATCTGCCAGCTTTATGTTGGACAAGTGCTTTCACCAGTTTGAGCCCGATTTCCCGAGGCCTATATTCTTCATTATATTGATGATATTTTAATTTCTGCCCCCACTGATAAAAAATTAATTGACTGTTACCAAATTTTGAACCGCTGTGTTACAGAGGCTGGATTACGCATTGCTCAGGATAAAATTCAACAGACCACTCCTGTTCAATATTTAGGAATGGTGGTCGATAAACAATGTATTCAACCTCAAAAAGTTCAAATTAGGAGAGATTCTTTAAAAACTTTAAATGACTTCCAAAAACTTTTGGGTAACATTAATTATTTAAGACCTACTTTAGGCATTCCGACCTATACCCTGTCTAACTTGTTCTCTATGCTGCGGGGAGATTCTGATCTCCGCAGCCCTAGGACTTTGACCCCTGAGGCTTTACTGGATCTGGAATTTGTAGAGGAAAAAATCCAGACTGCCCAGTTATCTAGAGTACAGACATTTCAGCCTTTTCAGCTTCTGGTTTTTGCTTCATTACACTCTCCTACTGGACTAATAGTTCAACATAATGATTTAGTGGAATGGTGTTTTCTTCCTCATTCTGTGTCAAAAACTTTATCTAGACCAAATAGCCATATTAATTGGACAGGTTCGGTGCAGAATACTTCAATTTTCTGGATTTGATCCAAGTGTAATTGTAGTTCCTTTAAATCAGCTCGAAGTTCAAGCTGCCTTTCAACATTCTGTACTGTGGCAAATTCACTTGGCTGATTTTATTGGTGTTATTGACGATCATTATCCAAAAAAACAAATTGTTTGATTTTATAAAAATAACGTCTTGGGTGGTTCCTCGATTAACCAAAAATCAACCCATTCCTGAGGCCGTTACAGTATTCACTGATGGCTCTGGTAATGGCAATGCTGGCTATACAGGTCCTGCAGACAAACTTCTTTCTACCTCTTATACTTCTCTTCAAAATGCGGAGTTAATTGCTGTGATTACTGCCTTACAGGATTTCCCCAAACCTTTAAATATTGTCTCTTATTCTACTTAACGTGGGGAAGAGGATATGCTTGTGTTTCACCAGGAGATCATCAATCCCCTGTCTGGGTGCCCACCAGAAGACTCAAGCTTCTTGTGAATACTGACAATCAAAACCACAGTGAAGAGACGTCTGTGTCAGAGACTGCCTTCAGATGTGGTGAGATCTGTGCCGACTCCTCAGAAACAGGCACACCAAATCACAATGGGTGTAAATCAATCCTCCCTGATGACAGTGGAGACCCATCTAACTAATCACACTTATCCTGATTACCTTTCTTTTTCTCCTTACAAACCTAAATATCTCACCATTTCTATTAGCCTGAAAATAACATCCCACTCTTCTTCTCTTTCTCCTTCAGCACTCCATCTCGCTTACACTAGGTTTTATTTAATGATTCTCCTCCTTATACTTTCTGTCTCACCAGTTTCCTCTCACACTGATTTACCTGCTACACATAATTATTCTTCTTGGGCTTAGGTGTCTTTTCCTCCACTTATTCGCTCTCTCACCCGGATAGATGCTCCCGCAGAAATCTACACTAACGATAGTGTGTGGATGCCTGGAGCCATAGACGACCCTTGCCCCGCACAACCAGGAGAAGAAGGCACTGCATTTAATGTTACCATGGGTTATAAATACCCACCTCTGTGCCTCGGACATGCACCTGGTTGCATCCATCTAGAAACTCAGTTCTGGGCTGCTTATCTTTCAGAAACATCAGCTACAGATAAAATGGGACATTTGGCCTCTGGCCTCTCCCTTTCTCCTTTACAACAAATGAAAGGAGGAGTAATGGGAGGTACCCCATACTTTCAATATAAACCTGCAGGAAAACCATGCCCTAAACATTTTGAGGGACCATCTAAAACTTTAATTTGGGAAGATGGTGTTAACTCACATGCAGTAATATTAAAAAATGACTCATATGGTTTAGTAATAGACTGGGCACCATAGGGCTATTTAAAAAACAATTGCTCCTCTGTGGAAGGGAATGCCTGGAGGCTACTTATTTTATTTCTTATCAGGAGAAAGAGAATCATCATTCAAGGATCAGCTCATTCTTTCCCTTAAAATGGGAAGATAAAGGCATTACCCCCGCCCCCACCAGGCATCCTATGATACTCCCTATTCTGAGCCCAGAACACCCAGAACTTTGGAAATTGGCTATTGCCATGTCTGGACTGCGAGTATGGGAAGGAAAAACTATTTTGACTGTTGTTCCCACTACCGTCCCACTCTCTCAGTATCAACGTAGACCCAGATATTCTGCTTTACTTACCTCCAACCTGACTGTTCCCATACAGAGTTGTGTTAAGCCTCCTTACATGATATTGGTAGGAAATATCAAAATTTGGAAGAATAATCAAAGTGTCCAATGCATCAGTTGTCATCTATACACTTGTATTAACTCCCACTTTGACTCCAGGAAAAGTGTAATGTTGGTTTGAGCTCGAGAAGGAATCTGGATTCCGATAACTTTACCTAGACCTTGGGAATCCTCCCCCTCAATACATTTAATTAATGAAGTGGTACAACGAATTCTAAAAGAACCTAAGATATTTGTTTTCACTTTAATCGCTGTTATCATGGGCCTAATTACAGTCACTGCAATGGCCACCACTGCTGGAATGGCATTACACCAGTCTATTCAAACGGCTCATTTTGTTAATGATTGGCAAGCCAATTCCACCCAAATGAGGAATTCTCAACAAGGCATCGATCAAAAATTGGCAAATCAAATTAATGATTTAAGACAGTCTGTTATTTGGCTTGGAGATCGGGTAGTGAGTCTAGAACATCGCATGCAAATGCAGTGCGATTGGAATACTTTGGATTTCTGCATCACCCCTATTCCTACAACGAGACTGATCATTCATGGGAAATGGTCAAAGGACATCTTCTAGGTAGAAAATATAATTTATCATTGAAAACAACTAAATTAAAAAAAAAACAAATTTTTGAAGCCTCACAAGCTCACTTATCCATCGTGCCTGGAGCTCAGGCGTTAGATCAGGTGGCAGAAAATCTTTATGGATTAAACCCCAGAACTTGGATTAAGTCTATTGGGGGCTCCACTGTAGTAAATTCTGGAATTATGTTTCTCTGCTTCATCGGCTTGCTTTTAGTGTGCCGTACCAGTCAAATAATCCTGTGTCAAAATCGAGAGAATGAACAAGCCTTCATCGCCATGGCACATTTATATAAAAAGAAAGGGAGAGATGTTGCGGGAAGTCGGGACCCCAAACAGAGGGACCGGCTGAAGCCATGACAGAAGAACGTGGATTATGAAGATTTTATGGACATTTATTAGTTCCCCAAATTAATACTTTTGTAATTTCTTATGCCTGTCTTTACTGCAATCTCTAAACATAAATTGTGAAGATTTCATGGACACTTATCACTTCCCCAATCAATACCCTTGTGATTTCCTATGCCTGTCATTACTTTAATCTCTTAATCCTGTCAGTCGAGAAGGATGTATATCGTCTCAGGACCTGTAATAATTGCGTTAAGTACACAAATTGTACATCATGTGTGTTTGAGCAATATGAAATGTGGGCACCCTGAAAAAAGAACAGGATAACAGCAATTGTTCAGGGAATTAGAGAGATAACCTTAAACTCTGACCGCTGGTGAGCCAGGCAGAACAGAACCATATTTCTCTTCTTTCAAAAGCAAATGGGAGAAATATCACTGAATTCCTTTTCTCAGCATGGAACGTCCCTGAGAAAGAGAATGCGCACCTAGGGGTAGGTCTCTGAACTGGCCCCCCGGGGCTTACCTGTCACTTATGGTCGAGATTGCAGAGGTGAAATAAACTCCAGTCTCCCACAGCACTCCCAGGCTTATTAGGAAGAGAAAATTCCCACCTAATAAACTTTGGTCAGACGGGTTGATCTCAAAACCCTGTCTCCTCATAAGATGTTATCAATGACAATGGTGCCAAAACTTTATTAGCAATTTTAATTTCACTTCCATCCTGTGGTCCTGTGATCTCACCCTGTCTCCACTTGCCTTGTGATATTCTATTACCCTGTTAAGTACTTGATGTCTGTCACCCACTCCTATTCATATACTCTCTCCCCTTTTGAAACTCCCTAATGAAAACTTGCTGGTTTTTGTGGCTTGTGGGGCATCACGGATCCTACCAATGTGTGTTGTCTCCCCCGGATACCCAACTTTAAAATTTCTCTCTTTTGTACTCTGTCCTTTTATTTCTCAAGCCAGTCGACGCTTAGGAAAATAGAAAAGAACCTACCTGATTATCAGGGCAGGTCCCCCGATAGTGTTGGGTGGTGGTAATGCAATGATGAAGATGGCAGGCATGCCTCTGCCCTCCAGGAGTTTCTAGGATACAGAGGGGGACAAACAAAAAATAAGTAAATCTATGAAAGAAGTATAGGTGGAAACTGCCCCCAATATTTCAATGTAGGTTCTTTCTGTTTTCCATAAGTGTCAGCCAGCTGAGAAATAAAGAGAGACACTACAAAGAGGAATTTTACAGCTGGGCTGCTGCGGGTGACATTACACATCAGTAGGACCGTGATGCCCCCTGAGTCTCAGATGAGCAAGTTTTTATTAAGGGCTTCAAAAAATGCATTCCTTTCCCAGGGTATTACTATTAATATTCCTTGCTAGGAAAAGAATTTAGCGATCTCTCTCCTACTTGCACATCCGTTTATAGACTCTCTGCAAGAAGAAACATATGGCTCTTTTTGCCCAACCCTGCAGGCAGGCAGACCTTATGGTTGTCTTCCTTTGTTCCCTAAAAATTGCCGTTATTCTCTTCTTTTTCAAGGTGCACTGATTTCATATTGTTGAAACACACATGTTTTACAATCAATTTGTACAGTTAACACAATTATCACAGTGGTCCTGAGGTGATGTACATCCTTAGCTTATGAATATAACAGAATTAAGAGATTAAAGACAGGCATAAGAAATTATAAAAGTATTATTTGGGAACTGATAAATGTCCATGAAATCTTCACCATTTATGTTCCTCTGCCATGGCTCCAGCCAGTCCCTCTCCATTTGGGGTCCCTGACTTCCCACAACAAGAAACAATAAGAGGTTAAGGTGGAGAAGAGCAGGCAAGTCCACTTTATAAAGGGGTCAGGGAAGAGCTGTCTGTGGAAGCACCATTTTAGCTGACACCTGAAGGATGGTCTAATTTGGGGAGGTGCAGGGAAAATCATTCCAGGCTGAAGCAGCAAGTGCAAAGGCCGTGTTGTGGAAAAAGGTTTGAAAGTCCAAGAAAACAAAAGGAGGCCATAGTGGCTGAAATAGAGTAGGCCAAGGGCAGGAGATAGTAGAGGGCTGGAGAGGTGGCAGGAACAGGCAGAAGACTCGGGGTCTCGATTTTATTCTATGTACCATGGGCAGGAAAGGCAGGGATGAGACTCAATGGAAGCCTTAAGATCACTGAAGCTGCCAGGTAGGAAATGGATTGCTGAGCATGGAGAGCAGGTGCAGAGTACCAGTTAAGACCAGTTAGGAGGCTGCTGTAGCCCAGCTGAGATAGTGGTGTCCTAGGCAAAGATAATGACAGTGAAGCTACAGAGAGTGGACAAGTTGGATAAAGTTTAGAATCACAGGACTTGCTGACTGGAGAAGAGGGCAAAAGAAGAGTTAGCACAACACATGAGTTATGACCACCTTGAGCAGCTCAGCAGGGGGTGGTGCCATTTACAGAACAGAGATGGCATGGACAGAGCCCATGGAGAAGGAGGAGGAAAAAGAGAGTTTGGCTTTGGTTTTTTTTTTTTTTAAGACAGGGTCTCTGGCTGTGTCACCCAGGCTGGAGTGCATTGGTGCAATCATAACTCTTTGCAGCCTCAAACTCCTGGGCTCAAGTGATCCTCCTGCCTCAGCGTGCCATGTAGCAGGACTACAGATCCTACAGATGCACATCACCATGCCTAGCTTTTTTTTTTTTTTTTTTTTTTTTGTAGATAGGGAGTCTCACTCTGTTTTCCAGGCTGGCTTCCAACTCCTGGCCTCAAGTAATCCTCCCACCTCTGCCTCCCATAGCACTGGGATTACAGCCATCACCTACCACTCCAAGCCATGAGTTTGGCTTTGGATGTAACAAAGTTGAGGTGTTCATGAGTTGACAAGTGGAAAAAACAAGAAAGAAGTTGAGTGTTAAAACTGCTGTTTGAAGGAGAATTCTAGCCTCAAGACAAAAGTTCAGGACTCATTAGCTGAGAAATGGCACTGAAAATTATGTAAATGGATGAGCTCAGCTAGCAAACAAGTCCAGAGAGAGCAGCACTGGGCTATACATCTGGCCTAATGCTGCCCTGCTCCTCCCAATCCCTGTGTTATGCTGGAGAGGGTTCAGCCTCTGGTGAGTTTCACCAAACCCCCACATCTCTTTCTTCTGAGACCTTCTCTAAAATCCCCTCTTTTATACTTAGTGAAATGGGATTCTCTTTTTCCCATCCAGCTTAAGCACAAACTTTTGACTATGAGAAGAATGAGGATGCATTTAGTATCTGTTCTGCATGGCTAATTCCATCAAAGATTTCTCATTATTCATGCCTGGCAGTCTCATTTTCTTCTTTTGCCTCTAAGAGCACAGTCGTAGCCATAATTACTGACATTTTCACTCTTCTAATACCAGCGATTTCCCCCATCTCAGTTCTCAGGAAGTTCTGTTCACAGAATTATCTCCTGAATCCTCACCTGGAGATAGAAATTGTTCTCTGTGGCCATTTCTTCCCCCTCTAATTCTTATCAAAAAACTCAGTGATCTCTGTGCATCAGATATTAAACTCAAGCTCAATAGATCATGATTCTGGCTTGTCTGTCTCTCCTGCCTGTGGGTTAACAGGTATGCAACCTTTGCAGAGGAGACACCAAATTCTCAGGAGGCCAGAGTTTCCAAAGGTACTGGTCACTCTTGCTCTCTTTCTCCTGCTCAGAATTCAGCACTAGAGAGTGTTACACCATTGCACCTGCAGAGGAGTTCATCTGACTCTAGGGACTACAGAGGAGAGAGATGGACAAACTAACAGGCATTCAGAAAATGACTACCACAATGGGGAAGAAAATGAAAGTCAAACCAAATAAGCAATGGTCAACAAAAAAAAAAATCTAGAGGGCAGCTGCAGTGGCTCACACGTGTAATCTCAGCACTTTGGGAGGCCGAGGCAGGTGGATCACTTGAGATCAGGAGTTCGAGACCAGCCAGGGCAACATAGTGAAACCACATCTCTACTAAAAATACAATAATTAGCCAGGTGTGGTGGCGGGCACCTGTAATCCCAGCATTTTGGGAGGCTGAGGTGGGTGGATCACCTGATGTCAGGAGTTTGAGACCAGCCTGGCCAACATGGTGAAACCCTATTTCTATTAAAAAATACAAAAATTAGCCAGGTGTGGTGGCAGGTGCCTATAATCCCAGCTACTTGGGAGGCTGAGGCAGGAGAATTGCTTGAACCCAGGAGGCAGAGGTTCTGGCGAGCAAAGATTGCACCACTGCACTCCAGCCTGGGCAACAGTGAGACTTTGTCTCAAAAAAAAAAAAAAAAAAAAAAAAAAACAACCTAGAGATGTCCATCCAGGCTGGACAGAATATTCCAGAGCAGAGATTGGGACACTATGGCCCATGGGCCAAATCTGACCTGCTTGCACATGTGTTTGTCAATAAAGTTTTATTGAAACACAGCCATGCACATTTGCTACATATTGTCTACGGCTGCTGGATTTGGCTGTTCTCATGGTATAAAGAAATACCTGAGACTGGGTAATATATAAAGAAAAGAGGTTTAATTGGCTCGCAGTTTTGTAGGCTATACAGGGAGCATGACACTGACATCTGCTGAGCTTCTGTGGAGGCCTCAGGAAACTTACAATGATGGCAGAAAGTGAAGCGGGAGCAAGAGAGTAAGGAGGGAGGTGCGACACACTCGTAAACAACCCGATCTTGCAAGAACTCACTCACTATTGCAAGGACAGGACCAAAAGGATGATGCAAAATCATTCATGAGAAATCCACCCCCATGATTCAATCTCTTCCCACCAGGCCCCACCTCTAACACTGGGGACAGCTTTTATCTTGGCTTTTTCACTGGCAGCCCCTTCCTCAAGGACTTAACTTGTGTAAGCTGACTCTTAGCAGATCTAAGAATGCAATTAACTGATAAGATACTGTGGGGCGAGCAATATCCACAGTTCCCAGGAATTTGTCCGATTGATAATGCCTAAAGCCCCACGTCTATCACTTTGTAATAGTCTTAAAGCCCTTAGACCTAGAACTCTTTACTTTCCTGTATCAATTTATCCTTTTAACTTTTTTGCCTACTTCTGTAAAATTCTTTTAACTAGACCTGTTTCCCCTTTCTAAACTGAAGTATAAAAGAAAATCTAGCCCCTTCTTCGGGGCCAAGAAAACGTTAAGAGTTAGCCATTTCTTAGGCACCAGCTAAATAAGGAGACTCTTAATTCATGTGAAAGTGTGGCATTTTCTCCAACTCATTCAAGTACAACATTTGGAGGCCCCAGCGAGAAACGCCATGAGGAGAGAGCCGGGCTCCCCCGGAAGGACGGCCGGCTTGTGGGGGGTGCCACCTAAAAAAAAACCTTCAGGTCCTCGAAAAGTGACCGTCTTCCAGAGGAGAGCGGATCGACTACCCGGTGGGTGCCCATAAAAATTCCACCTCTGAGTCCTCGACTTCTGACCCTGAGGTCACGTAGGTCAGATTTGACTTCAGTTCTAGGAAGAGGGAAGCGGCCCTGATGAGGGTGTCCCTCTTTCGACTCTGCATGTTTCTCTAGGACGCTAGAAGGTAGAGCCCTGGTTTTCTGTTAGGCACCTCTGTGTCTCTTTCTAGGAGGGAAGTGGCCCTGACAGGGGCCCTCCCTTGACTCAGTCCACATCCCAGGATGCTGGAGGACTGAGTCCTGGTTTCCGGCAGACCGGTCACTCTCTCTCTCTCTGTTTCTATCTCTCATCTTTCTCTTGTTCAAGTTTCTTGAAGAATCTCCAAGAAAGAAAAAAAAAAACTGTTATATACTCTGTGTGAATAATGAATGAGTGAGGGAGGACAAGGGCTCGCGCTTGTCCTCCAGTTTGTAGCTCCACGGCGAAAGCTACGGAGTTCAAGTAGGCCCTCACCTCACCTGCGGTTCTGTGGCGACCCCATAAGGCTTAAGGCAGCATCAGGCATAGCTTGATCTGAGCCGGAAGTTTATACCGGCCTGCCAATGCTAAGAGGAGCCCAAGTCCCCTCAGGGGGAGGGGCCAGGCAGTTATCTGACTGATCCCATCACAGGAAACCCTCCCCTTGTCTGTCTAAAAAAAAAAAAAAAAAAAAAAAGGAAGAAACTGTCGTAACTGTTTACATGCACTAAAGTCAATTGTTTGTTTTATATTGATTGTTCTGCTCAGTGTCTATTGTCTTGTTAGTAGTTGTCAGAGTTTTGCATGTCAAGACGTTGATATTGCCAAGACGTCTAAGTAAAAACTTCTTCAAAGCCCTTAGTGCTGATTTTTTGTCACAGGAGGTTAAATTTCTCATCAATCTTTTAGGCTGGCGACCACAGTCCTGTCTTTTCTGCCAGAAGCAAGTCAAGTGTTGTTACAAGAACAAGTGTGAAAAACATTTGCCTGATTAAGATTTCTAGCACCATGAAAGTTGTAAGTATTTAGATCGTCATACTCCACGTCCAGGTGATTAGACCTCCTCTAAACTAAACCAGTAGTGAGTTCAAAACAGCCACCCTGCAAATTTCCTTGCTCACCTCTCTCGTCATTCTGTAACTTTTCCTGTGCCCTTAAGTAGAACACTGTGTAAAGAAATGTACGCCCGTACTGCTTTACTTCATTTAGATTCTTACTCTGTTCCTCTGTGGCTACTGTCCCATCTTAAAAATGATCCGAGTAGTCCTTTCCTGCCTTGTCCCTGCCCCCTATCCCGCACATCTCGTTTTACGGTGCGACAGCAAGTTTACCATCTCCAGGACTTGGCTCTGCTCTCACTCCTTAAACCCTTAAAAGAAAAAGCTAAGTTTAAGCTATTTGCATTTAAGTCATAAAGACACCAAAAATATTTAAAGTGCAGATCTAGAAGAAGAAGAAGAACGCCTAAATCAAACTGACCCAGAAGATCTCAGGCTGGCTCTAGTCCTCCTCCCTCAATCTTAAAGCTACAGCAATGTAGCAAGTAGTATTAGCTGTTGTAAGTTTTTCTGCTCTCTCTGGTCATACTGATTCTGTTCTTTCACTATGCCAGTCCCCCAAGAAATAAGTTTCTCTGTCCATGCTAAGTTTAATATCTATGCTCAAATCTTATTAAATTGCCTTCAAAAAAAATAAAAATAAGAAACACTTCCTCCCAGCCTTGTAAAGTTAAAGCCCTCTCCAATGTATGCTGCAGAATTTTTCTCTCAGTTCAGAGGATTATAAAGTCCGCCTAAAAAAGGCAAGCTCCAGACACTCTGCAAAATAAAATGGCCAAAGTTTAAAGTCAAGTGGCCCCCTGAAGGGTCATTGAACCTCACAATTGTTCAAGCTGTGTGGCAGGTTGTTACTGAAACTCCTAGTCACCCTGATCAGTTTCCCTACATTAGCTACGTTTAGTCAGGATCCACTCTCCATGGCTCCGTTCATGCGCCGTTCATAATTCTACCTCCAAGGTCCTCCTAAGCCAGACCGCGTTTTCGCCTCAACCCTCAGTCGGTTCAGCTTCCCCTGTACTGCCTCCCTCTGAAGAAGAGGAGAGTCCCCCTCACCCAATCCCACCGCCTTACAACCAACCTTCTCCCTTAAAGTTATCCCATGTCTCCTCGACGACGTCCCCTGTAGGCTCGCCACCCATTGCCTCTCAGTCATGACCGTGGCAGGAAGAAGTAGTCCCTCTACTACCACTGAGAGAGGCACAAGTCCCTCCAGGTGACGAGCGCTCAGCACCCTTCTTAGTTTGTGTCCCTTTTTCTACTTCTGACTTATATAATTAGAAAACCCATAATCCTCCCTTCTCTGAAAAGCCCCAGGCTTTGACCTCTCTGACAGAGTCTGTACTCCGGACCCGCCCGCCCACCTAAGATGATTGCCAACAGCTCCTTTTAACCCTTTTCACCTCTGAAAAGAAGGAACGTATCCAAAAAGAAGCCAAAAAGTACTTCCTCACATCAGCCAACGGACCGGAAGAAGAAGCTAGAGACCTCCTTGAGGATGTCTTTCCCTCTACCCAGCCTAACCAGGACCCACATTCCTCAAGTAGAAAGGGAGCTTTAGACGATTTTCACTGGTATCTCCTCGCAAGTATTAAAAGAGCCTCTCAGAAACCCATCAACTTGTCTAAGACGACCGACGTTGTCCAAAAGCCCGATAAGTCACCAAGAACGTTTTAGAGCGCCTCCAGGAGGCTTATCGGATTTACACCCCTTTTGACCCGGCAGCTCCCGAAAATAGCCTTGCTCTTAATTTAGCATTTGTGGCTCAGGCAGCCCAGGATATTAAAAAGAAACTCCAAAAACTAAAGATTTTCTAGAATAAATATCAGTCAGCTTTTAGAAATAGCCCAAAAAGTTTTTGATAATCAAAAGCTTAAAAAACAAAAGCAACACAGGCAACTGGAAAGGCCGCTGATAAAGCATTCAGAAGACAAACAAAAATCTTAGTGGCAGCCATCCAAGAAGTACAGAATGAAGTAGCCCGTTAATTTAGCATTAACTGAAGCCCCTGCTTTAGCCCTCCCTAATATCTCCATAAAAGCCAAGGAGTTGCTAAAGACGTGCTTACTCAGACTTTAAGACCCTAAAGCCGCCCAGTGGCCTATTTGTCTAAGAGGCTAGATCCTGTGGCCTCTAGATGGCCAAGTTGTCTTCGAGCCTTAGCGGCTACAGCAAGCCTGGCCCAAGAAGATGATAAGTTAACTCTAAGCCAAAATTTAACCCTTACAGCTCCTCACGCCGTAAAGACCTTACTACAAAATGCTTCTGGCAAATAGATGTCAAATGCTCGCATCTTGCGGTATCAAAGTTTACTGTTAGATCAGCCTCGTTTGACTTTCTCTCCCACAAAGTGTTACAATCCAGCTACACTACTTCCTGACTCAGACTCCACTATTCCTGCTCATGACTGTCAAGAACTGTTAGAAACTATCGAAACTGGCCTATCTGATCTTCAAGCTGTGCCCCTAGAAAAGGCAGATGCCGCCGTGTTCACAGACGGTAGCAGCTTCCTCAAGCAGGAAATATGAAGAGCCAGTGCAGCTGTTACCACGGAGACACATTTGTTGTAAGCTCAAGCTTTACCAGCGAACACCTCAGCACAAAAGGCTGAATTGATCGCCCTCACTCAGGCTCTCCAATAAAGTAAGAATAAACTTATTAACATTTACACTGACAGCAAGTACGCCTTTGCTGCTGTGCATGTACATAAAGCCATCTACCAGGAAAGCAGGCTACTCACCTCAGCAGGTAGCTGTGATCCACCGCAAAGGACATCAAAAAGAAAACACGGCCGTGGCCCATAGTAACCAGAAAGCTGATTCAGCAGCTCAGGTCGCAGCAAGACTTTCAGTCACGCCTCTAAACTTGCTGCCCACAGTCTCCTTTCCACAGCCAGATCTGCCTGACAATCCCGTATACTCAACAACAACAACAACTGGCTTCGGATCTCAGAGCCAATAAAAATCAGGAAAGTTAGTAGATTCTTCCTGACTCTAGAATCTTCATACCCTGAACTCTTAAACAAACTTTAACCAGTTACGTACAGTCTATCACCCATTTAAGAAGAGCAAAGCTACCTCAGCTCCTCCAGAGCCATTTTAAGATCCCCAGTCTTCAAAGCCTAAAGATTAAGCAGCTCTCCAGTGCACAACCTGAGCCCAAGTAAATGCCAAACAAAGTCCTAAACCCAGCCCAGGCCACTGTCTCTGGAAAAAGTCGCCAAGAAAAAAGTAAGAAATTGACTTTACAGAAGTCAAACCACACCAGGCTAAGTACAAATACCTTCTAGTACTAGTAGACACCTTCTCCAGATAGACTAAGGCATTTGCTACCGAAAACGAAACCACCAACATAGTAGTTAAGTTTTTACTCAATGAAATCATCCCTCAATATAGGCTGCCTGCTGCCATAAAGTCTGATAATAGAGCAGCCTTCACCTCGCCTATAGCTCAGTCAGTCAGTAAGGCGTTAAACATTCAACAGAAGCTCCATTGTGCCTATCAACCCCAGAGCTCCAGGCAAGTAGAACGCATGAACCACACCCTAAAAAACACTCTTATAAAATTAATCTTAAAAAAACAGTGTAAATTAAGTAAGTCTCCTTCCTTTAGCCCTACTTAAATTAAGGTGCACCTCTTACCAGGCTAATTTCTCACCTTTTGAAATTATGTATAATAGGGCACCGCCTATCTTGCCTAAGCTAAGAGATGCCAAATTAGCAGAAATATCACAAACTAATTTATTACAGTACCTATAGTCTCTCCAACAGGTACAAGATATTATCCTGCCACTTGTTCCAGGAGCCCATCCCAATCCAATTCCTGACCAAAGTCCTGCCATTCGTTCCAGCCAGGAGACCTAGTGTTGTTAAAAACTTCCAAAAAGAAAGACTCACTCCTGCTTAGAAAAGACCTCACAACGTCATCTTCACGACTCCAATGGCTCTGAAAGTAGATGGCATTCCTGCTTACATTCATCACTCCCGCATCAAAAAGGCCAACAGAGTCCAACTAAAAACATAAGTCCCCAAGCCTAAGTCAGGACCCTTAAAACTGCACCTAAGTCAGGTGAAGCCATTAGATTCATTCTTTTTATCTACCTCACTCACTTGTTTTTGCCCATTACATCCTCTGTGCCTTCCTACTCCTTTCTCCTCACCTCTTTCACAACAGGACTTGTACTTGCAAACACCACTTAGAAGGCCAGTACCTCCAAGGAAGTGTCCTTTGCAGTTGACTTATTTGTACTCTTCCCAAAGCCAGCCCATACCCACGAAAAGCAACACAATCTGCCAGTTCCAGGAGCAGGAAGTGTCGACTTTGCAGCAAGACTCAGACACTCCAAGAGCCAAACTAAGTGTAGAAGCTCCAAAAGTGCAGAAAAAAGACTCCAAAATATTTACTTTTACCTCTGTCCTAGAAATCACCCTGATGCTAGCTGTCAAGATACTTATCAGTTTTCCTGTCTTGATTAGACATGTGTAACTTTAGCCACCTGCTCTAAAAGATCAACCAGATCTTCAACTCTTTCCATAAGTCCTGCTTCTCATCCTAAATTATATACTAGAAGAAATTGTAATCCTCTTACTATAACTGTCCATGACCTTAATTCAACACAACAGTATCATGGCATGTCATGAAGATTAAGATTTTATATCCCAGGATTTAATGTTAAGTCTATGTTCACCATCCAAAAAAAACCTAGTCTCATAAAGCCCACCCAAGCCAATCAGGCCTTTAACTGATCTAAGTAACCCTATGTTCCAGAAACACCCTGAGAAAGTTGATTCAACTGTTCCTCCACCATTCTTAGGCATAAAAGATACACTCCAGAAAGTGCAAGAAAATCTAGATAAGCGCCAACAAGAACAAGAAAATAACATCCCCTAGTATCAAAGCATGTTCAACTAGAACCCAGAGCTAACTATTCTAATTACTAAGTTAGCCAGACCCCCTCCCCATCCTACTATTAAGTTTAATTTTTGGACCTTGTATATTAAATTAGTTTATTAATTTTGTAAAACAACGTATACCTTCTGTCAAACTTATGTATCTTAAGACTCAAAATAACCCCCTCGTTATAACTGAAGAATCAACGATTTGATTCCCCAAAAATACAAGTGAGGAATGTAATGCCCAACCTTGTTTTTACTAACCCTGTTCTTAGACTCTCCCTTTCTTTTAATCACCTAGCCTTGTTTCCACCTGAATTGACTCTCCCTTAGCTAAGAGAGGCAGACAGACTCCATCTTGGCTCTTTCACTGACAGCCCCTTCCTCAAGGACTTAACTTGTGCAAGCTGACGCCCAGCACATCGAAGAATGCAATTAACTGATAAGATACTGTGGTGAGCAATATCCGCAGTTCCCAGGAATTCGTCCAATTGATAACGCCCAAAGCCCCGCGTCTATCACCTCATAATAGTCTTAAAGCCCCTAGACCTAGAGCTGTTTACTTTCCTGCAACAATTTATCCTTTTAACTTTTTTGCCTACTTCTGTAAAATTGTTTTAACTAGACCCCCCTCCCCTTTCTAAACGAAAGTATAAAAGAAAATCTAGCCCCTTCTTCGAGGCCGAGAGAACTTTAAACGTTAGCCATTTCTTAGCCGCCGGCTAAATGAACAGACTCTTAATTCGTCTTAAAGTGTGGCATTTTCTCTAGCTCGTTCAAGTACAACACATCCAGCAGGCACGTAATCCACTCTAAAATGCCATCCTGGGGTAGTGAAGATGATGATGCTGGAAATATCCTTAAATGGCATGTGGATGAGTACCCCCAGAGGCATACATGTTGAGCTAAGTACTTTGCTGATGAAGGGTACAAGTTGAAGGGGTTTTGAAAGGCAGAGTGAGGTTCTTCAGAAGGCTGTTGCTACAGAAAGACAGGAGGAGAAATTACATGGCCAGATAGAGTGGCATGACCATTGGATAAGGGCTTTTTGTTTGTTGGTTTTTGAGATGGAGTTTTACTCTTGTTGCCCAGGCTGGAGTGCAATAGCACGATCTCAGCTCACCGCAACATACGCCTCCCAGGTTCAAGCGATTCTCCTGCCTCAGCCTCCCTAGTAGCTGGAATTACAGGCATGTACCACCACTCCCGGCTAATTGTGTATTTTTTGTAGAGATGGGGTTTCTCCATGTTGGTCAGGCTGGTCTTGAACTCCCGACCTCAGGTGATCCACCCGCCTTGGCCTCCCAAATTGCTGGGATTACAGGCGTGAGTCACCGTGCCCAGTCTGGATGAGGGTCTTTAGCAAAGATGGAAGTTTTGGTACCTTGCAGTTTAGTCTCTTCATTTATGTCCTCCTGAAATCTTCAGGAATTGCACTATTTTGTCAATACTTCTGGGGTCGTACTTAGGGGGACTTAAAGGAGATGTGATGTGGCAGCCTTTGACTTAAGGGAGTATCATACTAGCTCAAAGAGATCTGGGTACATGCCAGTTGAACCAACTCTTCTGAGGATGTGATAGATCCTGGGAGGCCACTCTGATCCTGCCAATGTTGAGGCCAGATGAGTCTTTGAAAAACATGGTTTGGCTTAACACCAGCACTTACTCTAACACCCACCATGAATCTTGCTGAACTGAAGCTATACAAATACCTTTTCAAAAGATTTTTTTTCATTCCAGATCCTTCTTAGAAATTCCTAAGGCTCAATGCTTTGTGGAAGATTCTGAGAAAGAAAATAGTTTCCGATCTTTGGGATTCCCGAGATGGTCCAATCTGCAAAAAGTTCATTGCCATTTCCATCAAGGACACTGAGAACAAGAGTCTTATCTGGATTGGATCCTGGGAATTGAGAAGCTTCAGCAGGTGGGAAATGCACCCTCCACAGGCTCACACCCTTGTGGGCTGTTTCAGTTACCTATTGCACCTAAAATTAGAAACTTTAAACCACCAGAAGCCATTATTGCTCATGACCCTGTGAGTTGCATGGGGACTTCCTGGCTGGTTTAACCTGGGCTCATTTGTGTGGCTACCTGCAGCTGGAGGGCCAGCTGGGCAGAGCATCCAGGATGGCCTCATGCATGTGCCTGGCAGTTGGTGCTGGTTGTCAGCCGGGGAAGCTTGTTTTCCTCCATGTCGCCCCTCGCCCTCCAGAACCCCTCTCCAAATGTCCCTTTAAGCAGGATAGCCAAGGTTTGCTTGGTGCCAGCATCCAAGAGGGCAAAAATATGGAAACTACGAGAGGGCTCTCAAGGCCTAAGACTATTTGCACCCCAAAAATATGAGGTCTCAGTTAATTCAGAAAGTTTATTTTGCCAAGGTTAAGGACTCACGCCTGTGACACAGCCTCGGGAGGTCCTGACAACATGGGCCTAAGGTGGTGGGGACACAGCTTGGTTTGATACATTTTAGAGAGACATGAGACATCAATCAATATGTGTAAGATGTACATTGTTTCAGTCTGGAAAGGCGGGACAACTCCAGGTGAAAGTGAAGGTGAGACAAGGGGAAGGGGCTTCCAGGTCATTGGTAGTTAAGAGACAAATGGTTGCATTGTTGTGAGTTCCTGATTAGCCTCTCCAAATGAGGCAATCAGATATACATTCATCTCAGTAAGCAAAGGGTTAACTGAATAGAATGGGAGGCAGGTTTCCCTTAAGCAGTTCCCAGCTTGACTTTTCTCTTTAGCTTAGTAACTTTTTTTTGGGTGGGCGGACAGAGTCTCGCTCTGTTGTGCAGGCTGGAGTGCAGTGGTACGATCTCGGCTTATTGCAACCTCCAACTCCAGGGTTCAAGAAGTTTCCCTGCCTCAGCATCCCAAGTAGCTGGGATTACAGGCGCCTGCCACCACGCCTGGCTAATTTTCATATATTTTAGTAGAGATGGGGTTTTGTCATGTTGGCCAGGCTGGTCTTGAACTCCTGACCTCAGGTGATCTGCCCGCCTCAGCTTCCCAAAGTGCTGGGATTACAGGCGTGAGCCACGGAGCCCAGCCTAGCTTAGTGATCTTGGGGCCCCAAGGTTTATTTTCCTTTTACGGCTAGAAGTTGGTCACCATCAATTTGGCAGCATTCCACTGACCAAAGCAAGTCATAGGCAGCCCAGATTCATGTAGAGGAGTATAAATTTTCCCTCTTTAAGGAAAGATTGGTTCAATTATACTGCACGAACATTTGCAGAAAGTTGTACCCATCTTTGGAAACTACCACACACACACACACACACACACACACACACACACACACACCCCTTTACATGCAACCCTCCCTTGAGGTGCATCTACTTCCAGGCAGAACCAAAACTTGACAGTACTCGACAGAAGAAAAGTAGCGTCCTAAATGCCAGTTCTCTTCTTACTCAACTTCAGCCTCATTATAAGCAGATTCTAACAGTTTATGTGTCTTGAGAAACATTTTAATTAATCTTTGGAATTTAAGAATTTCAATTCATAGCAGTAGCCTATGCATAGGAAATATGCATATTGTAAGTTTTTCCTTTCTGATAAATCACGCTGGGGGAACGACAATGTAACTTTTTTTTTTTTTTTTGAGGAGTCTCACTCTGTTGCCCAGGCTGGAGGGCAGTGGCATGATCTCAGCTCATGCAACCTCCCCCTCCCTGGTTCAAGCAATTCTCCTGCCTCAGCCTCCTGAGTAGCTGGGATTACAGGTGCACAAGACGGGGTTTCACCATGTTGGTCAGGTTGGTCTCGAACTCCTGACCTCTGATCTGCCCACCTCAGCCTCTCAAAGTGCTGGGATTATAGGCGTGAGCCACCGGCTCACGTATACTGTGACAGTATATTGAAAGTTTCTCTTTTTTTCAAATAATTAACAGGTTTAACAGAATGTATCTCCTGATCTATTCCTTTCACTGCAGACATCTATTGCCTTTTCAGCCTAGCAGCCCTCCCCTCTATAGAGAGTCACACTTCCTACTCCAGTCATGTGGATCTCATGGGGGCTGCCATGTTCTCAAATGACTCCACCTCCCTGGCCTCAGTTGATTGGTCCAGGGATGAGCATCTGGCCTAAATTGGCCAATCAGAATTCTTCCCTTGAATATTTTTCCAAACTGGAACTAGACCAAGTTAATCATTCTCTGTGATGACAGGAATTGTGTGTAGTGAGAAATACAGGAGCTTTTGTGGACACGTTTCTCACCTTATGGAGAAAAGGCTTGAGTAAGAAGAAATTAAGCCAGTATGCAGACAAAGCTAGAGACAGAGATAGAGAGAGAGATCTTGTGGTAAGCCCCTTGGTTTTTGTCATTTTAGTACATGCTCGATACTGCATACAACCAAGACTTTCACCTGAGGGCTTTCTGAAAGTCAGGCATGGAGTATGTCAGAAAAGCCACAGAAGCTGGGCGCAGTGGCTCACTCCTGTAATCCCAACACTGGGAGGCCGAGGCAGGTGGATCACGAGGTCAGGAGTTAGAGACCAGCCTGACCAACGTGGCAAAACCCCGTCTCTACAAAAAATAAAAAAATTAGCCGGGCATGGTGGCAGGCGCCTGTAATCCCAGCTACTGAGGAAGCCGAGGCAAGAGAATCGTTTGAACCTGGGAGGCAGATGTTGCAGTGAGCCGAGATCATGCCTTTGCAGTCCAGCCTGGGTGACAGAGCAAGACTATGTCTCAAAAAAAAAAAAAAAGAAGAAGAAGAAAGCAAAGCCAGAGAGTTGATGCCCTGGGACCAGTCCTCAGCCAGTGACGGATGGGAGCCAGGCTATAAATGCTTCAATATCTTTGCCCCTTGGATGGAACAACTTTGAAATGTATTCCACATCACCTCTCAGAGGTCCCCAGTGGGGTCAAATCCTAGTTGCCTAGAGTGGTAAGCTGCTCATTGAAACCCCCTGTGTGGCCTCCTACCTTTCCATGAATCAATTCCTCACTCCCCTATTGGTGTCCCCTGGAATCATCTCCTAAATAATCCACTTGCAATCCTGTCCCTCTTTCAGGATCTGCTTGGGGTTGGGGTTGGGGAGTGCAGAGAAAAACATGATCCCTTTTCCACTCCACACTAGTAAGATGAGTTTCTGTCACTGACAACCAAGAGTTCTGACTATTACCTCCTTCTGAGATAATTCCTAAAATGTATTTGGGAATTTCCCCACCTCCACCCCACTGCATATGTCATCAATATGTAGATTTCTTAACAAAGTTTAATGGTATTCTTTGATCAACCTCAAGTTTCACAAAACACACTGCACTTTCATAAGGGCTCCCCAGGACTGACAGATCAGCCGTTCAAAAGAAGGGAAGTGTCAGAGATGGCTCTCCTAGACTCGCGTATTTTTCAGTAGAATCTGGGTCAGGATGTTGTGGTCGGGAGATGCTTCTGGATCTCTGGGACCCACAAGCCTGCGTGTCATGGTGGAGTATTAGGACAACTTGAAAACATAGTGGCAGGAGGAGGCTTCCTCTCTCCCCTGCAGTTCATCCTCCAGCACACCCAATGTGCTCAACAGATATTGGTTAAATGAATAATGGGGCCGGGCATGGTGGCTCACGCCTGTAATCCCAGCACTTTGGGAGGCTGAGGCAGGTGGATCACCTGAGGTCAGGAGTTCAAGACCAGCCTGGCCATAGAGGCAGGAGAAGCACTTGAACCTGGAAGGCGGAGTTTACAGCACGCTGAGATGGCACCACTGCACTCCAGCCTGGGTGACAGAGCAAGACTCAAAAAAAAAAAAAAAATGGATTTATTCCTTCCAAACTGAAACTCACCAAAAGAAGACCAACACGCATGACAATGTTGTGGCCATAATCACCACAGTGACAATAATAAATATAATCAACTCTCGAGCCAGCCACCTCCACTAAACCTAGTGGATCACATCTAGTGTTTCACTTTGGGGATATTTTAGTGGTCATCGTAGATTGTCGCCTGACTGCTGGCTGTTTCTACCATGTTTCAGGAATATAGAGATGTGTACAGATGGCCCCTAAAATTAATTAGTATGCAATTCTCAAAGAGCCAAACTGTACCCCAAAAGCTACTGGAATGAAAAAAAAAAGTTTTAATTCTCAAAGAGACAAACTAGATAGTAGAAGCATTTATGTTCCCTTGGAGAATCTTCCCACCAAGGACTCAAAGTTGTCTCCAGACCAGGGAATGCCTGGGGCCTTGGACTTTCCCAATTCTGGTATCACCTCCCATTCTCCTTTAGGTCCAGCTTTCTCAGAGGGGCATGCATTGTTCATTGCCACCAAGGGTATCCAAGGACAGAAACTGAAGATAATAGTGCCTTATTGTCTCTCAGTCATCTTTCTCTCCCACATGCTGGAAAGAGAGCCAAGTCCAATTTATCCAATTACAAAATAGCAACATTGGCATCATGAGATCAGCTAACAAAACTTTCAGAGGCAATCTATCTTCCTACCAAAAGTAACCAACATCTGTGGAGCACTGACCATGACTAAGGGTCAACATAAGTGGTTTGCATGCTACATGCATCAGGATGGACTAGGTTATGCTGCAGTAACAAATTAACCCCAGAGTCTCAGCAGCTTAGCAACCAAGGTTGATTTCTTACATTCCATGTCCACAATGGGTTGGCTGGGTATGGTGTGCTCCATATGGCCACTCAAAGACCTAGAATGATGGAAATTCTACCATCTTAATGTAAGGATTCTCCCCTAGTTACTGCACCAGGAGATGAGAGAATGAGATAGTTATTTCCAAGCCCTCAAAAGCTGTAGACTAGAGGTGATGTCAGTGACTTCCACTTATAGAGCACTGGACCCTGGCATGGATCCATCTAACTACGGGGGTCTGGGGAATACAGGGAGCAGATGGAAATCCCATGAGCAGTAACCATTCCTGCCAGCATGCATTATTTCATCTGAACCTCACAACCCTATGGAATATATAACAGAGGCTTGGAGAGTTATGGGACCTGCCCCAAGGCATCATAGATAATGAGTTGCAGAGCTGAGATATGACCTTCGGCCTCCTCACCCACCTCCTCACCCACCCCCACCCCCACCGAAAGAATCAAACTACGCAAATAACTGGAATGAAATTCTCAGGCAATTTCAGCAGGGGAAATGGGGTTATCTCATCTGGGTCTCACATCCAACCTCGTCAAGACAAGACCTTCCCTACACTTCACCTGAACACCTGGACACACTGTCATGTCTTGCCAGTTCTTGTTACTGGAGATCCAATGATGATGTCTTTATACAATTTATAGGTCTTTCTATAAGTGTCAAGATAAATGTCATCTCTGTACCTGCCTATCTTTCAGAGGTAGGCAAGCTTCTATGTAAAGTGCTAGATAGTAAATATTATAAACTTTTCAGGACTCATCTGATCTCCATCCTATATATTTTTTTGTTTTTATTTTTGTTTTACAAATTTTTTTTTTCTTTTTAGATAGGGTCTAAAAAGAAAATAAAACTTATCCATGTTGTGATATGGATGAACGTTAGGGTTAGTGAAAGAAGCAGACATGAAAGGTCATATATTGTAGAATTCCATTTATATGCAATGTTCAGACTAAGCCAATCGACAGAGATAGAAAGTAGATGAGAGGTTTCCAACGGCTGCAGGAGGGAGTATGCAGAGTGACTGCTGAATGGATATGAGGCTTCCAACTGAGGTGTTGAAAAAGCCCTGAAACTAGGTAGTGGTGATAATTACACAACATGATAGATGTACAAAATGTCCCTGAATTGTACACTTTCAGATGCACAAAATGATAAATGTTGCATATATTATACCACAATTTTATTCATTTATTTTAGAGATAGAGTCTCACTCCGTCACCCAGGCTGCAGTGCAATGTCACAGTCATAGCTCACTGCTGCCTTTACCGCCTGGACTCAAGCAATCCTCCCACCTAGTCTTCCAAGTAGCTGGGACTACAGGTGAACGCTACCACACCCAGCTTTTTAAATTTTTTTATAGAGTTGCATTCTCAGTATATTGCCCAGATTGGCCCAAACTCCTGGCTTTAAGTGATTCTCTCATCTCAGCCTCCCAAAGTGCTGGGATAACAGGTGTAAGACATCAGGCCAGGCAATTTTCAATTCTTATGCAAAATTTTCAACTAATTCCTAGGATTGAAAAAAATGTCGATCAACATGGGGATTAGAGGAAAAAATAATTTTAAACAAGAGAAAAAATTAAATGAGATGATGTACATGTATACAGTGCCTGGCCTCATGATCAATGACTCCACTGCAGCTTTTTATTTCTTTTTCCATACAGGGTCTCACTCTGTCACCCAGGCTGAGTACAGTGGCATAATCATGGCTTACTACAGCCTCAACCTCCTGGGCACAAGTGATCCTCCCACCTCAGCCTCTCAAGTAGCTGGGACTACAGATGCACACAATCACACCTAGCTATTTGTGTTGTTGTTGTTATATTTTTTGGTAGTGGCAGGGTCTCACCATGTTGCCCAGGCTGGCATCTCGAACTCCTGGGCTCAAGCGATCCTCCCACCTCAGCTTCCCAAAGTGCTGGGATTAAAGGTGTGAGCCACCATGCCCATCCTGTTGTAGCTATTTTAATAGTGCTGGTGAACAATAATTTGCTCTCCCTATAAAAACAGAACATACTAAGCCAAGGAAAGCACCAATCTAGTTTGTTCTCCCCAGATCTTCAAAGTGTTGGAATTAGTATAAGAGTCCAAAATATTTCATGTGGTTTGATTTTTTTTTTTTTTTTGGAGATGCAGTCTCGTTCCATCGTCCAGGTTGGAAGGCAGTGGAGCAATCTCAGCTCACTGCAACCTCCGCCTCCCGGGTTCAAGCAATTCTCCTGCCTCAGCCTCCCGAGTAGCTGGGATTACAGACATGTACCGCCACGCCTGGCTAATTTTTGCATTTTTAGTAGAGATGGGGTTTCTCCATGTTGGCCAGGCTGGTCTTGAACTCCTGACCTCAAATGATCTACCCGCCTTGGCCTCCCAAAGTGCTGGGATTACAGGTGTAGGCCACCATGCCCGGCCAGCTTGATTTTTTACTGTGGTAAAATACATACAAAATCTATTATTTTAGCCATTTTCAAAGGAAAAATTCAGTGGTATTAAGTGCATCCCCCACATTGTACAGCCATGTCCCCCATCCATCTCCAGAACGCTTTCATACTGTCCTGCAAATATGCAGCACCTTGCTACACTCCAGGTTGTTTGTCCCACAACAGAGCTGGGCTGAATTACTAATGCGGACTTTGTTTAACAACGGACTAAAGAGGGAGAAGCCCATGAACACTGTGAGGAGTGCATGACAGGTGCTTGTGGGATGACATGACTCGGCGCCCTCCAGCTGCTGCTGCCACCGCCTGTCCTGCTGGGCGGCCACCCCCTCGCAGGGAAGAAGAGCACTCACAACTGCTGCTGATCTCCTTCCAGGGCTTCCGCTGGGACTAGGATCAGGATGTGAACACCCCCAACCTGGACCATCTGGCCAGGGAGGGCGTCAAGGCCAAGTACCTCATGCCGCCCCTTGTGACAATGACCTCCCCGTCCCACTTCACTGCCATCACAGGTAAGCGCCACTCTGCCCATTTCACCCGATGCCCATCAAATCCCCAGCGTCCGTCATTCCCTGTGATAAGAAGCAAAAGCTCGGTCAGCTCTAGGGAGGTTGAGGTTGCTCCGGGGTCTCACTCTGTTGCCCAGGCTGTAGCTCAGTGGCATAATCACAGCTCAGTGGAGCCTCAAGCTCCTGGTCTCAAGCAGTCCTCCCTAGCTCAGTCTCCTCAGTAGCTGGGGATACAGACAAGCCACCATGCCTGATTTTCTCATTTTCTTAGAAACTGGGGCAGGGGGTGTCTCACTATGTTGCCTGGGCTGGTTTTGAACTCCTGGCCTCAAGTGATCATCCCACCTCAGCCTCCCAAAGTGCTGAGATTGGAGACATGAGCTACCGTGACTGGCCTGTTCTTTTTTTTTAAAGTAAATAAGGCCGAGCATGGTGACTCACCCCTGTAATCCCAGCACTTTTGGTGGCTGAGGTGGGTGGATCACCTGAGGTCAGGAGTTCAAGACCAGCTTGCCCAACATGGTGAAACGTCACCTATCCTAAAAATACAAAAATAAGCTGGGCGTGGTGGCAGATGCCTATAACCACAGCTACTCTGGAGTCTGATACAGGAGAATCACTTGAACCCAGGAGGTGGTAGTTGAAGTGAGCCGAGATCATGCCATTGCATTCCAGTTTGGGCAAAAGAGCAAGATTTTGTCTCAAAAAAAAAAACAAAAGTAATAAAAATAAAAAGGTAAATAACTAAAATCACTTTTAAATAATTGTATAAAAATAATAAAACACTGACATTTACAGAGCTCAGTTAGATGAGGTGACTCATACCTTCCAATGGTGTCTTGGTTCTCTTACATAAGAATTCAAATGTCTTTCTGTGGCCCAAAAGATCCCACACAGCCTGGCCCCTGGCCTATCTTCTGCCAGCCTCTCTCATCTCTCTCCCTCTCCTTCACTTCCTTCCGGATCACAAAGGCCTTTGCCTGTGCCTTCTGCCCTGCTCCCTCAAGCCCCAGGGCCTTGGCCTGTGCTAGTCCAGTCCCTCCAGCTCACCAGGAGCATACAGTCCAGTCGGGGAGACAGACACCAGACACCCAAACAGGCACATACATCCTGTAACAACTCAGGAGGCATCAAGGAGGAAAACGAGTTTTCCAGGCACAGACTACAGGCGTAAACTGGTTTCAAACTAGAGAGGGAGAAAGGGGGTCTCTGAGCATGGGGCAGTTGAGCTGAAAGAGATCTCAGGGGACCAGAGGAAGGAAAAGTGTTCCAGGCGAGGGAAGAGCATGTGTGAGGTCTCTGAGACAAAGACCTGGTCATTTCAGAATCCCAATGGCCACTAAAATAGAGGGATTCCAACCTAAAAAGGAGGAAGAGGAGGCTGCTGGAAAGCAAAGGACTCTGTGTAAGAATCATAATAGCAGGAGTGGAGCCAAGATGGCCGAATAGGAACAGCTCCAGTCTACAATTCCTGGCGTGAGCGACCCAGAAGACAGGTGATTTCTGCATTTCCAACTGAGGTACTTGGTTCATCTCACTGGAGAGTGTCAGAAAGTGGGTGCAGGACACTTGGTGCAGTGCACCGAGCATGAGCCAAGCAGGACAAGGCATTGCCTCACCTGGGAAGTGCAAGGGGTCAGAGAATTCCCTTCCCTAGTCAAAGAAACGGGTGACAGATGGCACCTGGAAAATCGGGTCACTCACACCCTAATACTGCACTTTTCCAATGGTCTTAGCAAACGGCACACCAGGAGATTATATCCCATGCCTGGCTCAGAGGGTCCTAAACCCATGGAGCCTCACTCATTGCTAGCACAGCAGTATGAGATCAAACTGCAAGGTGGCAGCAAGGCTGGGGGAGGGGCGCCCGCCATTGCCTAGGCTTCAGTAGGTAAACAAAGCAGCTGGGAAGCTCCAACTGGGTGGAGCCCACCTCAGCTCAAGGAGGCCTGCCTACCTCTGTAGACTCCACCTCTGGGGGCAGGGCATTGGCAAACAAAAGGCAGCAGAATCCTCTGCAGACTTAAATATCCCTGTCTGACAGCTTTGAAGAGAGAAGTGGTTCTCCCAGCACACAGCTGGAGATCTGAGAATGGACAGATTGCCTCCTCAAGTGGGTCCCTGACCCCCGAGTTGCCTAACTGGAGGCACACCCCCGTAGGGGCAGACTGACACCTCACATGGCCGGGTACTCCTCTGAGACAAAACTTCCAGAGGAACAATCAGGCAGCAACATTTGCTGCTCAACAATATCTGCTGTTCTGCAGCCTCAACTGCTGACACCCAGGCAAACTCCAACAGACCTGCAGCTGAGGGTCCTGACTCTTAGAAGGAAAACTAACAAACAGAAAAGACATCCACACTTAAAACCCCATCTGTACGTCACCATCATCAAAGACCAAACGTAGATAAAGCCACAAAGATGGGGAAAAAACAGACACACACAGGCTCAAATAAAGGGATGGAGGAAGATCTACCAAGCAAATGGAAAACAAAAAAAAGGCAGGTGTTGCAATCCTAGTCTCTGATAAAACAGACTTTAAACCAACAAAGATCAAAAGAGACAAAGAAGGCCATTACATAATGGTAAAGGGATCAATTCAACAAGAAGAGCTAACTATCCTAAATATATATGCACCCAATACATGAGCACCCAGATTCAAAAAGCAAGTCCTTAGAGACCTACAAAGAGACTTAGACTCCCACACAATAATAATGGGAGGCTTTAACACCCCACTGTCAACATTAGACAGATCAACAAGACAGAAAGTTAACAAGTATATTCAGGAATTGAACTCAGCTCTGCACCAAGCGGAACTAATAGACATCTACAGAACTCTCCACCCCAAATCAACAGAATATACAGTCTTCTCAGCACCACATCGCACTTCTTCCAAAATTGACCACATAGTTGGAAGTGAAGCACTCTTCAGCAAATGTAAAACAACAGAAATTATAACAAACTGTCTCTCAGACCACAGTGCAATCAAACTAGAACTCAGGATTAAGAAACTCTCTCAAAACTACTCAACTACATGAAAACTGAACAACCTGCTCCTGAATGACTACTGGGTACATAATGAAATGAAGGCAGAAATAAAGGTGTTCTTTGAAACCAACGAGAACAAAGACACAACATACCAGAATCTCTCGGACACATTCAAAGCAGTGTGTAGAGGGAAATTTATAGCACTAAATGCCCACAAGAGAAAACAGGAAATATCTAAAACTGACACCCTAACATCACAATTAAAAGAACTAGAGAAGCAAAGAGCAAACACATTCAAAAGCTAGCAGAAGGCAAGAAATAACTAAGATCAGAGCAGAACTGAAAGAAATAGAGACACAAAAAACCCTTCAAAAAATCCATGAATCCAGGAGCTGGTTTTTTGAAAAGATCAACAAAATTGATAGACCACTAGCAAGACTAATAAAGAAAAGAGAGAAGAATCCAATAGACACAATAAAAATTGATAAAGGGGATATCACCACCAATCCCACAAAAATACAAACTACCATCAGAGGATAGTATAAACACCTCTATGCAAATAAACTAGAAAACCTAGAAGAAATGGATAAATTCCTCGACACGTACACCCTCCCAATGCTAAACCAGGAAGAAGTTGAATCTCTGAATAGACCAATAACAGGTTCTGAAATTGAGGCAATAATTAATAGCTTACCAACCAAAAAAAGTCCATGACCAGACGGAATCACAGACGAATTCCACCAGAGGTAAAAGGAGGAGCTGGTACCATTCCTTCTGAAACTATTCCAAACAATAGAAAAAGAGGGAATCCTACCTAACTCATTTTATGAGGCCAGCATCATCTTGATACCAAAGCCGGGCAGAGACACAACCAAAAAAGAGAATTTTAGACCAATATCCCTGATGAACATCGATGCAAAAATCCTCTATAAAATACTGGCAAACCGAATCCAGCAGCACATCAAAAACTTATCCACCATGATCAAGTGGGCTTCCTCCCTGGGATGCAAGATTGGTTCAACATTTGCAAATCAGTAAACATAATCCAGCATATAAACAGAACCAATGACAAAAACCATATGATTATCTCATTACATGCAGAAAAGGCCTGTGACAAAATTCAACAACCTTCATGCTGAAAACTCTCAATAAATTAAGTATTGATGGGACGTATCTCAAAATAATAAGAGCTATCTATGACAAACCCACAGCCAATATCATACTGAATGGGCAAAAACTGGAAGCATTCCCTTTGAAAACTGGCACAAGACAGGGATGCCCTCTCTCACCACTCCTATTCAACATAGTGTTGGAAGTTCTGGCCAGGGCAATCAGGGAGGAGAAGGAAATAAAGGGTATTCAATTAAGAAAAGAGGAAGTCAAATTGTCCCTGTTTGCAGATGACATGATTGTATATCAAGAAAACCCCACTGTCTCAGCCCAAAATCTCCTTAAGCTGATAGGCAACTTCAGCAAAGTCTCAGGATACAAAATCAATTTGCAAAAATCACAAGCATTCTTATAAACCAATACAGACAAACAGAGAGCCAAATCATGAGTGAACTCCCATTCACAATTGCTTCAAAGAGAATAAAATACCTAGGAATCCAACTTACAAGGGATATGAAGGACCTCTTCAAGGAGAACTATAAACCACTGCTCAACGAAATAAAAGAGGACACAAACAAATGGAAGAACATTCCATGCTCATGAGTAGGAAGAATCAATATCGTAAAAATGGCCATATTGGCCAAGGTAATTTATAGATTCAATGCCATCCCCATCAAGTTACCAATGACTTTCTTCACAGAATTGGAAAAAACTACTTTAAAGTTCATATGGAACCAAAAAAGAGCCCGCATTGCCAAGTCAATCCTAAGCCAAAAGAACAAAGCTAGAGGCATCACACTACCTGACTTCAAACTATACTACAAGGCTACAGTAATCAAAACAGCCTGGTACTGGTACAAAAACAGAGATATAGACCAATGGAACAGAACAGAGCCCTCAGGAATAATGCCACATATCTACAACCATCTGATCTTTGACAAACCTGACAAAAACATGAAACGGGGAAAGGATTCCCTATTTAATAAATGGTGCTGGGAAAACTGGCTAGCCATATGAAGAAAGCTGAAACTGGATCCCTTCCTTACACCTTAGACAAAAATTAATTCAAGATGGATTAGACTTAAATGTTAGACCTAAAACCATAAAAACCCTAGAAGAAAACCTCAGCAATATCATTCAGGACATAGGCATGGGCAAGGAATTCATGTCTAAAACACCAAAAGCAATGGCAAGAAAAGCCAAAATTAACAAATGGGATCTAATTAAACTAAAGAGCTTCTGCACAGCAAAAGAAACTACCATCAGAGTGAACAGGCAACCTACAGAATGGGAGAAAATTTTTGCAATCTACTCATCTGACAAAGGGCTAATATCAAGAATCTACAATGAGCTCCAATAAATTTACAAGAAAAAAACAAACAACCCATCAAAAAGTGGGCAAAGGATATGAACAGACACTTCTCAAAAGAAGACATTTATGTAGCCAAAAGACACGTGAAAAAAATGCTCATCATCCCTGGCCAGAGAAATGCAAGTCAAAACAACAATGTGATACCATCTCACCCCAGTTAGAATGGCGATCATTAACAAGTCAGGAAACAACAGGTGCTGGAGAGGATGTGGAGAAATAGGAACACTTTTACGCTGTTGGTGGGACTGTAAACTAGTTCACCCATTGTGAAATTCAGTGTGGCAATTCCTCAGGGATCTAGAACTAGAAATACCATTTGACCCAGCCATCCCATTACTGGGTATATACCCAAAGGATTATAAATCATGCTGCTATAAAGACACATGCACACGTATGTTTATAGTGGCACTATTCACGATAGCAAAGACTTGGAACCAAGCCAAATGTCCAACAATGATAGACAGGATTAAGAAAATATGGCACATATACACCATGGAATACTATGCAGCCATAAACAATGATTTCATGTCCTTTGTAGGGACATGGATGAAGCTGGAAACCATCATTCTCTGCAAACTATTGCAAGGACAAAAAACCAAACACTGCATGTTCTCACTCATAGGTAGGAATTAAACAATGAGAACACATGGACACAGGAAGGGGAACATCACACACTGGGACCTGTTGTGGGGGCGGGGGAGGCGGGAGGGATAGCATTAAGAGACATACCTAATGTTAAATGACGAGTTAATGGGTACAGCACACCAACATGGCACATGTATACATATGTAACAAACCTGCACGTTGTGCACATGTACCCTAAAACTTAAAGTATAATACAAAATAAAAAATAAGATAAAAACTTCGGCTGTTGACTCCAATATCCTGCTTCATCATCTCTCTACTCCAGAAACTTTTCACATGCTTACAAAGGGTGTTCGTTTCTCCTCTAAGTATTTGCTCCCCAGCCCCACCTGCAAGAAGGTGGAAGTAGGGCCTCTGCCTGGGATGGTAACTCTCAAATATAAGGCAAGACCTGTCTCTCCACCAGTATCCCCAGGACTGAAGGACTGTGAAAGTCTGCATATTGATCAAGCTTCTCCCTCCCTTATCTGAAGGGACTTACTTCCTTCAAGACACTTTTCCTCTTCCCACCTAGCTCCATGCCCCCATCCAGTCATCTTCCAACCCATCTCTCCCAACCTGCATGCCACACAAGAGGGGCGTGACCACAGCACCTGGAAGTTCATTAAAACTGAATGGTGTGTCAGGCCAGGTGCGGTGGCTCATGTCAGCAACCCCAGCACTTTGGGAGGCTGAGGCAGGCAGGTCACTTGAGGTCAGGAGTTCGAGACCAGCCTGGCCAAAATGGAGAAACTCCATCTCTACTAAAAATATAAAAATTAGCTGGGTTTGGTTGTGCTTGCCTGTAGTCCTAGCTACTTGGGGGGCTGAGGAAAGGGAATCACTTGAACCTGGGAGGCAGAGCTTACAGTGAGCCAAGATTGCGCCATTGCACTCAAGCCTGGGCGATAGAGTGAGACTCTGTCTCAAAAAAAAAAAAAAAAAAGAAAAAAGAAAAAAAAGAAATCGAATGGTGTGATTAGCTTATGATTTTTTAAAAATGGAATGATGTATTCATTTTCTAAGCTGCATAACAAATCAACACAAATTTAGCAGCTTAAAACATCCATCTATTACCTCTCCTTTCCTGTGGGTCAGGAGTCTGGGGGTGCAGTTTAGCTGGGCCCTCTGCTTAGGTACTTACAAGGTTGTGATCAAGGTGTTGGCTGGAATTAGTGTCTCATATGAGGCTTGGGGTATTCTCCCAACCTCACATGGTTGTTGGCAGAATTTATTTCCATGCAACTGTGGAACTCATGTGGCTTGCTTCTTCAAAACCAGCCAGGCATGGTGGCTCACGCCTGTAATCCCAGCACTTTCGGAGGCCGAGGCATGTGGATCACCTGATGTCAGGAGTTCGAGACCAGCCTGGCCAATATGGTGAAACCCCATCTCTACTAAAAATACAAAACTTAGCCGGTCATGATTGTGCACGCCTGTAATCCCAGCTACTTGGGAGGCTGAGGCAGGAGAATCACTTGAACCCAGGAGACAGAGGTTGCAGTAAGCCGAGATCGTGCCACTGCACTCCAGCCTGGGCAACAGAGTGAGACTCCATGTCAAAAACAAACAAACAAACAAAAACCAAAAACCAGGAGGAAGGAGTCTCTCTCCTCCAGACCCTCATTGAAGATCTCACCTGAAGATGTCAGGCCCACCCTGAATAATCTCTCTTTTGATTAACTCAAAGTGAATGGATTAGGGGCTTAGTTACATCTGCAAAATCCCTTCAACTTTTCCATAGGTATAGATTAGAAGCAAGCCACGGGTCCTGCCTACACTCCAGGGGAGAGGAGATTACACCTGGCATTTATCCAGGGCAAGAACCTAAGGGGTCATCTCAGAATTCTGCCTTCCAAATAGATCCTCGGTGGAGCTCACGAGCCTGGGCGAGCACCAGCCTTTGTTTAAAGGCAACAGAGAATGATGCCCTGGCTCAGATCTCCAGCAAGCCTCCAGAATGATGGTCCAGTCTCTGAACCCTGGGCCAAGGCAGCAGGAGGTTTGGGTGCACATGGGGGCTTCCCCCACTTTGAAGTGAGTCGTCACATCTGTATTAGACCCTAGCTGTTGCTTAGGCAAAAATGATGATTTAGAAGAAGATGGAGAGAAGAGGAGAGTTAATTTAAAAGTACTTGTATTCGGCCGGACGTGGTGGTTCACGCCTGTAATCCCAGCACTTTGGGAGGCTGAGGCAGGCGGATCACGAGGTCAGGAGATGGAGACCATCCTGGCTAACACGGCGAAACCTTGTCTCTATTAAAAATACAAAAAATTAGCTGGGCGTGGTGGCGGGTGCCTGTAGTCCCAGCTACTCAGGAGGCTGAGGCAGGAGAATGGCGTGAACCCAGGAGGCGGAGATTGCAGTGAGCCGAGATCGCGCCACCGCACTCCAGCCTGGGCAACAGAGCGAGACTCCGTCTCAAAAAAAGAAAAAAAAAAGAAAGTACTTATGTTCATTCCCTAGGGCTGCCACAACCAAGTACCAAAAGCTGCGTGACTTGAAACCAGAGAAACTGATTGTCTTGTGGCTCTGGTGGCCAGCAGTCTGAAATGGAAGTGCCAGCAGGGCCACGCTCCCTCCTGCGCTTGTCGGGGAGTCCTGCCTTGCCTCTTCCTACCTTCCTGTGGTCTCCTGGCAGTCTTCAGTGTTTCTTGGTTTGCATACGCATCAGTCCAATCTTCCGGCCAATCCATGGACGCCTTCCCTGTGTCTCTGTGACTCGGCGTGTCCTCTCGTCTTTTATAAGGACACCAGTCGTTGACTTAGGGCCCTCCCTACTCCAAGATGACTTCATCCTAATCAATAGCGTCTGCAATAACCCTATTTCTTTCTTTTCTTTCTTTCTTTCTTTCTTCCTTTCTTTTTTCTTTCTTTCTTTCTTTCTTTTTTTTCTTCTTTCTCCCTCTCTCTCTCTCTCTCTCTCTCTCCCTCTCTCTCTCTTTCTTTCTTTCTTTCGAGACGGAGTTTCACTCTTTTTGCCCAGGCTGGAGTGCAATAGCACGATTTCAGCTCAATGCAACCTCCGCCTCGTGGGTTCAGGCGATTGTCCTGCCTCAGCCTCCCTAGTAGCTGGGATTACAGGTATGTGCCACCACACCCAGCTAATTTTGAATTTTTAGTAGAGACGGAGTTTCTCCATGTTGGTCAGGCTGGTCTCAAACTCCTGACCTCAGGTGATCCGCCTGCCTCGACCTCCCAAAGTGCTGGGATTATAGGCATGAGCCACCACGCCCGGCCCGCAATAACTCTATTTCTAAATAAGGTCACATTCTGAGCTACTAGAATTTAGGATTTCAACATGTTTTGAGGAGGACTCAATTTAACCCATAAGAATACTATGTGGGCCACACATGCTGCTTCACATCTGTTATCCCAGCACTTTCGGAGTTTGAAGCAGGAGGATCATTGCTCAGGGCATAGGGGACACCAGGTGCATAAGACCACAGCGTTGACTGGTGTGGGGGCTCACACCTGTAAGTTTGGGAAGCTAAGGCAGGACGATCACTTGAGCCCAGGAGTTTGAGGCCAGCCTGGGTGACATAGTGAGATCTCATTTCTAAAGAAAAAAATAATAATAATAATTAGCTGGGCATGGGGGTAGCGGCCTACAGTCCCAGCTACTCAGGAGGCTGAAGCAGGAGGGTCGCTTGAGTCCAGAAGATCAAGGCTGTGGCGAGCTGTGATTGCACCACTGCACTCCAGCCTGGGCAATAGAGCAAGCCCTGTCTCAAAAAAAAAAAAAAAAAAAGTCATCTCCTTTGTCTTCTGATTCCGTGAGCTCTCATAGAAAGGAAGTGAAGCAGTGAAAGCATCCCCCCAAAAGGGAGTTTTCAAAACCAGCCTAAGCAACATAGCAAGACCTTGCCTTTAGAAAGTATTTAAATTTGAAGGAAAAAAAAAAGCAGTACTATAGCACAGAGGTGACAGCTACAGGTGTGGCTACATCCAGGTCCTAAAACTATATCATCAGAATGACCCCCTCACCCTCCCCCCGCTTTCCATTTTACTTTCTTAAGCATGAAAATGAAATTTCCAAGATTGTCTCTCCTTTGGCTAATCTGCTTCTCAGACCCAATCACTGTGGCCAGGGTGGTGGAAGGACACTGGCATCCAGGCTGGGACCACATGCCCCAGATCCAGATCAGGGTGGGGAATGGCCAGTGGCACACATGCCGTTGGGGACTAGTGACTCCTCAGCGGAAAATCAGGAACTATCATTGGAGAGGAGCGATAGAAGAAAGGCTGACACAGTGCAATGTGTCTCCTGCACCAGCCTGGGCCTTGATGTCTTGAGTACTGATGACACAGTACTCAGTCCAGGGCAATCCCAACTCCATCTATGGGGCTGCCCACAGTACATGGACCGCCTCACTGGATTTGCTGACCACATGTGCAAACAGCCACCTCCCAGCCCCACTCCCCGCAGTCCCCCTGAACCCTGTCAAAATTCCCCTCAGTTCTCACCAAGACTAAAAGCAATTCTGAGGGTGAGCGGCTCATTCTGCTAGTTTAACTCTCTCGATTCCTTCCCTCTCCAGAACTCTGTACTTACTGCTCCGTCACTGGTAATGACAATGAACATCTTCACAATCTCAGGTTTTATTGCAAAGTGATTGAGGACCAGTTAGAATAAGTTATGCTGCAGAAACTAAAGAAATCCCGTCAAGCAAATTGTGTGTCATAGAAAGTCTTAGGACAGCCGTGTATATTTTCTCCCCCAATGAATCAATTGAAAATGAGAAGCTCTTACCGCCATGTTCCGGGCAGAAGCTATCAAAAGTATAAGCCATGATATTATAATTTGATGATTTTTCATGCGTCAAATGGTTATGGCCCAGGGGTGAAAAGTGGATGCTCCGTAACTAGATGATGGTCAAGAGTTATAAAAATGAGGTCCTCTCTGTTCAACATTTCTCCTTTCTTGAAAGGATACTGAATATCATGCTCAGGGCCTCTAATGGCCAGAAATAAAGTTCCTCCCAGTTCCAGAGCACCCCAGGATAACCCCAAAACCAGAGCAACTGCTTATTTCCATATAGACTATATACTGTGCAACTCCCGGGGTGGCATTTTCATAAATATGTGGGTGGCGCCCCCTGGAGGTAAGCAATGCACAACTTGCACAAATGGTAAGACACCGTATCCCAAAGTCCACAAAGAAGAGCTAAGCAAAACTCCCATCGATGTTGCCATCGGTAATGAGTCTGCCTTTTCTTCATGGGACAGTAGCAAAAACAATTTGGCCAAGTGTGCTTGGATGATCTCTAAGATGGAATCAGGGTCTCTCACTTTCAGCACTATTGACATTTGGGGCTGGATCATTCTTTTGTCTTAGTGGGAGTTGTCCGGGGCATTGTAGGATGCTTAGCAGCATCGCTGGCCTCTACCCATTAGCTGCCAGTAGCACCACCTCCTCCAGCCGCAACCACCAAAATTGTCTCCAGACATGGCCACGTGTTCTCTGGGGGGCAAAATCACCCCCTGGCTGAAAAGCCCTGAAGTAAAGACATAATATGCAGATCACATGTAAGTAAGGGAGCCTAAGGGCCACACAGGTGATGCTGTACCCATGACAAAGACAGAGTCTTAAAGAGGTTAGAGAGGTGGAGAAAGAGAAAGGAAATGAAGTCCCAGTTGCCTAGAGCAACAGATGCTGACTAGATGTTGTTGATAGTCATCTTTAAACTGAGTTAAAAGATGCTGAGAAGCCATCAGCTCCCATCCTGCTCTCCAGGGACAACGCTGCTGAAAAAAGGCCTGGAGATCAACAAAGCCCCAAACACAGGTGCACTGAGCAAAGAAACCAGAGATTGAGACAAAATGACATTCCCTCAAAGACTACACATTTCCAAGAGGAGAGAAAAAGTGGAGTCATGAAAAACAGTTGAGGCTGGATAGAGTGACTCACACCTGTAATCCCAGCACTTTGGGATTACTCCCAGTCTGAGACGGGAAGACTGCTTGAACTCAGGAGTTCAAGACCAGCCTGGGCAACGTAGCAAGACCTTGCCTCTAGAAAAAGGGAAAAAATTAGCCAGGTGTGGTAATACATGCCTGTGGTCTCAGCTACTCGGGAGGCTGAGGTGGGAGGATCACTTGAACCCAGGAGGTAGAGGCTGCAGTGAGCCGGGATCGCACCACTGCACTCCAGCCTGGGCTACAGATCCTGTCCCAAAAAAGAAAAAAAATAAACCAAATTAAGGCCAGGCACGATGGCTCATGGCTGTAATCCCAGCACTTTGGGAGGCCGAGGTGGGCAGATCACGAGTTCAGGAGATTGAGACCATCCTGGCTAACACGGTGAAACCCCATCTCTATTAAAAATACAAACAATTAGCCGGACATGGTGCTGGGTGCCTATAGTCCCAGCTACTCTGGAGGCTGAGGCAGAAGAATGGAGTGAACTCGGGAGGTGGAGCTTGAAGTGAGCCAAGATCACGCCACTACACTCCAGCCTAGGCAAAAGAGCAAGACTCTATCTCAAAAAAAAAAGAAAAGAAAATTAAAAATTTTTTTGAGACCAAGTCTCACTCTGTCACCCAGGCTGGAGTGATCTCCAGCTCACTGGATCTCCGCTCACTGCAACCTCCGCCTCCTTGGTTCAAGTGATTCTCAGTTCTCAACCTCGTACCTCAACATGACTACAGGCATGTTTTCACCATGCCTAATTTTTGCATTTTTAGTAGAGATGGGATTTCACCATGTTGTCCAGGATGGTCTTGAACTCCTAGGTTAAAGCAATCTACCCACCTCAGCCTCCCAAAATGCTGAGATTACAGGCATGAGCCACCGTGCCTGACCTCTAACTTTTCATTATGGAAATTTTCCATATGCACAAAAATCAGGGAGAGAATTACACCATGAACCCCCATGCACCCATCATCCCACTGCAAGAACTTGTCAACATTTCGCCAATCTCATTCCAGTTCCCACTTTTCTTTTCCTTCTTGCTATTTTAGGATATTTTAAAGCAAATTCCAGACATTTCATTTCACCCACATCCATAACACACCAGGGTGCATTCTTGATGTAAGGATTTTGTTTTGTTTTATAACCCCCCATGCCATTGCCACAGTTAATAGATTTAACATGAAGAAACTAAGATTCTTGCAGGTGGAGAAAAGATCTAATTACCACCTTAAAGCCTCACCTACTAGCGCTTCTCAGATCTGAACGTGTATGCAAATCACCTGGGCATCTTGTTAAAATGTAGATTCTGGCCCAGCAGGTCCTTCCGGGTGAGCCCTGAGAGTCTTCAATACCAAAAGCTCCCAGGTGACGCAATGCTGCGGGTCCATGAATCACACAAGAGGAAGTGTCGTGTCGGCCAAACACCCACAACAACTGGGTGTGAAGTCCTGACCGTTCCTGACTGCAGGGCCTTCAGTGAACGGGGCAGCTGGGGACCATTTGGGAAAGAAGGGAGGTTTTTCCTATCAGCTCCAGGCCTTGTAGAACTGCCAGGGAATAACAGACACAAGGTCAGCAAAGTCTAACCAACAGCACGAGTGCATTCATATTCCACAACCACTGCAGCAAAGAACCATGAAATGGGTGGCTTCAAACAATGTCTGTGTCAGGTGCCGTGGCTCACACCTAAGTAATCTCAGGACTTTGGGAGGCTGAGTTGGGTGAATCACTTGAGGCCAGGAATTCGAGACCAGCCTGGCCAATATGCCAAAACCTCGTCTCTACTAAAAATACAAAAATTAGCCATGCATGGTGGCAGGCACCTGTAGTCCCCACTTCTTGGGAGGCTGAGGCAAGAGAATGGCTTGAGCCTGGGAGGTGGAGGTTGCAGTGAACTGAGATCATGCCACTGCACTCCAGACTGGGCAACAGAGCAAGCCTCTGTCTGAAAAAAAAAAAGAAAAAAAAAAAAAATTAATTGTCTGGAGGCCAGAAGTCCAAAATCAATCAAATGTCAGCAGGAGAATGCTCCTTCAGAGGTTCTAGGGGAGAATCCATTCCTTGCGTCTTCCAGCTTGTAGAGGCTACTAGAATTCCTCAACTTGTGGCTGCATGATCCAATCTCTGCCTCTGTGATCACCTTGCCTCCTCCTCTTCTGTCTGGGTCTCCTCCTCTGGAGGAAGAGTGTCAGTCCTCTGAGCCCAAGCTAAGCCATCATTATCTCCTGTGACCTGCATGTACATATCCAGATGGCCGGTTCCTGCCTTAACTGATGACATTACCTTGTGAAATTCCTTCTCCTTGCTCATCCTGGCTCCAAAGCTCCCCTACTGAGCACCTTGTGGCCCCCACTCCTGCCTGCCAGAGAACAACCCCCCTTTTTCCTTTACCTACCCAAATCCTATAAAATTGCCCCACCCCTATCTCCCTTCACTGACTCTCTTTTTGGACTCAGCCCACCTGTACCCAGGTGAAATAAACAGCTTTACTGCTCACACAAAGCCTGTTTGGTGGTCTCTTCACATGGATGCATGTGAAATTTGGTGCCGTGACTGGGATCGAGGGACTTCCCTTGGGAGATCAATCCCCTGTCCTCCTGCTCTTTGCTCTGTGAGAAAGATCCACCTATGACTTCAGGTTCTCAGACTGACCAGCCCAAGAAACATCTCACCAATTTCAAATCTGGTAAGCGGCTTCTTTTTACTCTCTTCTCCAACCTCCCTCACTATCCCTCCACCTCTTTCTCCTCCCAATCTTGGCACCACACTTCAATCTCTCCCTTCTCTTAATTTCAATTCCTTTCATTTTCTGGTAGAGACAAAGGGGACACGTTTTATCTGTGGACCCAAAACTCTGGCACCAGTCACGGACTAGGGAAGGCAGCCTTTCCTTGGTGTTTAATCATTGCAGGGACACCTCTCTGATTATTCACCGAGGTTTCAGAGGTGTCAGACCATGCAGGGATGCCTGCCTTGTTCCTTCACCCTTAGCAGCAAGACCTGCTTTTCTGGGGGAGGGACAAGAACCCCTCAACCCCTTCTCCTTCACCCTTAGCAGCATGTCCCACTTTTCTGGGGGAGGGACAGGAACCCCGACCTCTTATCTCTGCACCCCGATCCCTTATTTCCATGCCCTGACCTCATCTCTGTGTCCCGATCCCTTATTTCCACAACCTGACCTCTTATCTCTGCACCCCAACCCTTTATTTCTGTGCCCCCAACCCTTTCCCTCTATTCTGGAAGGCAAGAACCCTCCACCCCTTCTCTCCATGTCTCTACTCTCTTTTCTCTAGGCTTGCCTCCTTCACTATGGGCAAGCTTCCGCCTTCCATTCCCCTTTCTTCTCCCTTACGCTGTGTTCTTCAAAACCTAAAACCTCTTCAACTCACACCTGACCTAAAACCTAAATGCCTTATTTTCTTCTACAATGCTACTTGACCCCAATACAAACTCAGCAGTGGTTCCAAATAGCCAGAGAATGGCACTTTCAATTTTTCCATCCTACAAGATCTAGATACTTCTTGTCATAAGATGGGCAAATGATCTGAGATGCCTGATGTCCAGGCATTCTTTTACACATTGGTCCCTCCCTAGTCTCTGTTCCCAGTGCAACTCATCCGAAATCTTCCTCCTTTCCCTCCCACCTGTCCCCTCAGTCCCAACCCCAAGTGTCGCTGAGTCTTTCTAATCTTCCTTTTCTACAGACCCATCTGACCTCTCCCATCCTGGCCAGCCTGAGCTAGGTCCCAATTCTTCCTCAGCCTCCACTTCTCCACCCTATAATCCTTTTATCACCTCCCCTCCTCACACTGGGTCTGGCTTACAGTTTAATTCCGTGACTAGCCCTCCCCCACCTGCCCAGCAATTTACTCTTAAACAGGTGCCTGGAGCTAAAGACATAGTCAAGGTTAATGCTCCTTTTTCTTTATCCCAAATCAGATAGCATTTAGCCTCTTTTTCATCAAATATAAAAATCCACCCCAGTTCATGGCTCGTTTGGCAGCAACCCTGAGATGCTTTACAGCCCTAGACCCTAAAACGTCAAAAGGCCGTCTTATTCTCAATATACATTTTATTACCCAATCTGCTCCCGACATTAAATAAAACTCCAAAATTAAATTCCGGCCCTCAAACCCCACAACAGGACTTAATTAACCTCAACTTCAAGGTGTACAATAATGGAGTAGAGGCAGCCTAGCAGCAACATATTTCTCAGTTGCAATTCCTTGCCTCCACTGTGAGACAAAGCCCAGCCAAATCTCCAGCACACAAGAACTTCCAAACGCCTAAAGCGCAGTGGCCAGGCATTCCTCCAGAACCACCTACCCCAGGAGCTTGCTACAAGTGCCAGAAATCTGGCCACCAGACCAAGGAATGCCTGCAGCCCGGGATTCCTCCTGAGCCATGTCCCATCTGTGCGAGACCCAACTAGAAATCGGACTGTTCAACTCACCTGGCAGCCACTCCTAGAGCCCCTGGAACTCCAGCCCAAGGCTCTCTGACTGATTCCTTCCCAGATCTTCTTGGCTTAGCAGCTGAAGACTGACACTGCCTGATAGATCACCTCGGAAGCCTACAGGACCATCACAGACGCTCTAGGTAACTCTCACAGTGGAGGATAAGTCCATCCCCTTCTTAATCAATACGGAGGCTAACCACTCCACATTACCTTCTTTTCAAGGGCCTGTTTCCCTTCCCTCCATAATTGTTGTGAGTATTGACAGCCAGGCTTCTAAACCTCTTAAAACTCCCCAACTCTGGTGCCAACTTAGACAATACTCTTTTAAGCACTCCTTTTTAGTTGTCCCCACCTGCCCAGTTCCCTTATTAGGCTGAGACACTTTAACTAAATTATCTGCTTCCCTGACTATTCCTGGACTACAGCCACATCTCATTGCCACCCACCTTAACCCACAAGTAGAAGATACCTCTATTCCCTCCTTGGCAACCTATCATGCACCCCTTACCATCTCATTAAAACCTAATCACTCTTACCCCTCTCAATGCCAATATCCCATCCCACAGCATGCTTTGAAAGGATTAAAGCCTGTTATCACTCACCTGCTACAGCATGGCCTTTTAAAGCCTATAAACTCTCCTTACAATTCCCCCATTTTACCTGTCCTAAAACCAGACAAGCCTTACAAGTTAGTTCAAGATCTGTGCCTTATCAACCAAATTGTTTTGCCTATCCACCCCAAGGTGCCAAACACATATACTCTCCTATCCTCAGTTCCTCCCTCCACAACCCATTATTCTGTTCTGAATCTCAAACATGCTTTCTTTACTATTCCTTTGCACCCTTCATCCCAGTCACTCTTCGCTTTCACTTGGACTGACCCTGACACCCATCAAGCTCAGCAAATTACCTGGGCTGTACTGTCGCAAAGCTTCACAGACAGCCCCCATTACTTCAGTCAAGCCCAAATTTCTCCCTTATCTGTTACCTATCTCAGCATAATTCTCATAAAAACACACGTGCTCTCTCTGCCGATCGTGTGTGACTCATCTCTCAAACCCCAACCCCTTCTACAAAACAACAACTCCTTTCCTTCCTGTGCATGGTTGGATACTTTCACCTTTAGATATCTGGTTTTGCCATCCTAACAAAACCATTATATAAACTCACAAAAGGAAACCTAGCTGACCCCATAGATCCTAAATCCTTTCCCCACTCCTCTTTCTGTTCCTTGAAGACAGCTTTAAAGACTGCCCCCACCCTAGTCTTGGTTCCCTGACCGGGAAGCGAGGTAATTGACGGCAGTTGAGGCAGCCCTTTAGGCGGCTTAGGCCTGCCCTGTGGAGCATCCCTGCGGGGGACTCCTGCCAGTTTGAGCGACGCGGATCCTGAGAGCTCTCCTGGGTAGGCAATTGACCCGGTGGAATGCCTCGTCAGAGCAGTGTGTGGTAGGCCCCGGTGGAGGATCAACATAGTGGGTGAACACCGGGAAGGAACAGGCACTTGGAGTCTGGACATTTGAAACTTGGTAAGACTGGTCTTTGGAACTTGCCCACTCTATTTGAGTGGAAGTGTGGCCTGATCACCCACGGCGTGCCTGTACTGGCACTTTGGTTTTTGTTTTTGACTTGAATTGAATTGCTTGATACTTTGGTTTTGGTTTGACCTGGCTTGGATTTCTGGATACTCCGATTTTGGTTTTGATTCTGGTTTGGTGAAAACTGAAAAAGTGTGTGTGTGCCCTTTTTACTCATTCTTTGTTCTGTGGTGTGCGTGTGGTGTGAGCTTGGTGTTTTGTCTCGAGGAAACGTGGGTCAGACACAAAGTAAGCCTACTCTGCTAGGAACTATGATGAAAAATTTTAAGAAAGGATTTAATGGAGACTATAGGGTTACTATGACACCAGGGAAATTTAGAACTTTGTGTGAAATAGATTGCCCAGCTTTAGAAGTGGGTTGGCCATCAGAAGGAAGCCTGGGCAGGTCCCTTGTTTCTAAGGTATGGCACAAGGTAATTGGTAAGTCAGGACACTCAGACCAGTTTCCATACATAGACACTTGGTTACAGCTGATGCTAAACCCCCCACAGTGGCTAAGAGGGCAGGCAGCAGCAGTGCTAGTAGCGTAGGGACAGATAGCCAAGGAAGGATCGTGCTCCACCCGCCGAGGGAAATCAACACCTGAAGATCTGTTCAACCCAACAGCAGAACATGCATTGCAGGAGATGGCACCAGTGATCCCAGTGGTGCCCTCCCCTTACCAGGGAGAAAGGCTCCCCACTTTTGAGTCCACAGTGCTTGGGCCTCCACAAGACAAACATATCCCTAGGCAATCCAGAGTATACAAAAGAAGAGGTGAGGACTCGGGAGGAACCCCTCCCTTGGCAGCTCGTTTAAGACCCAAAACGGGGATCCAAATGCTCCTGAGAGAGCAGCGGTATACAGGGATAGATGAGGATGGTCATGTGGTGGGGAGGCGTGTTTCTGTGTACCAGCCCTTCACCTCTGCCCACCTTCTCAACTGGAAAAATAGTACCCCATCCTATACCAAAAAGCCACAAGCTCTAATTGATTTGCTCCAAACTAATATCCAGACCCACAACCCCACTTGGACTGATTGTCACCAGCTGCACATGTTCCTCTTTAACACAGATGAAAAATGGAGAGTGCTAGAAGCAGCAACTAAGTGGCTAGAGGAACATGCACCGGCTGATTACCAAAACCCCCAAGAGTATGTAAGGACCCAGTTACTGGAACCGACCCCCAGAAGGACCCAAATGAAAGAGAGGATATGCAAAGGCTAAACCGATACAGGGAAGCTCTCTTGGAAGGATTAAAGAGGGGAGCCCAGGAGGCCACAAATGTTAACAAGGTCTCTGAGGTCATTCAGAGAAAAGAAGAAAGTCCAGCACAATTCTAGGAGAGACTGTGTGATGCCTATGGTATGTATACACCCTTTGATCCCGATAGCCCTGAAAATCAATGCATGATTAACATGGCTTTAGTTAGTCAAAGCGCAGAAGACATTAGAAGAAAACTGCAGAAACAGGCTGGGTTTGCAGGGATGAACACATCACAGTTATTAGAAGTAGCTAACCAGGTGTTTGTAAACAGGGATGCAGTAAGCCATAAGGAAAACTGCAGAGAGAAGGAACGTCAGGCCCAGCGAAACGCCGACCTGTTAGCGGCAGCAAACAGAGGGGTCCCCCAAAAGAGGCAAGGGAAGGGGGGCCCCGGGAAAGAAACTCAGCCTGGCTGTCAAAGGTTGCAGCGTAATCAGTGTGTTTATTGTAAAGAAATAGGACATTGGAAGAGCAAATGCCCTCAGCTAAAAAGAAAACAAGGTGATTCGGAGCAAGAGGCTCCAGACAAGGAGAAAGGGGCCCTGCTCAACCTGGCAGAAGGGTTATTGGACTGAGGGGGACCGGGCTCAAGGACCCCGAAAGAGCCTATGTTCAGGATGACAGTTAGGGGTAAAGACATTGATTTTCTTGTAGATACTGGTGCTAAACATTCGGTAGTAACCGCCCCGGTCGCCCCCTTATACAAAAAGATTATTGACATCATCGGAGCCACAGGGGTTTCCGCAAAGCAAGTTTCTGCTTGCCCTGGACTTGTACTGTAGGAGGACATAAAGTGATTCATCAGTTTTTGTCCACGCCTGACTGTCCCTTGCCCTTATTGGGAAGGGACTTGCTTAGCAAACAGAGAGCCACTATCTCTTTTACAGAGCATGGCTCTTCGCTGCTAAAGTTACCCGGAACGGGAGTCATTATGACCCTTACCGTCCCCCGAGAGGAGGAATGGAGACTTTTCTTAACTGAGCCGGGCCAAGAGATAAGACCAGCTCTGGCTAAGCGGTGGCCAAGAGTACGGGTGGAAGACAACCCTCCAGGGTTGGCAGTCAACCAAGCCCCCGTACTTATAGAAGTTAAGCCTAGGGCCCAGCCATTTAGGCAAAAACAGGAGCCGGTCCCCAGAGAAGCTCTTGAAGGTATCCAGGTCCATCTCAAGCACCTAAGAACTTTTGGAATTAGAGTTCCTTGTCAGTCTCCATGGAACACTCCCCTCCTGCCTGTTCCCAAGCCTAGGACCAAGGACTACAGGCCGGTACAGGATTTGCGCTTGCTTCATCAGGCTACAGTGACTTTACATCCAGCAGTACCTAACCCGTACACATTGCTGGGGTTGCTGCCAGCTGAGGACAGCTGCTTCACCTGCTTGGACCTGAAAGATGCTTTCTTTAGCATCAGATTAGCCCCTGAGAGCCAGAAGCTGTTTGCCTTTCAGTGGGAAGATCCGGAGTCAGGTGTCACTACTCAGTACACTTGGACCCGGCTTCCCCAAGGGTTCAAGAACTCCCCCACTATCTTCGGGGAGACATTGCCTCGAGACCTCCAGAAGTTTCCCACCAGAGACCTAGACTGCGTGTTGCTCCAGTAGGTTGATGATCTTTTGCTGGGACACCCCACGGCAGTCGGGTGCGCCAAGGGAACAGATGCTCTACTGCGGCACCTGGAGGACTGTGGGTATAAGGTGTCCAAGAAAAAAGCTCAGATCTGCCGACAGCAGGTACGTTACTTAGGATTTACTATCCGACAGGGGGAGAGCAGCCTAGGATCAGAAAGAAAGTAGGTCATTTGCAATCTACCGGAGCCTAAGACCAGAAGGCAGGTGAGAGCATTTTTAAGGGCTGTGGGGTTTTGCAGACTGTAAATCCCAAACTTTGCAGTATTAGCCAAGCCTTTGTATGAGGTCACAAAGTGGGGGGACCGGGAACTTTCTGAATGGGGATGCCAGCAACAGCAAGCCTTTCATGAGTTAAAGGAAAGACTTATGTCAGCCCCAGCCCTGGGGCTACCCGATCTAATAAAGCCTTTTCCATTGTATGTGTCAGAAAGAGAAAAGATGGCAGTTGGTGTTTTAACCCAAACTGTGGGGCCCTGGCCAAGGCCGGTGGCCTACCTCTCTAAACAACTAGACGGGGTTTCTAAAGGATGCCCCTTGTTTGAGGGCCTTGGCAGCAACTGCCCTGCTAGTACAAGAAGCAGATAAGCTGACTCTTGGACAAAACCTGAACGTAAAGGCCCCCCATGCTGTGGTGACTTTCATGAATACTAAAGGACATCATTGGCTAATGAATGCTAGACTCACTAAGTACCAAAGTTTGCTCTGTGAAAATCCCCGCATAACCATTGAGGTTTGTAACACCCTACACCCCGCTACCTTGCTCCCAGTATCAGAGAGCCCTGTCGAGCATGACTGTGTAGAAGTGTTGGACTCAGTTTACTCTAGCAGACCTAACCTCCAGGAACAGCCTTAGGCATCAGTAGACTAGGAACTACACGTGGCTGGGAGCAGCTTCATCAACCCACAGGGAGAGAGATGTGCAAGCTATGCGGTGGTAACTCTGGACACTGTTGCTGAAGCCAGATCGTTTCCCCAGGGCACTTCAGCTCAGAAAGCTGAACTCATTGCTTTCATTCGGGCCTTAGAACTCAGTGAAGCTAAGAATGTCAACATTTACACTCACTCTCAATATGCCTTTTCAACCCTTCAAATGCATGGAACATTATATAAAGAAAAGGGCTTATTGAACTCTGGGGGAAAAGACATAAAATATCAACAATAAATCTTGCAATTATTAAAAGCCGTATGGAGACCCCACAAGGTGGCAGTTATGCATTGCAGAGGACACAAGCGAGCTTCCACCTTGGTGGGTTTAGGGAATTCCTGCGCTGACTTAGAGGCTCGAAAAGCAGCATCTGCCCCCTTCTGGGCATCAATCACAACCCCCCTGCTCCCTCAAGCACCTGATCTGGTACCTACTTATTCTAAAGAAGAAAAGGACTTTCTCCAGGCAGAGAGAGGACAAGTGATGGAGGAAGGATGAATTCGGTTACCGGATGGGAGAGTAGCTGTGCCACAGCTGCTAGGAGCTGCAGTTGTACTGGCTGTGCGTGAAACCACCCATCTAGGTTAGGAATCACTTGAAAAGTTGTTAGGCTGGTATTTCTACATCTCGCATTTGTCAGCCCTTGCCGAAACGTTGACGCAGTGGTGTGTTACCTGCCGACAGCATAATGCGAGGCAGGGTCCAGCCGTTCCACCCGGCATACAAACTTATGGAACAGCCCCCTTTGAAGAGCTCCAGATGGACTTCACAGAGATGCCAAAGTGTAGAGGTAACAAGTATTTACTAGTTCTTGGGCGTACCTACCCTGGGTAGGTGGAAGCTTATCCAACACGAACTGAGAAAGCTCATGAAGTAACTCATGTGCTTCTTCGAGATCTTATTCCTAGATTTGGACTGCCCTTATGGATCAGTTCAGATAATGGGCCGGCGTTTGTGGCTGACTTAGTACAGAAGGCGGCAAAGGTATTGGGGATCACACGGAAACTGCATGCTGCCTCCTGGCCTCAGAGTTCTGGAAAGGTGGAGCGAATGAATTGAACTATCAAAAATAGTTTAGGGAAAGTATGTCAGGAAACAGGATTAAAATGGATACAGGCTCTCCCTATGGTATTATTTAAAATTAGATGTACCACTTCTAAAAGAACAGGATATTCCCCTTATGAAATATTATATCATAGGCCCCCTCCTATATTGCGGGGACTTCCAGGCACTCCCTGAGAGTTAGGTGAAATTGAGTTACAGCGACAGCTACAGGCTTTAGGAAAAATTACACAGACAATCTCAGCCTGGGTAAATGAGAGATGCCCTGTTAGTTTATTCTCCCCAGTTCACCCTTTCTCCCCAGGTGATCGAGTGTGGATCAAGGACTGGAAAGTAGCCTCTTTGTGTCCACTGTGGAACGGACCCCAGACTGTCGTCCTGAGCACTCCCACCGCTGTGAAGGTAGAAGGAATCCCAGTCTGGAACCACCACAGCTGTGTAAAACCTGCAGCGCCGGAAACCTGGGAGGCAAGACCAAGCCCAGACAACCCTTGCAGAGTGACCCTGAAGAAGACGACAAGCCCTGCTCCAGTCACACCTGGAAGCTGACTGGTCCACGCATGGCCGAAGCACGAGGAAGCTCATCGTTAGATTCATTTTTCTTAAATTTTGGACTTATACAGTAAGGGCTTCAACTAACCTTACTCAAAATGGGGACTGTTCCCAGTGTATTTATCAGGTCACCGAAGTAGGACAGCAAATTAAAACAATCTTTCTGTTCTATAGTTATTATGAATGTATGGAAACATTAAAAGAAACTTGTTTGTATAATGCCACTCAGTACAAGGTATGTAGCCCGAGAAATGACCGACCTGATGCGTGTTATAGCCCATCTGAGCCCCCTGCAACCACCGTTTTTGAAATAAGAACTGGCCTTTTGCTAGGTGATACAAGTAAAATAATAACTAGAACAGAAGAAAAAGAAATCCCCAAGCAAATAACTTTAAGATCTGATGCTTGTGCAGCCATTAATAGTAAAAAGCTAGAAATAGGATATGGTTCTCTTAACTGAGAAAGGAGCTAAAGAGTAGAAAATAAATATGTTTGTCATGAGTCAGGGGTTTGTAAAAATTGTGCCTATTGGCCATGTGTTATTTAGGCTACTTAAAAAAAGAACAAAAATGACTCGGTTTATCTTCAGAAGGGAGAAGCCAACCCCTCCTGGGCCGCCGGTCACTGTAACCCACTAGAACTAATAATTACCAATCCCCTAGATCCCCTTTGGAAAAAGGGAGAACGCGTAACCCTGGGGATCAATAGGACAGGGTTAAACCCTCAAGTTGCCATTTTAATTAGAGGGGAGGTCCACAAGTGCTCTCCCAAAACAGTATTTCAAACGTTTTATGAGGAGCTGAATCTGCCAACACCAGAACTTCCGAAAAAGACAAAAAATTTGTTTCTCCAATTAGCAGAAAATGTAGCTAATTCCCTTAATGTTACTTCTTGTTATGTATGCGGAGGAACCACTATCGGAGACAGATGGCCTTCGGAAGCCCGAGAGTTGGTGTCTACTGATCCAGCTCCTGATATAATTCCAGTTCAGAAGGCCCAAGCTAGCAACTTCTAGGTCCTAAAACCTCAATTATTAGACAATACTGTATAGCTAGAGAAGGGAAAGACTTTATCATCCCTGTAGGAAAGCTTAATTGTATAGGACAGAAGTTGTATAACAGCACAACAAAGACAATTACTTAGTAGGGCCTAACCCACACTGAAAAGAATCCATTTAGTAAATTTTCTAAATTAAAAACTGCTTAGGCTCATGCAGAATCTCATTAGGACTGGACGGTTCCCACTGGACTATACTAGATACGTAGGCACAGAGCCTACATTCGGTTACCTAATAAATGGGCAGACAGTTGTGTTATTGGCACTATTAAGCCGTCCTTTTTCTTATTACCCATAAAAATGGGTGAGCTCATAGGTTTCCCTGTCTATGCCTCCTGAGAAAATAAAGGCATAGTTATAGGAAACTGGAAAGATAATGAGTGGCCCCCTGAAAGGATCATTCAGTATTATGGGCCTGCCACAGGGGCACAAGATGGCTCATGGGGATACCAAACCCCCATCTACATGCTCAACTGGATCATACGGTTGCAGTCCGTCTAAGAAATAATTACTAATGAAACTGGCAGAGCTTTGACTGTTTTAGCTTTGCAAGAAACCCAAATGAGGAATGCTATCTATCAGAAAAGACTGGCCTTAGACTACTTGCTAGTAGCTGAAGGAGTTTGTGGAAAATTTAACTTAACCAACTGCTGCCTACAAATAAATGATCAAGGACAGATGGTTAAAAACATAGTCAGGGACATGACAAAGGTTGCACATGTGCCTGTAGAGGTTTGGCACGAGTTTAATCCTGAGTCTTTATTTGAAAAATGGTTTCCAGCTATAGGAGGATTTAAAACCCTCATTGTAGGTGTATTGCTAGTGATAGGAACTTACTTGCTGCTCCCCTGTGTATTACTCTTGCTTTTTCAAATGATAAAAGATTTTGTTGCTACTTTGGTTCATCAGAAAACTTCAGCACACGTGTGTTATATAAATCACTATCGCTCTATCTCACAAAGAGACTCAAAAAGTAAAGATGAGAGTGAGAACTCCCACTAAAAAGTGAAAATGCTCAAAGGGGGAAAATATGGTATGAGACCACCACTTCTCCTGTTGTCCTTCCCAGTTTCTCCCCAACCTCCCCTTTTCCCTAGTTTATAAGACAGCAAAAAAGGGAGAAAGCAAAAAGCTGGAAAAAACAGAAGTAAAATAAATACCTAGACGACTTTGGCGCCACCACCTGGCCCTGGTGGTTAAAGTAACAATAATATTAACCCCTGACCAAAACTACTGTTGTTATCGGTAAATCCCAGACATTGTATGAGAAAGCACTGTAAAAACTTTTTGTTCTGTTAGCTGATGTATGTAGCCCCCAGTCATGTTCCTCAAGCTTCCTTGATCTATTATGACTTTTTCACGTAGAACCCTTAGAGTTGTCAGCCCTTAAAAGGGCTAGGAATTTCTTTTTCAGGGAGCTCGGCTCTTAAGACACGAGTCTGCCAACGCTCCCGGCCGAATAAAAAAACCTCTTCCTTCTTTAATCTAGTGTCTGAGGAGTTTTGTCTGGAACTCGTCCTGCTACACTAGCTCTCCGTGACTCATCCCAACCCTTTTCATTACACGCAGCCGAAGTGCAGCGCTGTGCAGTTGAAATTCTTACACAAGGACCAGGATGGCGTCCTGTAGCCTTTTTGTCCAAACAACTTGACCTTACTGTTTTAGGTTGGCCGTTGTGTCTCCGTGCAGCAGCTGCTGCCACCCTAATACTTTTAAAGGCCCTTAAAATCAGAAACTATGCTCAACTCACTCTCTACAGCTCTCATAATTTCCAAAATCTATTGTCTTCCTCACACCTGCCACATATACATTCTGCTCGCCGGCTCCTTCTGCTGTACTCACTCTTTGTTGAGTCTCCCACAATTACCATTGTTCCTGGCCCAGACTTCAATCCGGCCTCCCCCATTATTCCTGATACCACACCTGACCCTCATGACTGCATCTCTCTGATCCACCTGACGTTCATCCCATTTCCCCACATTTCCTTCTTCCCTGTTTCTCACCCTTACCACACTTAGTTTATTGATGGCAGTTCCACCAGGCCTAATTGCCACACACCAGCAAAAGCAGGGTATGCTATAGTACAAGCCACTAGCCCGCCTCTTAGAACCTCTCATTTCCTTTCCATCGTGGAAATCTATCCTCAAGGAAATAACTTCTCAGTGTTCCATCAGCTATTCTACTACTCCTCAGGGATTCTTCAGGCCCCCTCCCTTCCCTACACATCAAGCTCAGGGATTTGCCCCCACCCAGGACTGGCAAATTAGCTTTACTCAACGTGCCCCGAGTCAGGAAACTAAAATACCTCTTGGTCTAGGTAGACACTTTCACTGGATAAGTAGAGGCCTTTCCCACAGGGTCTAAGAAGGCCACCACGGTCATTTCTTCTCTTCTGTCAGACATAATTCCTCAGTTTGGCCTTCCCACCTCTATACAGTCCGATAGCAGACCTGCCTTTAGTAATCAAGTCAGCCAAGCATTTTTTCAGGCTCTTAGTATTCAGTGAAACCTTTATATCCCTTACAGTCCTCAATCTTCAGGAAAGGTAGAACAGACTGATGGTCTTTTAAAAACACACCTTACCAAGCTCAGCCACCAACTTAAAAACGACTGGACAATACTTTTACCACTTTCCCTTCTCAGAATTCCGGCCTGTCCTTGGAATGCTACAAGGTACAGCCCATTTGTTGCAGGAAGTCAGGGACCCCAAACGGAGGGACAGGCTGAAGCCATGGCAGAAGAACGTGGATTGTGAAGATTTTATGGACATTTATTAGTTCCCCAAATTAATACTTTTGTAATTTCTTATGCCTGACTTTACTGCAATCTCTAAACATAAATTGTAAAGATTTCATGGACACTTATCACTTCCCCAATCGATATCCTTGTGATTTCCTATGCCTGTCTTTGCTTTAATCTCTTAATCCTGTCAGCCGAGAAGGATGTATATCGTCTCAGGACCCTGTAATAATTGCGTTAAGTACACAAATTGTACAGCATGTGTGTTTGAGCAATATGAAATGTGGACATCCTGAAAAAAGAACAGGATAACCGCAGTCGTTCAGGGAATAAGAGAGATAACCTTAAACTCTGACCGCTGGTGAGCCCGGCAGAACAGAGCCATATTTCTCTTCTTTCAAAAGCAAATGGGAGAAATATCACTGAATTCCTTTCTCAGCATGGAACGTCCCTGAGAAAGAGAATGCGCACCTAGGGGTAGGTCTCTGAACTGGCCCCCCGGGGCTTACCTGTCTCTTAAGGTCGAGATTGCAGAGGTGAAATAAACTGCAGTCTCCCATAGCGCTCCCAGGCTTATTAGGAAGAGGAAATTCCCGCCTAATAAACTTTGGTCAGACCGGTTGATCTCAAAACCCTGTCTCCTGATAAGATGTTATCAATGACAATGGTGCCAAAACTTCATTAGCAATTTAAATTTCACTTCGGTCCTGTGGTCCTGTGATCTCGCCCTGTCTCCACTTGCCTTGTGATATTCTATTACCCTGTTAAGTACTTGATGTCTGTCACCCACACCTATTCGTATACTCCCTCCCCTTTTGAAACTCCCTAATAAAAACTTGCTGGTTTTTGTGGCTTGTGGGGCATCATGGATCCTACCAATGTGTGATGTCTCCCCCGGACGCCCAGCTTTAAAATTTCTCTCTTTTGTACTCTGTCCTTTTATTTCTCAAGCCAGTCAATGCTTAGGAAAATAGAGAAGAACCTACGTGATTATCGGGGCAGGTCCCCCGATACCCCTTGGATCTCCTGTATAGACACTCCTTTTTGTTAGGCTCCAGTCTCATTCCAGACACAAGACCAACTTGGACTGTGCCCCAAAAAACTTCTCATCCCTACTATCTTCTGTCTAGCCATACTCCTATTCACCATTCTCAACTACTCATATATGCCCTGCTCTTGTTTACACTGGTGGTTTACACTGTTTCTCCAAGCCATCACAGCTGACATCTCCTGGTGCTATCCCCAAACCACCACTCTTAACTCTTAAATAATCTTTGCTGGCAAGGCTATGCTGAACCTCCTTAGGCACTCTCTAATTAGATGTCCTAGGTCCTCCCAATTCTTAGTCCTTTAATACCTGTTTTTCTCCTTCTCTTATTCTGTTTAGTTTTTCAATTCATACAAAACTGTATCCAGGCCATCACCAATAATTTTAAATGAAAAATGTTTCTTCTAACAACCCCACAATATCACCCCTTACCACAAAATCTTCTTTCAGCTTAATCTCTCCTACTCTAGGTTCCCATGCCACCCCAATCCCACTGGAAGCAGCCCTGAGAAACATCGCCCATTGTCTCTCCATAACACCCCCCAAAAATTTTCACCATCCCAATACTTTACCACTATTTCATTTTATTTTTCTTATGAATATAAGAAGACAGGAACGTCAGGCCTCTGAGCCCAAGCTAAGCCATCATATCCCCTGTGACCTGCATGTACACATCCAGATGGCCGGTTCCTGCCTTAATTGATGACATTCCACCGCAAAATAAATGAAAATGTCCTGTTCCTGCCTTAACTGATGACATTATCTTGTGAAATTCCTTCTCCTTGCTCATCCTGGCTCAAAAGCTCCCCTACTGAGCACCTTGTGACCCCCACTCCTGCCTGCCAGAGAACCCCCCTTTTTCCTTTACCTACCCAAATCCTATAAAATGGCCCCACCCCTATCTCCCTTCGCTGACTCTCTTTTTGGGCTCAGCCCACCTGCATCCAGGTGAAATAAACAGCTTTATTGCTCACAAAAAGCCTGTTTTGTGGTCTCTTCACACGGACGCGCCAGAAAAAGGGTGTCCTTTTTTTTTTTTTTTTTTTGAGATGGAGTTTCACTCTTGTTGCCCAGGCTGGAGTGCAATGGCATGACCTCAGCTCACTGCCACCTCCTCCTCCTGGGTTCAAGCAACTCTCTTGCCTCAGCTTCCCCAGTAGCTGGGATTGCAGGCATGCGCCAACATGCCCGGCTAATTTTGTATTTTTAGTAGAGATGGGGTTTCTCCATGTTGGTCAGGCTGGTCTCAAACTCCTGACCTATGGTGATCCACCCGCCTCGACCTCCCAAAGTGCTGGGATTACAGGCATGAGCCACTGCGCCGGGACAAAAGTGTCCTCTTATAAGGACACTTGTCTTTAGATGTACAGCCTACCTAAATTACTCCAGGATAATCTCGACATCCTTAACTTAATTACATCTGCAAAGACCCTTTTTCCAAATAATGCCACCTCCACAGATTCTAGGCACAAGGATCTGGATATATATTGTGCAAAGCCACCATTCAGCTCACTACACTAGAAAGAGGAAAAACAACGAAGTAACAAAAGGCGCAGAAGAAAGAACAGATGCAGCTTGTGTGGCAGTGGCCATCGAGGCAGGATGGGGTAAAACTGTGTTAACAGAACCCCGAGATGGAACTCAAGTGTGGCCGTCTACTCCCAGCTACTCACAGAGAACGTTTCTGTTTCTGACAGCAGAGTAAGAGAAGGGGTGGGAAGAGAGATAGCCCATTCTCTGTTGGCCTAATTCCTAAGGAATTGTGCCTCTGCCTTCGGGTCATTCTCAAGTCTTGTTCAAGGACAAAATGATTTATTGATGGCCATAATTAAAAAGCAATGCCAACAGAAGCAGCCTCACCATTTTTCATTTGTACTTACACATGAGCGAGAGCAGTTTAGGGAAACGGGTGTCTTCAGGTTCTGTTTTCTCCATCTAGAAAAGGGCTGCCTTCGTGGAATGCTGGTCCTGGGGAGAAGCCTCATTTCTATAGCAGGAATTGATAGAGTTTTAAATTCCGATTGGTACATGGAGCTACCCGTCCTCATTTCAAGCACTTCTGGTTAGTTCTGGGTTCAGTGGGTGAGCAATGAGTAGAACTCTGGGGAGGAGGATTTGGAGTGAGCGTGGTTTTGATCCCCAGAGGGAGTTGTTTTTCCATCAATGTCTTGACTGTGATTCAGAATGGGCTTCTCCGCTCAAGATGGGAGTACTGGGCTAATTTAAGGCAGGTGATTGACTTGATTTGGTGGCTACTTTTATACTAGCTGGTTAACGAGCTATTTTCTTCATTAGTTTCAGGCATATGAGCGTAATGAAGCACTGGACCTCCCAAATTACAAGGAAAATACAGATATAGCTTATGTGGTAGGTTCAAAGGAGTTAGTGAACAAACACAGTAGGGACACAAATTCTTGTTAAAGACATGAATGTATGAAAGTGTATCTATGTCCAAATGGACCCTCTGCAAGCATACTGTTCCACCTGAAAATTAGTACATAGAAATTCAGCAAATGCTTGGACAGGGGATATTCTCAGAAGTATTCTGACTCAATAGCATGGTTTATTTTCATATCACTAAAGTAATTTCTTCTCAAATTGACTCTGGACTAAATCTTATGATACCTACTTGTTCCGATTGTACTTAGCCACCTGCAAATAAGGTGGAGGCAGTGGTAAGAGGAGCTGTTGAATGAAATGAAACATTTGTTGGATGCCTACTGAAGATAAAGCCCTGTGCTTTGTGCCAGGGAGATTCCAGAATAAATGAGGCACAGACCTACTCTCAGGAAGCTTTTGCAAACTAATGGAGAAAACACATCTTCAGGCAATGACTTATGGTATAAGAGGAAATGGGGCCAGATACGGTGACTCACACCTGTAATCCCAGCACTTTGGGAGGCCGAGGTAGGTGGATCACTTGAGGTCAGGAGTTCAAGAGCAGCTTGGCCAACATGGCGAAACCCTTTCTCTACTAAAAGTACAAAAAGAAAAAAAAAAAAATGAGCCAGGCTTGATGGTGTGCACCTGCAATCCCAGCTACTTGGGAGGCTGAGGCACAAGAATCACTTAAACCTGGGAGGTGGACACTGTAGTGAGCCGAGATCCCACCACTGCACTCCAGCCTAGAAGACAGAGCGAGACTGTCAAAATAAAAAAAAAAAGGAAATAAGATTGGTGTTGAATGGGAAATCTAAGGAGGATGGAATGACAGGAGAGCGCCCACTTGCCCAGCTCCAATAACACTTTTGACAGCCATGACAATATTGCAGGGACACCCATTCGTCATGGTATCTGAAGTCCCATGAAAGCTTGAGTCTGGAGGCTGGTTCAGTCTTGACTTTAAGATAAGGGGATACAAGGAATGATTTTCATCTATCCCAAGCCAATAGTCCAGCCAAAAATCTAGGTCTGAGATGATGAGAAAAAGCAAGTCATCAACCATGTCAGCCATTTCATCATCATCATCATCATCATCATCATCATCAAAAACAAAAGACAGACCTGTAACCGTCTTGTGTGCCTGGCTCTCAGTTCACAATATAGAAGTAAATTCTATGGCCAGCGAACAATGAGCAAAATAGCTCTCATCACTCTTGTCTGCCACCATGTAAGACATTCCTTTTGCCTTCCACCATGATTTCGAGACTTCTTCAGCCACATGGAACTGTGAGCCCATTAAACCTCTTTTTCTTTATAAATTACCCAGTCTTGAGTAACAAAATAGTGGTTTGTCCACAACATCAATGAACGATGCTGTTACTTGTTCCAAACACGTATCATTTAAGAGGTTTGGATAAACAACATCCTAAAATAAATAAGCACTAAGCAAACTCAGGGCTACATAATCCCTGTGGTGAGCTAACTGACAATGGGTACAACTGGGACACTTTACCGTTAAATCACCTCTATCTACATGTGCCCAAGCAGTGACATACTTGGTTTTAATCCTAAAAAATCATGGTGCACATTTACTCCTGCCTTCCAACTGGGCTCTAACGTCACCTCCTCAGAGAAGCCCGCTTTTCTGTGCTTCCACTCTGCCTTTTTTCAGCATTTAGTAGAGCATCAGTCACCATCCATATCTGGGAACAATGATTGTAAGAAACAGAAACCCATTTGCATGAGCTTGAGGACAAGAAACACACCTTATCTCTAACAGGCAAACTCATGGGCACAAGAAACAAATGAGAGGCCATGAGAGAATGGAAACTGCAGTTACAGAAACCAAAATTCCTCTTTCTTGCTCTCAGAAGCCCATGGTCTCTTTCTTTTTTTTCTTTTTTTCTTCTTTTTTTTTTTTTTTTTTGAGACGGAGTCTCGCTCTGTCGCCCAGGCTGGAGTGCAGTGGTGCAATCTCAGTTCACTGCAAGCTGCACCTCCTGGGGTTAACGCCATTCTCCCACCTCAGCCTCCCAATTAGCTGGGGCTACAGGCACCCGCCACCACACCCAGCTAATTTTTGTATTTTTAGTAGAGATGGGCTTTCACCGTGTGAGCCAGGATGGTCTCGATCTCCTGACCTCGTGATCCGGCCATCCTGGCTTCCCAAAGTGCTGGGATTACAGGCGTGAACCACCGCACCTGGAAGCCCATGGTCTTTCTTATCAGCCCTGTGGACTTTCTTATCTCTTCTTCTCACTCACAACCAATTTTCCCTTTTTGCTGGTGGCCCACCCTGGCAGCCAGCAGAGCCCACCGCCAGCTGATCAATCAGTTACTGGATATCTTGGAGAGGGAGGGAGGGAGGAAGGAAGAGAGGGAGAGGGAGAGAGAGAGAGAGAATGACAATTGGGCTTCTGGCCAACCAATTGAGTATAGGGAGGGGAAGTACCATGGTACAAATATGGCTCCAAGACCTGCTTTCCAGCATGGCCAGTGAGTAGGGAAATTGAGGGAAGGTACCTGCAAACACAGCAGACATCTCAGAACATGCTCTCTGTTCTTAGTTCTCTCTCCTGCCTTCTCCTAGATTGTAAATATCACAAGACAATCTAGGATAGTACCTGGCTCAAAATATTTGAGAAAGAGGAAAAGGAAGACATTGCATCAAACTGTAGACTACATGGTTTCCTAAATTCACTCTGCAAGTTTTTGGGTTTTTTGTTTTTTGAGACAGAGTCTCGCTCTGCTGCCCAGGCTGGAGTGCAATGGGATAATCTTGGCTCACTGCAACCTCCACCTCCCAGGTTCAAGCAAATCCCCTGCCTCAGCCTCCTGAGTAGCTGGGATTACAGGCACGCACAGCTATACCAGTTAATTTTTGTATTTTTAGTACAGACGGGGTTTCACCATGTTGGCCAGGCTGGTCTCGAAATCTTGACCTCGTGATCCACCCACCTCGGCTGCCCAAAGTGCTGGGATTACAGGTGTGAGCCACCACACCTGGCCGACTCTGCAAGTATTTAAGTGAATGAATGTCAGTCCCTGAGAATCAGAATTTCTTCTGATTTAACGGCATTAAATCTCCCTTAGGTTTAATCCTGGTCAGCAGCTGTGGGGTGTCCTGGGTTTGGGATCAGTGGGATGAGGAACAAGCAGGTTCTCCAAACCACCACGCAGGGAGGGGAGGTGTTAACTAGGCCAAAGATGATGGGTGGGGTATGTGCCTGGGTTTCAAACAGCTTATGCCAGGCCTAAAAACAGACGCTGAGGCAGAAACTGTATTAAGCAAATTGATGACACAATGGAGGAGGTCAAAAAGTTTAATATTGATAAGAAGAATACAAATACTGATCATGCGATATATTATTGTTATCACACCATCTCCTGCTACACGCCAGGTTTCCTTTACCATGAGATAGAAGAGATTTGTGGATCTGACCTAACCCTCCAAATTATAAGGTCTCTGAGAGTGGGCTCATGACATTCATGTTTTATAAATGTGGCATAAAGGTTAATGCTGGCTGCCATGTGACCCAATGCCAGTTTGACGCTGCATTCAAAGAACCATCGTTCCAGCATCCAAGCACACTTAAAGGCAATTGAAATGTTTACCGCCTTCCCTCAAGACAAACACCAAATAAAAATTATTTTCAAAATGCATAGCAACACTTCTTAAAATCTTATTTTCCCATCTCTTTCTCTCTCTCTACCACATTCCCAAGAGTTTCCCAGGAGCAAAACTGTCATAAAGACCCAGGAGCAAAATGATTAGTGACTTCACGATATCTGATTCTCATTTAGTTGGTTTAGAGTGGTGTCCAGGCATACGTATTTTTTAAAATCTTGCTGGGCACAGTGGCACACACCTGTAGTCTCAGCTACTCAGGAGGCTAAGGCAGAAGAATCACCTGAGCCCAGGAGTTTGAGTCCAGCCTGGGCAACGTAGCAAGACCCTGTCTCTGAAAAAAAAGAAAAAAAAGCAAAAACAAATCTCTCTCAGCTTCAGTCAGGGTTGATAACTAGTTGATCAAAAAATTGTGGTAGCCATCCTTCACAATGGACCTTAATATTCCCACCTCCTGGTGTTATTCACTGTGGAATCTGTCTTAGCTAGTCCTCAACTGGGTCTGGTATCCAGGCCCCACCTTGAGAGTCTAGTCCCACCTCCTACCCCACACATGGTTTTACACTTACTTTCAAGACTGGCCTAAAAATGTAAAATGTATTTGTTTTGACCTTCTTTCCAATGAAACAACTGTTCTAAACATTCCTTTAGGATGGTTAGGGAAATTTGAACACCGGCTAAATATTAGAAGATATTTGTTTCAAAATAACCCAGCTTGGTAATGAGATGATGGCGGCTGAGGCTGGTGATAGGCACAGAGGGCTTCATTATCAAATATAAACAAGTGGAAAAAACAGAACTTTTCCATAATACAAATATAAGGTAAACAAGAAAGTGTATTGAGTGCATAAAAAGAATCTATGGTCTCACAGGTATTAGCTTATAACTTGAACATCAAAAATAAAAGTGACAGCCGGGTGCAGTGGCTGATGCCTGTAATCCCAGCACTTTGGGAGACCTAGGTGGGTGGATCACTTAAGCCCAGGAATTTGAGACCAGCCTGAGCAACAGAGTGAGACCCCCATCTCTAAAATAAATAAATACAAATAAAAGTGACTAGAATTGATTATAGAACATCAACTCGATTTGAGTCTATAAAGATTACTGGTGAAGGGGGGCAATGGGGAGAAGGAGGAAGAGAATATATTTGTGACCTAGATTATTTTCCTTAGTTTTGAGAGAATCTTCGGGTCTCCTGGGTCTTCTAGCCCAGTATTTATTTTTATTTTTTATTTATTTGTGTATTTTTTTTTTATGTTTTTAGATGGAGTCTCACTCTGCCACCAGACTGGAGTGCAGTGGTGCGATCTTGGGCCACTGCAACTTCCGCCTCCCAGGTTCAATCTATTCTCCTGTCTCAGCCCCCCAAGTAGCTGGGACTACAGGTACCTGCCACTTCACCCAGATAATTTTTTTTTTTTTTTTTTTTTTTTTTGAGACAGAGTCTGGCTCTGTTGCCCAGGCTGGAGTGCAGTGGTGCAATCTCGGCTCACTGCAAGCTCCTCCTCGAGGTTCATGCCATTCTCCTCCCTCAGCCTCCCGAGTAGTTGGGACTACAGGAACCTGCCACCACGCCCGGCTAATTTTTTTGTGTTTTTAGTAAAGACAGGGTTTCATCGTGTTAGCCAGGATGGTCTCGATCTCCTGACCTCGTGATCTGCCCGCGTCGGACTCCCAAAGTGCTGGGATTACAGGCATGAGCCACTGTGCCCGGCCGCACCCAGCTAATTTTTGTATTTTTTGTAGAGATGGTGTTTCACCATGTTGATCCAGGCTGGTCTCAAACTCCTGACCTCAGGTGATCCGCCCGCCTTGGCATCCCAAAATACAAGGATTACAGGCATGAGCCACCACACCCTGCCTATTTTCCTTAGTTTTCAGAGAACCTTTGTGTCCCCTGAGTGTTCTAGCCCAGTATATCTCAAACTTTGCTGCATCAAGGACCTTGTTGAAATGCAGGTTCTCATCTGGGAGGCTCAGTGGGCCGGCAAATCTGCACTGGTTTAGGAAGCTCACCCTGAGTATCAAGCTTCAGTGAGGATCAGGCAGGCCCCTGCCTACCAACCCCCTCTCAGCTGGGCTTAACTCTGGCTCTCTCCTGCCAGGGTTCCTCCTCTCAAAATAGGAGCTATTTTCAAAAAGTCTCTTGGAAAAAAAGCCCTGTTTTAAAATTGGGGTGTTCAGGATTGGCCATCTGCTCACCATGGGGTTTTAAGACCTTTGCCCAGAACCCTGCAACCAACTTAGAACTGACGTCTTTACTTTTGAAGGCCCCACTCCACACCATATTAAATTAATTAAAATCAACCCGCATTACAGGCATATCTCAGGCATCATGCCCTCAGAAAGGAGTTGCAGCTGATCACTTGACAATGTTGTAAGGCATTAAACATGCATTCATTTCAGCCTTGCAGTTTTCACATTTAGGAGCCAATTGTCTTAGGTCTAAAGCATTCATGCCGAAGCATTGTTATGGGCCCCAGACACTATGCTTCCCAGCCTTAATGGCCTCTGCAATGCTGGTTCCTACTGGCCCACCCCTGGGTTCTGGCCGGCTAGCCCGCGCCACCTCACTGCTCCCCCATTCAAGTGTGCCTTAAATGTGTGGTTTCCAAACTCATCTACACTTTAGGGTCACCTGAGATTTTTTTTTTAAATCTTCCAAAACCCAGGCCACACCCAAGAACAATTAAACCTCAACCTCTGGAATGGGACATAGACTCCGTTTTTTGTTTTGTTTTGTTTTTGAGACAGGGCCTCGCTCTGTTACCCAGGCTGGAGTGCAGTGGCACAATCATAGCTCACTACAGGCTCCAACTCCTGGGCTCAAGAAACCCTCCCACTTCAACCTCCACGGTAGCTGGGATCACAGGCGGGCACCACCACGCCCGGCTAATTTTTAAATTTTTTATAGAGACAGTATCTCCTTATGTTCTCCAGGCTAGTCTCAAACTCCTGGGCTCAAGTGATACTCCCGCCTCACCGTCCCAAACTGCTGGGATTATAGGCATGAGCCACCATGTCTGGACATCAGCATCTGTATTTTTTGAAGCACAGACGAGTTTGGGAACTACCGCGCTAGACTGAGTTTCGATTCCTAGCCCTGTCTGACCGTAGGATTCGGCTGGGCTGCTTCTGAAAACAGAGCTCCCCAGGCTCCTTCCCAGGTAATTCTGATTCATTAGGTCTGGGGTGGGCCCCGGAATGTGCATTTTTTATGAGATCCCTCTGGGTGAATCTGGCTAAAGCCAGTTTGGGATCTGAGACCTTGGAGATCATTCCCCAGCTTCCCTCCTAACCCAGTTCCCGGCTTGGCCCACCTCACCCAGGCTGTGTCACGTCTGACTTCGCAGATTACACCTGAGAGGGAAGCCCCAGCCATCACAATGTGAGAACATTTTACAATGAACAGGATATGCCAAGTACATTTTAAGACTCATTCAGGATTAGCGTTCACCTTAAACTTGACAGACTCAGAGAATGGGCTGGCCACGTGCTGTGCACAACCCTTAGTGCCCTTCTGTGACTAATATTTGGATAATTGATTGTTGGAAGCTCAGGAAGCCTCTCTCTCTCAGAGGGGTTGAAGTTAACTTCTTTATTTCTGAGGTAGGGAAGAAAATGACGATGTTCTGCCTTTTGCTAGACTGAATACTGTCTTCCAAAAATTCACATTCACCAGGAATCCCAGAATGTGACCTTATTAGAAAATAGGGGCAGGGCATGGTGGCTCATGCTTGTAATCTTAGCACTTTGGGAGGCTGAGGCAGGAGGATCACTTGAGGTCAGGAGTTCGAGACCAGCCTGGCTAGCATGGCAAACCCTGTCTCTACTAAAAACATAAAAATTAGCTAGGCATGGTGGCGTGCACCTGTAATCCCAGCTACTTCAGAGGCTGAGGCTGAAGAATCACTTGAACCCAGGAGGCAGAGTTGAAGCGAGCTGAGATTGTGTCACTGAACTCCAGCCTGGGCAACAGAGCAAGACTCCATCACAAAAAAAAGAAAAGAAAATAGGGTCACTGCAGATCTAATTACAAAGAGGTCATATTGGAATAGCGTGAACCTTAAATCGAGTAATAATGGCATCCTCATGGGAAGAGAAGAAGAGACAGAGACACACAGGGGAGAAGGCCACATGAGAATGAAGGAAGAGAATGGAATGATGTGGACACAAGCCAAAGAATGCCAGCAACCACCAGAAGCCAGAAGAGGCAAGGAAGGATTCACCCCTAGAGCCTTCAGAGGGAGCATGGCCCTGCGGGTTTCAGACATCAAGCTTCTGGAACTGGAGAGAATGACTTTCTGTTGTCCTGAGCCACCCATTTGGGGAACTCTGTTAGAACAGTCACAGCCAGGTCATGTGCTCCTGGATGCATCTCAGGAATTAATAAGCACTGTCCTGGCCAGTCAGGGTTGCTCACCCCTGTAATCCCAGCACTTTGGGAGGCTGAGGTGTGTAGATCACCTGAGGTCAGGAGTTCGAGACCAGCCGGACCAACATGGAGAAACCCCATCTCTACTAAAAATACAAAAATTAGCTGGGTGTGGTGTTGTGCACCTGTAATCCCAGCTACTTGGGAGGCTGAGGTAAGAGAATCACTTGAACCCTGGAGGCAGAGGTTGCAGTGAACTGAGACTGCGCCATTGCCCTCCAGCCTGGGCAACAAGAGCAAAACTCCGTTCCCCCAAAAAAATAATAAGTACTGTCTTGACTGTGGTCATCAAAAATATTTGATTAAGGGTTAGCTAGAAAGCCTGACCCTTTCACAGACAGACGGAAGGGCCAAAAGAAAATAGATTGTTTGCAGTGGGGCAAGAAGGATAAGAATCCTATGGAAAAAAAAATAACAGAGGGATTTGTTTAGTGAGCGCTGGGGAGAGGCATTTGTTTTCTTGCTTGAAAAAGAAACACACGTTGGGTGCGGTGGCTAAAGCCTTAATCCCAGCACTCTGGGAGGCCAAGGTGGGTGGATCACCTAAGCTCAGGAGTTTGAGACCAGCCTGGCCAACACTGTGAAACCCCATCTCTACTAAAAAGACAAAAACAAAGAAAGAAAGAAATTAGCCAGGCACGGTGGTGGGCGCCTGCAATCCCAGCTACTCGGGTGGCTGAGGCAGAGAATCACTTGAACCTGGGAGGCAGAGGTTGCAGTAAGCCAAGATGGCATCACTGCACTCCAGCCTAGGCAACAAGAGTGAAACTCTGTCTCAACCAAAAAGAAAGAAAGAAAGAAAGAAAACCATAGTTTTAAGTCCACTCAGTGGAGTTTAAAAATACATTCCCATTGCACAGTGCTTTTGGAATCTTTTCTAAACTTCTGTTGCACATGGTCTAATTTGATCTTCATAGCAACTCCCTGAGGTGGATAGGGCAGGCCTTTCTGAACACCTATTTTCTAGTTTGCATTAAAAGAACGGAATTGGCTGGGACCAGTGCCTCATGCCTATAATCCCAAAACTTTGTGATACAGAAGGGAAGTGCTCAGAAGGGAAGAATGTGGTCCCTTTAAATGATATGGAAGTGAGGAAGGGAAGTACTGGGTAGAGGAGGGTGTGGTCCCTGGCTAGGGCTCCACCCCAGGGCCTGTGTCCACGGACCTAGGTGAGGACTGGCATTTTTGTTTTCCTGCCCAGATGTTGCATTTCCCAAGACCACCCTGGCTGCCACACCCCCATTCTGTGCCTATAAAAACCCTGAGACCCTAGCAGGCAGACACAGGCAGCTGGACTTTGAGAGGAGCACATCAGCAGAGGAACACAAGGGTGCTGGACTTCAACAGGAACGCACCAATGGGCACCGTCACACCGCAGGCCACTGACTGCAGAACAACGCAGAGTTTGGCTGGGACATTCGGAGAAGAGTCCGGCCACTCATCCAACTCCAGGGGTAAACCATCTCCCTTCTGGCACGCCCATCTGCTGAGAGATACTTCCACTCAATAAAACCTTGCACTCTCACGCCTGTAATCCCAGAACTTTGGGAGGCCGAGGCGGGCAGATCACGAGGTCAGGAGATCCAGACCATCCTGGCTAACACAGTGAAACCCCATCTCTACTAAAAATACAAAAAAATTAGCCAGGCGTGGTGGCGGGTGCCTGTAGTCCCAGCTACTTGGAAGGCTGAGGCAGGAGAATGGCGTGAACCCAGGAGTAGGAGCTTGCAGTGAGCTGAGATCACACCACTTCTGGTACACCAAGGCAAGAACCCCGGGACAAAGAGAGCCCTCTCTCCTTGCAATAAGGCAGGGGTCTAATTGAGCCGACTAACACAAGCTACCTACAGACGGCTAAACTAAAAGAGCACCCTGTAACACACGCCCACTGGGGCTTCAACTATAAACATTCACCCCTGGACACTGCCATGGGTCTCCCTGCCTGTCTGCATGCTCTCCTAGAGGTTTGAGCAGTGGGGCACTGAATAAACGAACCACACCCGCATCGCATGCCCTTCGAGGGGGACAACAGAACTTTTCCCATTTCATCTGAGAGGCCAAGGCAGGAGGATCGCTTGAGCCCATGTGTTTGAGACCAGCCTACACAACATAGCAAGACACCATCTCTACAAAAAAAAAAAATAAGTAAACAAAAAAAAAGCATTAAAAATTAGCCAGCTGTGGTGGCACACACCTGTAGTTTCAGCTACTCAGGAGGCTGATGTGGAAGGATTGATTGAGCCCAGGAGATTGAGGCTGCAGTGAGCCAAGATTGAACCACTGCACTCTAGCCTGGGCAACAGAGTGAGACCCTGTTTCGACAACAACAAAAAGAATGGAACAAAATAACTTCTCAAATAGCTAGCAGAGGGAGATCTGGTTCTCAAATGCAGGTTTTCCAGGTTTCAATTCTTGTTTCTAGCAGTATTATGGAGAAACATGATCACTAATACATGAAGGAGAGGAGGTTTCAAGTTCTGATGAAAAGATGGTAAAGAGAGGAGTTAGTTGACTAGGAGCGACTAGGAATAGGAAGAAAACGCATGACACTACTTAGAGGAAAGAAGAAAAATAAGCATAGAGGTGACTGAGCAGACAGAAAGGACTTGGAAGAAGCGTGGCTGGCCCTGTCTCTAAATTTTTTCCCTTGCATTAGTAACTTCCCTGATGACTTGGATGAATCTTCTCTTCCAGGGTACCTAGTGCTCCCTTTCTGTCCACTTCTCCTTTCCCAGGGCCCATACAGTCTGGGAAAGCATGCTCTGCAGGCTTCTCATATCTTTCCTTCCTTAATCTGCCCCTAGCATCTCTACATAACCCATATACACCTGGAGTTCCACATGTTCCAGTCTTTGCACTGCAGTGAATTCAAAGAATGGTAGACTCTAGCTGGGCGCAGGGGCTCACACCTGTAATCCCAGCACTTTGGGAGGCTGAGGCAGGTGGATCACTTGAGCCCAGGAGTTCAAGACCAGGCCCGGCCAACATGGTGAAACCCCATCTCTACTAAAAATACAAAAATTAGCTGGGCTTGGTGGTACATGCCCAGTAGTCCCAGCTTCTAGGGAGGCTGAGGCAGAAGAATTGCTGGAACCCAGGAGGCAGAGGTTGCAGTGAGCTGAGATCGTGCCACTGCACTCCAGCAGACTGGGCAACAGAGACCAGTCTCAAAAAAAACACAAAGACAAAACTAAACAAAAAAAAAAAAAAAAAAAAAAACGCGCACACACAAAAAAACAAAGATAGACTCCAATAGGAAAAATTCACTCAAAAGCAACTCAAATAATTATTCAGTCAACCCAGTTCTATCTCAGTTCTTTATTATATATATAAACTTATTCTGTCCAGATTCCCTAGTTTTCTTTTTCTTATCTTTTTTGTTTTCTTTTGAGACAGGACCTCACTCTGTCACCCAGGCTGGAGTATAGTGGCACAATCATGGCTCACTGCAGCCTCAACCTCCTGGGCTGAAGTAGTTCTCCCACCTCAGCCTCCCAAGTAACTGGAACTACAGGTGCATGCCACTATGCTCAGCACCTTTTTGTATTTTTTGTAGAAACGGGGTCTCGCTATGTGGGCCAGGCTGGTCTTGAACTCCTGGACTCAAGAAGTCCGCCTGCCTCAACCTCCCAAAGGGCCAAGATTACAAGCATGAGCCACTGCATCTGGCTGATTCCTTAGTTTTCTTTTTCTCTTTGCCCATTGCCTGGATTCCATAAGCAGAAGGAAAACCCAGGGACTGACTTAGTAGGCAAGACCCTTTCCTCTTCAAAACATAAATTGGCTCAAGTGGTACCAAAACTGAAACATGTTTATAACTTAACATCTTTTCTTCCTACCCCTTCAATCTCTTGAGCAATGAGAAAAGGCACTGGGCTCTTTATTTGTGTAGGGAAAAGAAAGAGAGATCCGACTGTCACTGTGTCTATGTCGAAAGGGAAGACATAAGAGACTCCATTTTGAAAAAGATCTGTACTTAAAACAATTGCTTTGCAGAGATGTTGTTCATTTGTAGCTTTGCCCCAGCCACTTTGCCCCAACCACTTTGACCCAACTTGGAGTTCACAAAAACATGTGTTGTATAAAATCAAGGTTTGAAGGATCTAGGGCTGTGCAGGATGTGCCTTGTTAACCAAATGTTTACAAGCAGTATACTTGGTAAAAGTCATTGCCATTCTCTAGTCTCAATAAACCAGGGGCACAATACACTGTGGAAAGCCGCAGGGACCTCTGCCCTTGAAAGCAGGGTATTGTCCAAGGTTTCTCCCCATGTGATAATCTGAAATATGGCCTCGTGGGATGAGAAAGACCTGACTGTCCCCCAGCCCGATACCCATAAAGGGTCTGTGGTGAGGTGAATTAGTAAAAGAGGAAAGCCTCTTGCAGTTGAGATGGAGGAAGGCCACTGTCTCCTGCCTGCCCCTGGGAACTCAAAGTCTCGATGTAAACCCGATTGTACATTTGTTTAAGTCTGAGATCGGAGAAAAGCTGCCCTGTGATGGGAGGCAAGACATGTTTGCAGCAATGCTGCCTTGTTATTCTTTACTCCACTGAGATTTTTGGGTGGAGAGAAACATAAATCTGGCTTACGTACACGTCCAGTCATAGTACCTTCCCTTGAACTTAATTATGATATAGATTCTTTTGCTCACATGTTTTTTGTTGACCTCCTTATTATCACCCTGCTTTCCTAGTATATTCCTTTTTGCTGAAATAATGAAAATCATAATCAATAAAAACTGAGGGAACTCAGAGGCCGGTGCCTGTGCATGTCCTTGGTGTGCTGAGTGCCGGTCCCCTGGACCCACTGATGTTTCTCTATACTTTGTCTCTGTGTCTTATTTCTTTTCTCCGTCTCTCATCCCACCTGACTAGAAATACCCACAGGTGTGGAGGGGCAGACCACCCCTTCATCTGGAGCCCAGCGTGGGGCCCTTCTCTAGGGTGAAGGTACGCTAAGAACGTGAGCATTGAGTACAGCCGATGAGAGATTCCCGAGTACGTCCACAGTCAGCCTTGCGGTTAGCTTGTGTGCTGGGAGGAATCCAGGATAACAATGGGGCAAACTGAAAGTAAATATGCTTCTTATCTCAGCTTCATTAAAATTCTCTTAAGAAGAGGGGGAGTTAAAGCTTCTACAGAAAATCTAGTTACGCTATTTCAAACAATAGAACAATTCCGCCCATGGTTTCCAGAAAAGGGAACTTTAGATTTAAAAGATTGGGAAAAAATTGGCAAAGAACTAAAACAAGCAATTAGGGAAGGTAAAATCATCCCACTTACAGTATGGAGTGATTGGGCCACTATTAAAGCAACTTTAGAACAACTTCAAATAGAAGAAGATAGGGTTTCAGTCTTTGATGCCCCTGAAAGCTGTGTAATAGATTGTGAAGAAGAGGCAGGAACAGAGTTTAAGAAAGGAATGGAAAGTTCACATTGTAAAAATGCAGTAGAGCCTGTACTGACTTGGTCAATGCAGAATGTTGACTATAATCAATTACAGGAGGTAATATATCCTGAATCATCAAAATTGGGGGAAGGAGGTCCAGAATTATTTGGACCATCAGAGTTTAGACCACGATGGCCACCAACTCCTTCTCCCGCGGTTCAGATGCCTGTGATGTCACAATCTCAAATGCCAATCCAGGCACAGTATCCGCAATACCAGCCAGTAGAAAATAAAACCCAACCATCGGTAGTTTATCAACACCAGCCGCCAGCCGCATTTCAGTATCCGCCGTCTCCAGAGGTTCAGTATGGATCTCAGGCGGTGCGTCCTGTGCCAAATAGCAAGGCACTATATCAACCCACGGCGATGGCGTTTGATCTTACGGTACCACCTAGTGGACAAGATAGTGCACTGCATGAGACCATTGCTACAGCCAGAAAACAGGGAGATCTTGAGGCATGGCAATATCCGGTAATGTTACAACCGATGCCGGCCGGGAAAGGGAGTCAAGCAGGAGTTAAACAATATGGACCTAACTCTCCTTATACGAGAATATTATTAAATTCCATTGCTCATGGAAATAGACTTATTTCTTATGATTGGGAAATTCTGGCTATATCTTCCCTTTCACCCTCTCAGTATCTCCAGTTTAAAACCTGGTGGATTGATGGGGTACAAGAACAGGTACGAAAAAATCAGGCTACTAATCCTGTTGCTTATATAGATGAAGACCAATTGCTAGGAAGAGGTCCAAACTGGGACACTATTAACCAACAATCAGTAATGAAAATGAGGCTATTGAACAACTGTAAGGGCTATTTGCCTCAGGGCCTGGGAAAACATTCAGGACCCAGGAACCTCATGCCCTTCTTTTAGTTCAATCAGACAAGGCTCTAAAGAGCCATATCCAGACTTTGTGGCAAGGTTGCAAGATGCAGCTCAAAAATCCATTGCAGGTAACGCCCGAAAAGTTATTGTAGAAATAATGGCTTATCAAAACGCAAATTCAGAGTGTCAATCAGCCATAAAGCCATTAAGAGGAAATGTTTCAGCAGGAGTTGATGTAATTACAGAATATGTGAAGGCTTGTGATGGGATTGGAGGAGCTATGCATAAGGCAATGCCATTGGCTCAAGCAATTACAGGGGTTGCTATAGGAGGACAAGTTAAAACATTTGGGGGAAAATGTTATAATTGTGGTCAAATCGGTCATCTAAAAAAGAATTGCCCGAGCTTAAATAAACAGCAAAAAAAAAAAAAAAAAAAAAAAAAAAAAGAGCCACCTGGCCTGTGTCCAAGATGTGGAAAAGGAAAACATTGGGCTAAGGCATGTCGTTCTAAATTTGATAAAAATGGACAACCATTGTCGGGAAACGGCAAGAGGGGCCAGCCCCAGGCCCCGCAACAAAGTGGGGCATTCCCGATTCAGCCATTTGTTCCTCAGGGTTTTCAGGGACAACAACCCCCACAGTAAATACCACCATTTCAGGAAATCAGCCAATTACAATACGACAATTATCCTCTGTCACAGCAGGCAGTGCTGCAGTAGATTTATGTTCTACTCAAATGATTTCTTTACTCCGTGGAGAGCCCCTGCAAAAGATTCCTACAGGGGTATATGGCCCGCTGCCACAAGGGATGGTAGGCCTTATTTTAGGAAGATCTAGTCTAAATTTGAAAGGAGTTCAAATTCATACTGGGGTAATTGACTCAGATTATAAAGGGGAAATTCAGTTAGTGATCAGCTGTACTGTTCCCTGGAGTGCCAATCCAGGTGATAGAATTGCTCAATTACTGCTCTTGCCTTATATTAAAATTGGGGATAGCAAAACAGAAAGAACAGGAGGGTTTGCAAGTACCAACACTGCTGGAAAAGCTGTTTATTGGGCTAGTCAGCTCTCAGAGAATAGATCTGTGTGTACAGTTACTATTCATGGAAAACAATTTGAAGGATTAGTGGATACTGGGTCTGATGTTTCTATCATTGCCTTAAATCAATGGCCAAAAAATTGGCCTAAACAAAAGCCTGTTACAGGACTTGTTGGTGTGGGCACTGCCTCAGAAGTGTATCAAAGTGCCAGGATTTTACATTGTCTAGGACCTGATAATCAAGAGAGTACAGTTCAGCCTATGATTACTTCTATTCCAATTAATTTATGGGGCCGAGACTTATTAGAACAGTGGCATGCAGAGATTACTATTCCAGTCTCTCTGTACAGCCCCACGAGTCAAAAAATCATGACTAAAATGGGATAGCTCCCTGGCAAAGGACTAGGGAAAAATGGAGAAGGCATTAAAGTTCCAATTGAGGCTAAGGGAAATCCAGAAAGAAAAGGACTAGGGTATCCTTTTTAGGGGTGGCCACTGTAGAGCCTCCAAAACCCATTTCATTAACTTGGAAAACAGAAAAGCCTGTATGGGTAAATCAGTGGCCACTACCAAAACAAAAGCTGGAGGCCTTACACTTATTGGCAAAATAACAATTAGAAAAGGGACATACTGAGCATTCATTTTCGCCTTGGAATTCTCCTGTGTTTGTAATTCAGAAAAAATCAGGCAGATGGCGCATGCTAACTGATTTAAGAGCCGTTAATGCAGTAATTCAACCCATGGGGCCTCTCCAACCTGGGCTGCCCTCTCCAGCCATGATCCCCGAAGACTGGCCTTTAATTATAATTGATCTGAAGTATTGCTTTTTTACCATTCCTCTGGCAAAACAGGATTTTGAAAAATTGGCTTTCACTATACCAGCCATAAATAATAAAGAACCAGCCACTAGATTTCAGTGGAAAGTGTTGCCTCAGGGAATGCTTAATAGTCCAACTATTTGTCAGACTTTTGTAGCTCAAGTTCTTCAACCAGTTAGAGACAAGTTTTCAGACTGTTATATCATTCATTATGTTGATGATATTTTGTGTGCTGCAGAAACAAGAGACAAATTAATTGACTGTTACACATTTCTGCAGACAGAGGTTGCAAACGCAGGCCTGACAATAGCATCTGATAAGATTCAGATCTCCACTCCTTTTCATTATTTGGGAATGCAGGTAGAGGAGAGAAAAATTAAACCACAAAAAGTAGAAATAAGAAAAGACACATTAAGAACATTAAATGACTTCAAAAATTGCTAGGAGATATTAATTGGATTCGGCCAACTCTAGGCATCCCTACTTATGCCATGTCAAATTTGTTCTCTATCTTGAGAGGGGATCCAGACTTAAATAGTAAAAGAATATTAACTCCAGAGGCAACTAAAGAAATAGAATTAGTTGAAGAAAAATTTCAGTCAGCAAAAGTAAATAGAATAGATCACTTAGCCCCACTCCAACTTTTAATTTTTGCTACTGCACATTCTCCAACAGGCATTATTGTTCAAAATACAGATCTTGTGGAGTGGTCATTCCTTCCTCACAGTACAGTTAAGACTTTTACATTGTACTTAGATCAAATGGCTACATTAATTGGTCAGGCAAGACTATGAATAGTAAAATTGTGTGGAAATGACCCAGATAAAATCATTGTTTCTTTAAACAAGGAACAGGATAGACAAGTCTTTATCAATTCTGGTGCAGGGCAGATTGGTCTTGCTGATTTTGTGGGAATTATTGATAATCATTACCCAAAAGCAAAAATCTTCCAGTTTTTGAAATTGACTACTTGGATTTTACCTAAAATTACCAGACAAAAACCTCTAGAAAATGCTCTGACGGTGTTTACTGATGGTTCCAGCAACGGAAAAGTGGCTTACACTGGGCCAAAAGAACAAGTCATTGAAACTCAATATCACTCAGCTCAAAGAGCAGAATTGGTTGCTGTCATTTCAGTGTTACAAGATTTTAATCAGCCTATTAACATTGTTTCAGATTTTGCATATTTAGTACAGGCTACAAAAGATGTTGAGACAGCCCTAATCAAATATAGTATGGATGATCAGTTAAATCAGCTGTTTAAATTGTTACAACAAACTGTAAGAAAAAGAAATTTCCCATTTTATATTGCTCATATCCGAGCACATACTAATTTACCAGGGCCTTTAACTAAGGCAAATGAACAAGCTGACTTGCTAGTATCATCTGCCTTCATGGAAGCACAAGAACTTCAGGCCCTCACTCATGTAAATGCAACAGGATTAAAAAACAAATTTGATATCACATGGAAACAAGCAAAAAATGTTGTACAACATTGTGCTCAGTGTCAAGTCTTACACCTGCCCGCTCAAGAGGCAGGAGTTAATCCTAGAGGTTTATGTCCTGATGCATTATGGCAAATGGACGTCACACATGTACCTTCATTTGCAAAATTGTCATTTGTCCATGTGACAGTTGATACTTATTCACATTTCATATGGGCAACCTGCCAGACAGGAGAAAGTACTTCCCATGTTAAAAGACATTTATTATCTTGTTTTGCAGTCATGGGATTTCCAGAAAAAATTGAAACAGGTAATGGGCCAGGATACTGTAGTAAAGCATTTCAAAAATCCTTAAATCAGTGGAAAATTACACATACAACAGGAATCCTTAATTTCCAAGGACAGGCCATAATTGAAAGAACTAATAGAACACTCTAAGCTCAATTGGTTAAACAAAAGAAGGAAAAAGTAAGGAGTACAATACTCCCCAGATGCAACTTAATCTAGCACTCTATACTTTAAATTTTTTAAATATATATAGAAATCAGACCACTACTTCTGCAGAACAACATTTTACTGGTAAAAAGAACAGCCCACATGAGGGAAAACTGATTTGGTGGAAAGACAACAAAAATAAAACATGGGAAATAGGTAAGGTGATAACATGGGGGTGAGGTTTTGCTTGTGTTCCAGCAGCAGAAAATCAGCTTCCTCTTTGGGTACCCACTAGACATTTGAAGTTCTACAATGAACCCATCAGAGGTGCAAGGGAAGGCACCTCCGCAGAGACAGAGAACCCGCAATCGAACATCATCGACTCGCAGGGTGAACGAAATGGTGATATCAGAAGAACAGATGAAGTTGCCATCCACCAAGAAAGTGGGGCCGCCGACCTGGGCCCAGCTAAAGAAGCTGACACAGTTAGCTGAAAAAAGCCTGGAAAACACAAGGGTAACACAAACTCCAGAGAATATGCTACTTGCAGATTTAATGATTGTATCAGCGGTGGTAAGTCTCCCTATGTCTTCAGGAGCCGCTACAGCTAACTATACTTACTGGGCCTATGTGATTTTCCCACCCTTAATTCGAGCAGTCACTTGGATAGATAATCCTATTGAAGTATATGTTAATAACAGTGCATGGGTACCAGGCCCCACAGATGACCGTGGCCCTGCCCAACCTGAAGAAAAAGGAATGATGATAAACATTTCCATTGGGTATCATTATCCTCCTATTTGCCTGGGAAAAGCACCAGGATGCTTAATGCCTACAATCCAAACTTGGTTGATAGAAGTACCTACTGTCAGTGCCACCAGTAAATTTACTTATCATATGATAAGAGGAATGTCGCTCAGGTCACAAATGAATAATTTACAGAATTCTTCCTATCAAAGATCATTAAAATTTAGGCCTAAAGGGAAACCATGCCCCAAGGAAATTCCAAAAGAATCAAAAGACCCAGTAGTCTTAGTTTGGGAAGAATGTGTGGCTGATACTGCAGTGGTACTACAAAACAATAAATTTGAAACTATTATAGACTAGGCCCCTCAAGGCCAATTATATTATGACTGTATGGGCCAGACCCACTCATGTTCACAGGCCCCATGTGTCTGGCCCACTAATCCGGCCTGTGATAGTGATTTAACTAAAAGGCTAGACCAGGTTTATAGAAGGCTAGAATCACCCTATCCATGGAAATGGGGTGAAAAGAGGATTTCATCACCCCGACCAAAGTTAGTTAGTCCTGTTTTTGGTCCTGAACACCCAGAATTATGGAAGCTCACTGTGGCCTCGTACCACATTAGAATTTGGTCTGGAAATCAAGTTATGGGAACAAGAAATCATAAGCCATATTAACTATTAACCTAAATTCCAATCTGAAAATTCCTTTGCAAAGTTGTGTAAAACCCCCTTATATGCTAGTTGTAGAAAACATAGCTATTAAACCAGATTCCCAAACTACAACCAGTGAAAATTGTAGATTGTTTACTTGCATTGATTCAACTTTCGATTGGCAGAATGCTATTCTGTTAGTAAGGGCAAGAGAAGGCGTGTGGATCCCTGTGTCCATGGATCGACCATGGGAGGCTTCTCCATCCGTACATACCTTAAGTATTAAAAGGAGTTCTAATTAGATTTAAAAGATTCATTTTTACTTTGATTGCAGTGATTATGGGTCTTATTGCAGTCACAGCTACTGCTGCGGCTGCTGGAATTGCTTTACACTCCTCTGTTCAAACTGCAGAATATGTGAATAATTGGCAAAAGAATTCCTCAAAATTGAGGAATTCTTAGACTCAAACAGGTCAAAAATTGGCAAATCAAATTAATGATCTTAGACAAACTGTTATTTGGATGGGAGATAGGCTCATGAGCTTAGAATATCTTTTTCAGTTACAGTGTGACTGGAATATGTCAGATTTTTCTATTACACCTCGAGCCTGTAATGAATCTGAACAGCACTGGGACATGGTTAGAAGCCATCTACAAGGAAGAGAAGATAATCTTACCTTAGATATTTCTAAATTGAAAGAACAAATTTTTGAAACATCAAAAGCCCAGTTAAATCTGGTGTCAGAAACGGAGGCAATGGTAAAAGCTGTTGATAGCCTCACAAATCTTAACCCTGTCACTTGGGTTAAAACCATTGGAAATTCCACTATTGCAAATTTTGTATTAATTCTTGTATGTCTGTCCTCTCTATTGTTAGTCTACAGGTGTATCCAGCAGCTCCGGAGAGACAGCGACCAGGGAGAAGGGGCCATGATGACCATGGCGGTTTTGTCAAAAAGAAAAGCGGGAAATGTAGGGAAAAGAGACAGATCAGACTGTCACTGTGTCTATGTAGAAAGGGAAGACATAAGAGACTCCATTTTGAAAAAGACCTGTACTCTAACAATTGCTTTGCTGAGATGTTGTTCATTTGTAGCTTTGCCCCAGCCACTTTGCCCCAGTCACTTTGCCCCAACTTGGAGTTCACAAAAACATGTGTTGTATAAAATCAAGGTTTGAGGGATCTAGGGCTGTGCAGGACGTGCCTTGTTAACCAAATATTTACAAGCAGTATACTTGGTAAAAGTCATTGCCATTCTCTAGTCACAATAAACCACGGGAACAATGCACCGTGGAAAGCCGCAGGGAGCCCTGCCCTTGAAAGCAGGGTGTTGTCCAAGGTTTCTCCCCATGTGATAGTCTGAAATATGGCCTCGTGGGATGAGAAAGACCTGACTGTCCCCCAGCCTGACACCCGTAAAGGGTCTGTGCTGAGGCGGATTAGGAAAAGAGGAAAGCCTCTTGCAGTTGAGATGGAGGAAGACCACTATCTCCTGCTTGCCCCTGGGAACTGAATGTCTCGGTGGAAACCCGATTGTACATTTGTTCAAGTCTGAGCTAGGAGAAAAGCTGCCCTGTGGCGGGAGGCGAGACATGTTGCAGTAACGCTGCCTTGTTATTCTTTACTCCACTGAGATGTTTGGGTGGAGAGAAACATAAATCTGGCCTACGTGCAAGTCCAGTCATAGTACCTTCCCTTGAACTTAATTATGATATAGATTCTTTTGCTCACATGTTTTTTGTTGACCTTCTCCTTATTATCACCCTGCTCTCCTATTACATTCCTGTTTGCTGAAATAATGAAAATCATAATCAATAAAAACTGAGGGAACTCAGAGGCCAGTGCACGTACAAATCCTGGTGTGCTGAGTGCCGGTCCCCTGGACCCACTGTTGTTTCCCTGTACTTTCTCTCTGTGTCTTATTTCTTTTCTCCGTCTCTCATCCCACCCGACTAGAAATACCCACAGGTGTGGAGGGGCAGGCCACCCCTTCAATTTGGTGACACATGGCCTGTGGCCTCAAAGAACACTGACACCCCGGTAACATTCATTCAAACGGGTTCTCCGTACCTCCCCTCCTTTATCCCCAAGGTCTCTGGGTCAGAGATCACTGAGTCATTCACAACATGATGTTTAACACCGAGACGCTCTGGAATTGCTCCTTCAAGACGACTCAGAAGAAGACCCAGTGCTGAGACAATCGTGTTCTCTCTCTCTCTGGATCACCGCCCAGAGACAAGGACTGCCAGAGACTCTGGCTTCCCCAGCTGCTGCCTCCCATTCCTGCGCCTGTGGGATGAGAGATCGAAGCTGTGTGACCTTGACCAAGTTACTTACCCTCTCTAAGCATATGTTTCCCTAAATGTGAAATAGGATGATGGTGATGTGTTTATTTCACAGATTTGATAGAAGGATTAAATGAGAGATGTATCAAAAGCAGTGGGCACAGGGTCAATGCTCAGTGAGCTTTCTCTTTTCTTATCAATAGACAGGTCTCCATGAGGACAGAGACTAGCTTCATCTCAACTGTAGCCTCAGGGCTGGCCACAGTGTCTGCACCCAGCAGGACTTCAGTAAATATCTGTTTATACACTAACCACAGACTTAGGCATAAAAGCCCTTTGGAAGAAAGTTGACCATTTCATGCACCTTCAGACTATGAAGAGCAATGATGACAACTTTAGCTCGAGAGGCTCTCAGTGCTCATTCATACCACTGTGAAAAGGCAGAAACCAGAGCTGTGTGTTTAACTCTCAGCCCCAAAACCTGTTGGCTTTGTTTTATCACTATGAACTTCCAATGCCATCCCTCTAGAATGGGACCTCTCTCTTCTTCCCCAAGGCACCAGCCTGCACCCTAGACCTCTCCTTATTAGCTGGTTCCTCCTGTCTGTACTCTGAGCCCATGCTGTGCTCGTCAGATAGCAACAAGGGAGAATACAGCAGCCCAGAATGCAGGCTGCAGAGTTAGATCCCCAGAACAGGATCTCAGCCGGCTCCATCCTTCCTCAGCTGGGCGACCGTGGCCATTGACTTCCTCTCTGTGCCTCAGTTGCTCCATCTGTGAAATGACGATTGTCATAGTCCCTGCTTCAAAGAGTCACTGGGAGGATTAACTGAGAAAATGCAGGGAAGGTGCTTGGAACTAAATGCTCCAAAAAAGTCCATCTGGCCAGGCACGGTGTCTCACGCCTGTAATCCCAGCACTTCGGGAGACTGAGGCAGGTGGATCACTTAGGTCAGGAATTCAAGACCAGCCTGGTCAACATGGCAAAACCCCGACTCTACTAAAAATACAAAAATTAGCCAGGCATGGTGGCAGGCACCTATAATCTCAACTACTTGGGAGGCTGAGGCATGAGAATCTCTTGAACCTGGGAGGCAGAGGTTGCAGTGAGCCGAGATGGTGCCACTGCACTCCAGCATGGGCAACAAGAGCAAAACTCTGTCTCAAAAAAAAAAAAAAAAGTCCATCATTCTTATTAATGGAGGACAAATCATCTCAGTGCTTCTTTGGCTGATCAGTACCCTCAAAGCTAGTGTTATCCAATAGACCAGAGGTCCCCATCCCCCAGACCACAGACCAGTAGCGGTCTGTGGCCTGTTAGGAACTGGGCTGCACAGAAGGAGGTGAGCAGTGAGCTAATGAGTGAAGCTTCATCTGTATTTACAGCTGCTCCCCATGGCTAGCGTTACCGCCTGAGCTCTGTCTCCTGTCAGATCAGCAGTGGCATTAGATTCTGATAGGAGCACCAACCCTATTGTGATCTGCATGTGGAAGGGATCTAGGTTGTGTGCTCCTTATGAGAATCTAACACCTGATGATCTGTCACTGTCTCCCACCACCCGGAGATGGGATTATCTAGTTGCAGGAAAACAAGCTCAGGGCTCTCACTGATTCTACATTATGGTGAGTGGTATAATGATTTCATTATATATTATAATGTTCATAACAATAGAAATAAAGTACACAATAAATGTAATGCACTTGAATCATCCTGAAACTTCCCCCCAACAAGTACACGGAAACTGGTCCTTGGTGCTAAAAAAAAATTGGGGACCACTGCAATAGACTATTCAGTCATGGTCCAATCAAACATTCTGCAATGGCAGGCTTGCTCTACTCTGCACTGTCCAACATGGGAGCTGCTAGCCGCCCACATGGGCTTTTGAGCCCTTGAAATGTGGCTGGGGAGAATGAAGAACTGAATTTTCAATTTTCTCTTAACTAATTTTTTTTTTTTTTTTTTTTTTTTCAGACAGAGTCTCACTCTATCCTCCAGGCTGGAGTGCAGTGGTGCAATCTCGTCTCACTGCAACCTTCATCTCCCAGGTTCAAGCAATTCTCCTGCCTCAGCCTCCTGAGTAGCCAGGATTACAGGAACCCGCCATCATGCCCGGCTAATTTTTGTATTTTTGTAGAGACGAGATTTCACCATGTTGGCCAGGCTGATCTTGAACGCCTGACCTCAGGTGATCTGCCCAACTTGGCCTCCCAAAATGCTGGCATTACAGGTGTGCCACCATGCCCACCCTTAATTCATTTCTAAATCACAAAATCTAAACAGTAAGTGGACAGGAGCTACCATAGTGTACAAGGCAGCTGTAGAATCACAGGAAATTGTCAATGACCCTGTCCTGCTTCAAGTTGACTTTTCTCCCTCATGGTGAGACTCTAGATTCTTTCCTCTTCTCTCACATTTTTTAGACTTTCAGGCTTAGACCATGAAAATAAGTTCTGTCCTTCCAAGAAAATAACGTTCATAACACTAACTGTATACCAGGCTGATTTCAGTGCTTTACATGTATTAATTTACAACAACTCTGAGGCACGAGCTGTGATTATGCCCATTTAACAGATGACAAAACTGAGGCACAAAGCAGTGCTGGAACTTCTCAAGGACACACAGGTAGCAGGAGGCAGAGCTCGGATTTGAACTCACTTTGGGTTCAGCAACTCACAGCTCTCACCTATGACATAATATTACTTCTGTGGTTAAAACACTTAGACCTGGATTTTACAGGAATCTTGTGCTTGCCTGGCTGCTAGGGAGGTTTTCATCATCTTCCTTATCTCACAGTTCAAAACCCAGGGCCTCCAAGCTCTTGCTACGGTGGCTGTTCACTGGCAGGAGGCTTCTGGGAAGGTTCTCCTTTTCTGTCATTTTTCTTATTCGTGGTTTTTTGTCTCATTGGTGTTTATCCGCAGAACTTTGTTTCCTTCTGCTCAATTCATAATCAGAGTGCTTTTCCTCCTGGCTGAATTCATAAGTGTTTGTGCAAAAAGAGGTTGGCGCAGGGCCAGGCGACTGACGACACCCGGCTCATCTGGCAAGTGGATATCAAATTGTTGTATCTCGTTCTGCCATTCACAGCTCCTGCTGTGGGGCTGGGTCATCTGCCAGCTCTCCAAGGAGCTGGCGGGAAACCGCTGCAATCAGAGCGAACCCAGGGCCCGGGTGAGCCCGCCTCCGCACAGCACTCCAGCTGCCCCCATTGCCTTTTTGGGACACATCTGCTTTGCCAGGCAGGGCTGTGGGAGGGCCGCCTGCCTCCTGTCCATCACAGGGAAAACCCACCCTTGTCCCGCGTCCCTTCCAGGCAGCCTGTGTGTAGCTTGCTGCATTCACCTTTAATATGGCTAAAATGTTTTCCTTCAATGACAGTAATGCTGCCAGAACCCATCAAGACACTCAGGAACTGATGTGCCTTGGCAGATGATGCTGGAAAGATGGGATTCCCGGCAGCCTTTGCATCCCTTGCTCACAGCCCACAAGCATCTCCACTGTCCAGCAGGTCAGGACACGGTCTCTCTCTCTAGCTCTGTGTCTCTCTCTCACGGTCTTTCTCATGGTCTCTGTCTCTCACGATCTCTCTCTCTCATAGTCAGGGCAGAAAGAGTCAGAGTCCATCTGGAGCAGACTCGGATTTTAAATGAGTGTCACCGATAATTTCACATGATCAATGGCTGAGGCATTTCACCAAGTTCAGGAGTCCCAGTTCTCAGAGAGAGGCAGCCAGCCATGACTGTAAGACTTGGGCAAACCGTACAAACCAGACAGCAGGTCTCACCCCTCCCCAGAGAGCTCCAGAGAATATCAAAGAGTGAAACAGCAGAGGGATGGTCTGGGTGGGGTCATCGTGGCTGGCAAGGGTCTGGGACAGCACCTTGTTAGGCTACTCCCAAGAGGAAATTTGGAGAGAGGGTGGGAGGGCGGCTCTCAGTGCAAGCTAAGTCTCCTGGAAAGTAACTTCCAAGCTTTGGAGGATTGTGAGCAAGATGGGACCAACTTCTACCTAAAAGCAACTTCTACCTGAAAGAATGTTAATAGCAAGATAACTCATCCTAATGTTGGTCCAAGCTAGGTCTTTATTATGTATCATAAAGGCTCTGAGAATAACAATGTAACCTCCAAAAGGGCTGCGGGCTTTGAGGAATCTCAGGCAACTCGCTTCCTTCTGCTCAGTGCCTCCCGTGGAGCACAGCAAAGCAAGGAAACACTTAGAGCCAAGCTTGAGTTCTGAATTTCAAATACAGGGAGTCCATCTCTTTCTACCCAATTGTTCCCTAGATGAGTAACTAACTCCTTCCCCATAACTGCACATATTTCCTACCAAAGCACAAGAGCGATGGGCTGTCCATGAGCCTCCCCAAAACATGTGCACCTTGTGACATAAATTCTGTCACCCAAAGAGACCAGACAAAATGCAAAACCAAAGTGGAGCCTTTCCTTGAATTATAGGTTCTAAAGAGTTTTGGACCCTCTACAAAACCCAAGAGTTAGGAATTGCCTGTAAGAAGCACCAGCTCTTGTTTTAAAGAGGCAATTTAAGAATAATAACCATGCTGATGCCACACTACGCTAAGGGAGAAGAATGAACCTAACAAAACAAGCGATTTTCCAATTGCTTTTGCTGCTGGAAACACTGATTATGCTAATTAAAGGGTAGAAGAGTAAATAGCCACTCTTTTGCATCCAATTAAGTGTTCAGATTATTTCTCAGAAGTATTTGTTAAAAATAGCACTTCTGATAATCATGGGTCCCAAATAAACAGAGTCAAGTGCGGTGTGGGACATGTGTGAGTGTGTGTGTGTGCACACGTGTCTTTCTGGAGCTCATTTTATGGAGATCCCGCATAGCTCCCCAAATTCCTGTGAGAACAAATAAGAAAAATCACAGTCTTCTAAGACTACAGCTTGGGATATCTTTGGAAAAGGTGTGTATTGAGAACACAGCATATGGAAACTATTTCACGTTGGCAATATCTGTGATTTAACATTGCAAACATTACAAATGCAACTGGTTCTTCAGAGTCACCTAAGTCCCTCATAATGGCAATATTAGCTTCTTCTAAATAATAAGTTAGCCAGTCAAACTATGTTCTACAGCATGTTAGAAGTTTCATCCTTCTAGTCAATGTCACATTTCAAGGCAAAGTCGATTTATATGTAAGTTAAACGAAGTGCTGTCACTAAAAATTGAGAATTATGTCTAATGCCAATCAGAAATGGAATAAATAAGTATTAGAGGATTTGCAAGTGAAAGCAACCATAGAAATGCTATCATCAGGAAGGAAAATGTATTACCTGCAGAGGTTACAGATAAGACGTTAGAACCCAGAAGAGAAAGAATCTCTGTAAATATTTCCATTAAGTTAATCAAGAGTGGCTGGGTATGGTGGCTCATGCCTGTAATCCCAGGACTTTGGGAGGCCAAAGAGGGCGGATCACGAGGTCAGGAGTTCGAGACCAGCCTGGCCAACATGGTGAAACCCTGTCTCTATTAAAAATAAAAAAATTAGCCGGGCGTTGTGGTATACACCTGTAATCCCAGCTACCCAGGAGGCTGAGGCAGGAGAATTGGTTTAATCCAGAAGGCAGAGGTTTCAGCTAGCTGAGATCACACCATTGCACTCCAGCCTGGGTGACAGATCATGGCTCCATTTTGAAAAAAAAATAAATAAATAAATAAATAAAGTTAATCAGGGTGAGAATAGGATGAGTTTTTCACCCACAAAAAGACATGAGATTCATGCATTCTTTCAACATGCATTCCATCAATAGTGAGCACCTTCTCTGAGCTAGGCCCATTCCAGGTCTCAGGAAATGAGTAACCAACCAGACACGGCCCCTGATTTGGAGCTCACATTTTAGAGCAGCTAAATGGACAGTAAACAAGTAAGCAAATTAAGATCGTCTTAAATTGGGGGAAGTTCTTTAGAGAAGCACTTCCATAAAGCTGAATCGCATCATAGACTATGACTGCCAGGTTGTAGGGAAGGTAATATCTCACCTGCTTGTGGATAGCAGAGCTTCTGAGGCCTTGCAAAGTATTTGGTACTAAGATTTCTGTCTTAGGTCAAGTTCCCTAAAAGCAGAGACTGAGGCAGGGATTGAGTGCATGTAATTCATTCAGGAAGAAGTCTCAGGAGATAGGAGTAAGGAAAACAGGATATGGCAGGGAAGGAGCTAAGTGAGATGTGGTCTCAGCTGGAGACTGGCTCCAGTCTGATCTCACAGGGAGCTCCAGAGGATGAACTGCACCACCATGTTATCCCAGCCTCAGGTCTTTTGTTCCCCTGTGTCAGCCGGTCCTTGGCCAAGGGCTGCAGACTCTCTTGGGGCCCCAGCAGACCGGAGGAGAAGGAGCATGGTCTGTGGTCTACTCTTTTGTGCACATCCACCCACCACTTCCCCAGCTGACACTGCTGGAGGAGGAGAGGGAGAGATGTCATCTCCTTCTATGGCAACCTGTGGGGTGGCAATGGCCCTTTTCCTGTTGGGTGTAATCTGCTGCCATCTCCTGCTGTCTGCAGCCTGACACAGAAGGGTGAAGGTCACCAGGTTCCACTGACCGGGGTCTTTGTCTCAAGCAGCAACCATGGGACCACGGGTCCCTTGCAAGATTCAGCCACATTTCATGACTGTCTGCAACACACCCCATGCCTCTGATGGAAGGAACCCAATGCCCCATGCTGCACTCATTTCTGCCAGACTAGGGTCCCTGATCTCAATTTCCCTCTGCAGTCCCCAACTCTGGGGTCTGCAGACAGATTTCAGATCCGTCCTTATACCTCCCAGGAGGCAGAAGCCAGAGGAAATAATCCTTGTCCCAATGCACCTGACCATGCCACCTCACTGCATGCTCTTTCTCCCTCTCCAGGAAAAATCAAGCTGGTTGAATACTAACCAATATGCCCACATGCATTTAGTCCCCATAACCACTTCTTGGGGCAGCATTACCATCCCCAAGTTACAGACGAGGAAACTGAGGAGAGCATTTATATAACATGCATCTAAGTGGTGGACAAAGGATCTAACCAGGCAGTGTGGCACCAGAGCACACATTTTTGTTGTTCAGAGAGATGGGGTCTCTCTCTGTCCCTCAAATTGGAGTGCAGTGGCCTGATCACAGCTCAGTGCAGGCTTGAACTCCCAAGCTCCAGCAATCTTCCCGCCTCAGCCTCCCGAGTAGCTGGGACTAGAGGCATTCACCACCAACCCAGCTAATTTTTAAAAAACATTTTTCTAGAGATAGGGTCTGATTCCAAACTCCTGACTTCAAGCGATCCTCCTGCCTCAGCCTCCCAAAGTGCTGATATTACAGTTGTGAGCCCCCGCGTCCAGCCCAGAGCAGATTTTTTTTTTTTTTTTTTTTTTGAGATGGAGTCTCACTCTGTCACCCAGGCTGAAGTGCAGTGGCAAAATCTCGGCCCAGAGCACACTTTTAACCACCATATCATTCTGCCTCTGGGTAGGTTAGTCAAGCTCTGTAGCTGATCAGATGTCTGTAGAGAGAAAGAGACATCAATCTCCCCTTCTTCCAAACACCCCCAAATTTTACAAGTGATTTTCTCAGATCCCTCAGCATCAGGAATGGGGATGTGCAGGGCAGCCTGTCCCCTTCCCAACAGCCCAGCAGATATCCCAAGATTACATCTCATTGGCTCTGACTAGGACATGAGCCCAAAGCTGAACCAGTAGCTGTAGCCATGGCATGCAGCATCCTCGGTCCTCTGGCCAGGCCAGAGCTACATCCTACCTCTGGGTCCCCGGGTTGAGCCAATAATCTCGAACCAGGCGCGGACTGAAGCTCAAGGGGGAGTCATAGTAATGTGACCCAGCCCACCAGGAAGTGGGTGCTGAGCAGGCAAGCATTCATCACCCACTGCACACACCAGGGAAGGCTTGTGGTGGCTTAGTCCCACCTGGGGGCAAAGAAAAGAGTGCCTGCTCCATGCCAAAATGTGATGCCTAACACCGTATCTTAAAGCTAGCTGGCTTTGTAATCCCTGCTACTTGGAAGGCTGAGGCAGGAGAACCACTTGAATCCAGGAGGCGGAGGTTGCAGTGAGCCAAGATCACGCCATTGCACTCCAGCATGGGTGACGAGAGAAATTCTGTCTCCAAAAAAAAAATAATAATAATAAAAAAATAAAAAGCTAGCCTGCTTAATCCTCACAAAGATGCCATCTACTTTTTGGCATTCTACAGGTTGAGACACTGGGACATCTTAAAACTCACCACCAGCCGGGCATGGTGTCTCATGCCTGTAACCCCAGCACTTTGAGAGGCTGAGGCAGGAGAATTACTTGAACCCAGGAGTTCAGGACCAGCCTGGGCAAATTAGTGAGACCTCATCTCTACAAATATTAAAAAAAAAAAAAATTAGGGCAAGGCGCCGTGGCTCACACATGTAATCCCAGCACTTTGGGAGGCCAAGGCAAGTGGATCACTTCAGCCCAGGGATTCGAAACCAGCCTGACCAACACGACAAAACTCTATCTCAACTAAAAATACAAAACTTAGCTGGGCATAGTGGTACATGTCTATAATCCCAACTACTTAGGAGGCTGAGGCACGAGGATTGCTTGAACCCAGGAGTCAGAGTTTGCAGTGAGCTGAGATTGTGCCACTGCACTCCAACCTAAGTGACAGAGTGACACCGTGTCTCAAAAAAAAAAAAAAAACAAAAAAAAAACAGGTGTGGTGGTACATGCCTGTGCCCCAGCTGCTCAAGAAGCTGAGGTAGCAGGATCACTTAAGCCCAGAAGTTCAAGGGTGCAATGAGCTATGATAGTACCCCTGCACCACTATGTAAACATATTTATGTATATATGTATGTTTATATATACACATGTATATTATATATGTATATATATGCATATGTATACATGTACATGTGTATATGTGTGTGTATATATATATATATAAAACACACATGCACAAATTCACCACCAACAACTCAGAAATTACCGTCTCCTTCTATTCTAAGGAACTATTTTTCATTTTGCCATCTCTGAAGTTGGAATACACCTTACAATCACTAGAATGTCACAGTCTCGTTGGCAGCATTTTTCTGCTTAGTAGCCCATAAAATAATAGCACATCTTGTAACTAACAGTGTTGTAGATGCTATGAGATCCTGGGGAAGCCCAGAATCTAACTCCATCCTGTCTGACTCCAAAGACCACATATTTCCTATGCCTTTGGACTGGGGCACAGATGTAGACAACTTGAGCTTTGCTGATTGTGAGAAAGGTATGAGAAATGGCCCCGATGGAATTTTCTTCTTGTAGTTGAAGGGGAACAAAGTGGCATCATTCCACTATTCCAAGGGAGGTGTTAAATACGAGGGTGAGGCTGTCAAGCGGTCCCTGGTGGAGTCCTACACTCACCCAAAGAGCAGCGAGACAGAGCGGAGGGAGAACATCGATACCGTCATGAACTGGTTCACCAAGGAAGACTTTGACTTTGTGGCTCTGTGCTACAGAGAGCCAGATAACGTGGGACACCGATTCGGGCCAGAGGCAGAGAACAGGAAGTTGATGATTCAGCAAATCGACAGCGCCATCGGGTATCTGGTGGGAGCCACTGAGAAGCACAGCCTACAGAGCACCTCAGCGTCATCATCACATGAGACCGTGGGATGACCACCGTGAAGAAGAGACCCAATGTCAACAAGATCCCTTGTCCAACTACATCAAGTTCAGGGACTTAGTCAAGTTTGATATCGTGGGCTACGGTGGCTTTGGGATGCCCCTGCCCAAATTGGGGCAAGAGGAAGCCCTTTACCAGGCACTGAAGAATGCGTACCCTCACCTCCACATCTACAAGAAGGAGGAGTTTCCAGAACACTTCCATATGGCTAAACATGACCGGGTTCTGCCAATCGTGATGTATGCCAACTCTGGTTACAGTATCAAAGGGGTAAGTTCATTCTAAAATGAATAAAGTCACCTTGGATCTAGGAGACAACCATTAGGGAAGGGTGGTTCTGCAAAAATCAAACATAAGCGCACAGCCGGGCACGGTGGCTCACGCGTATAATCCCAGCACTTTGGGAGGCTGAGGCAGGTGTATCACCTGAGGTCAGGAGTTTGAAACCAGCCTGGCCAACATGGTGAAACCCCATCTCTACTAAAAATACAAAAATTAGCTGGGCGTGGTGGTGCACATCTGTAGTTCCAGCTACTCTGGAGGCTGAGGCAGGAGAATCGCTTGAAGCTGGGAGGCAGAGGTTGCAGTGAACCAAGATCATGCTACTGCACTCCAGTCTGGGCAACAGAGTGAGACCCTGTCTCAAAAAAATATAATATAATATAATATAATATAATATAATGTAATGTAATGTAATGTAATATAATATAATATAATATAATATGATATAATATAACAAAACAAAATAAAATAAGTGCACACACTACGAGTTGTAGCCCACAGGGTCCTAAATGTTTCCCACCCTCCGCCCAACCAATGCTGCCCCAAATTACTGTTATACAAGATTAATGACCAATTCAACTTGATAAGGCTGATTAAAAATAAAAATAAGGCTGGCCATGGTTGTTCACACTTGTAATCTCAGTGTTTTTGGAGGCTAAGACAGGAGGATTGCTTAAGGCCAGGAGTTCAAGACCAGCCCGGGCAACACAGGGAGACCCCATCTCTACAAAAAACAAACAAATAAATAAATAGCCAGACATGGCGATGCATGCCTGTAGTCCCAGCTACTCAGGAGGCTGAGGTGGCAGGATTTCTTGAGCCCAGGAGGTCAAGGCTGCACTAAGCTGTGGTTGCACTACTACACTCCAGCTTGAGCAACAGAGCAAGACCCCGTCTCTAAAAAATAAATAAACAAATAATAAAAAATAAACACCAACTTCATTATTCAAAATCGTGCATAGAGCTTCACTAAACATTGAATAGCAGTTCTTTCATTTTTTTCTTCCCAACAACCCTATAAAATAGATGCTCTTATTTCCACCACTTTAAAGAAGAAATCAAAACCTAGAGAGAAGTGACTTGAGATTAAAAATGTAAGGTTGGGCTGGGTGCAGTGGCTCACACCTGTAATCCCAGCACTTTAGAAGGCTAAGGTAGGTAGATTGCTTGAGCCCACGAGTTTGAGACCAGCCTAGGCAACACAGTGAAACACCATCTCTACAAAAAATGCAAAAAATGTGTCTGAGTGTAGTGGCACGTGCCTGTGGTCCCAGCAACTCAGGAGGCTGAGGTGGGAGAACTGCTTGATCCCGGGGGTGTTGAGTCTGCAGTGAGCCATGATCATGCCACTGTGAGATAGGAGGCAGGACTTGACTCCACAGGCAGGGCTTAGACACCAGACCAAATTAAGGACTACCTAAAACAGGGCTGGGGCAGAAGAAGCTTTCCATCAGACATGCCCACCAGTGTGCCATGTGAGTTTACTATTGCCAAGGTAACACCCGGGAGTTACTGCCCCTTTCCATGGCAATGACCCAATGACTCAAAAGTTACTACCCATTTTCTAGAAATTCCTGCATAAACTGCCCTTTAATCTGCATGCAATTAAAAGTGGGTATAAATGTGATTGCAAACTCTCTGCCGCTACTCTCTGCCTCCAGGGTAACCCTGCCCTACAGGAGCAGTCACAGGGCTGTAATGCTGCCTCTTCAATAAAACTGTTTTCTTCTATACCTCCGGCTTGCCCTTGAATTCTTTCCTGGGTAAAGGCAAGAACCCTCACGTGCTACTGAGAGGTGACAGCACGGTGTCAGCCCTCGAGCTCACTCTCGGCCCCTCCTCTGCCTGGGCTCCCACGTTGGTGGCACTTGTGGAGCCCTTCAGTGCACCGCTGCACTGTGGGAGCCCCTTCCTGGGCTGGCCGAGGCTGGAGCCTGCTCCCTCAGCTTGCGGGGAGGTGTAGAGGGAGAGGCGCGGGCAGGAACTGGGGCTGGGCGTGGCGCTTGCGGGCCAGCGTGAGTTCCGGGTGGGCATGGGCTCACTGGGCCCGGCACTCAGACTGGCCTGCCAGCCCCGCTGGACCCAGGCAGTGAGGGGCTTAGCACCTGGGCCAGCAGCTGCTTTGCTCAATTTCTCACTGGGCCTTAGCTGCTTCCCTGCAGGGCAGGGCTCGGGACATGCAGCCCGCCATGCCTGAGCCTCCACCCAACCCTCCATGGGCTCCTTCGCGGCCTGAGCCTCCCTGATGAGTGCCGAGCCTCCCCAATGGGCACCACCCCCTGCTCCAGGGCGCCCAGTTCCATCGACCACCCAAGGGCTGAGGAATGCCAGCACAGGGTGCGGGACTGGCAGGCAGCTCCACCTGCGACCCCCGTGTGGGACCCACTTGGTGAAGCCAGCTGGGTTCCTGAGTCTGGTGGGGACTTTGAGAACCTTTATGTCTAGCTAAGGGATTGTAAATACACCAATCGACACTCTGTATCTAGCTCAAGGTTTGTAAACACACCAATCAGCACTCTGTGTCTAGCTCAGGGTTTGTGAATGCACCAATTGACACTCTGTGTCTAGCTAATCTAGTAGGGACTTGGAGAACTTTTGTGTCTAGCTCAAGGATTGTAAATGCACCAATCAGCACCCTGTCAAAACAGACCATTCAGCTCTCTGTAAAACAGACCAATCGGCTCTCTGTAAAATGGAACAATCAGCAGGATGTGGGTGGGGCCAGATAAGGGAATAAAAGCAGGCTGCCCCAGCCAGCAGTGGCAACACACTGGGGTCCCTTTCCACATTGTGGAAGCTTTGTTCTTTTGCTCTTTGCAATAAATCTTTCTGCTGCTTACTCTTTGGGTCCACATTGCCTTTATGAGCGGTAACACTCACTTCGAAGGTCTGCAGCTTCACTCCTGAAGCCAGCGAGACTATGAACCCACCGGGAGGAACAAACAACTCCAGACGCGCCGCCTTAAGAGCTTTAACACTCACCTTGAAGGTCTGCAGCTTCACTCCTGAAGCCAGCGAGACCACAAACACACCAGAAGGAAGAAACTCTGTACACATCCGAGAATCAGAAGGAACAAACTCCAGACACGCCGCCTTTAAGAACTGTGACACTCACCCCGAGGGTCCGTGGCTTCATTCTTGAAGTCAGGGAGACCAAGAACCCACCAGTTCCGGACACACTATGCTCCACTTCGGGGCTCCCCTGCCCTGCGTCAACTGCACTCTGGCCTGGGTGGCAGAGAGAGAGACTCTATCTTAAAAAAAAGAAAGAAATGCAAGGTTAAGTGCTGCCCCCAAGCCTGAGTGGCTGATCATTATACAGAGTACACAAAGATCACCAAAAAAGTCACCACAGAGGCCCCCCGCCGCTGGTTCTCATTTGCCCATATCAAAAAATATGCAAGTCTGTTCATACAAAGACACACACAGATGCTCGTAGCAAAACTATTCATAATTATCAAAAGGTGGCAACAACGCAAATGCCCATCAACAACAGATGAATAAGCAAACAAGTACAGTCCACCCGTGTGATGGAACATTAATCAGCCACAATATGGAATGAAGGGCTGATTCATGCTACAACCTGGATACACCTTGAAACCGTTAGGCTAAGTGAGAGAAGCCAGACAAATATTAGATTATATATACATATATATATATATATGTATATATATATATATGCCCAGAATATGAAAATCCAAAGAAACAGAAAGTAGATTAATGGTTGCCAGGAGCCAGGGGTGGGGATAGTCGGGGGAAATAAGGGGTGACTGCTAATGGATACAGGGTTTCTTCTGGGGTAATTAAAATTTCTAAAATTGATGGTGATGATGGCTGCAGAACTCTGTGAATATATTAAAAACCACTGAATTTTACACTTTATTTATTTATTTAGAGACAGGTTCTGGCTCTGTTGCCCAGGCTGGAGTGCAGTGGTGCAATCTCAACTCACTCCACCACCCACCTCCCGGGCTCAAACCATCCTCCCACTTCAGCCTCCTGAGTAGCTGGGACTACAGACACACACACCATGCCCAGCTAATTTTTTGTATTTTTGGTCGAGACAGGGTTTTGCCATGTTGCTAGGGGTTCATCTCAAACTCTTGGGTTCAAGCGATCCTCCCACCTCAGCCTCCCAAAGTGCTGGGATTGCAAGTGTGAGCCACCATGCCCGGCCAAATCATACACTTTAAATGGGTAAATTGTATGGTATATGAATTATCTTTCAATAAAGCTGTTATTAAAAAGCAGCTTTAAGGGCCAGACATAAGGGCCATGCCTGTAATCCTAGCATTTTGAGAGGCCAAGGCAGGAGGATCACTTGAGCCCAGGAGTTCAAGACCAGCCTAGACAACATGGCAAAACCTGGTCTCTACAAAAAATTTAAAACTTAGGCTTGGCGTGGTGGCTCACGCCTGTAATCCCAGCAATTTGGGAGGCTGAGGTAGGTGGATCACTTGAGGTCAGGAGTTCAAGAGCAGACTGGCCAACATGGTGAAACCCTGTCGCTACTAAAAATGTTTTTTAAAAATTAGCCAGGCATGGTGGTGGGTGCCGAGGCTGAGGCAGAAGAATCGCTTGAACCCGAGAGGTGGAGGTTACAGTAAGCCGAGATTACGCCACTGCACTCCAACCTGCTGGGCGACAGAGTGAAACTCCATTTCAAAAAAAAAAATTAAAAATTAAAAATTAGCCAGCGGTGGTGGCTCGTGTTTGTAGTCCCAGCTACTCAGGAGGCTAAAGTGGGAGGATTGCTTGAGCCCAGGAGGTTGAGGCTGCAGCGAGCCAAGATTGTGTCACTGCACTCTGGCCTCAGCAACAGAACAAGACCCTGTTGCACAATTTTAAAAACAATTAAAAAACGAGCCTAAAGAAAACACAAAAACCAATGCTAACTGTGAGACATAAATGAGGTGGTCTATTTTTTGTTAACTACCAACTAACAATTCATGGCAGAAACACAGTTTAAATGATGCTATAGCCGGGCGCTGTGGCTCACACCAGTAATCCCAACACTTTGGGAGGCTGAGGCAGGTGGATCACCTGAAGTCAGGAGTTTGAGACCAGCCCGGTCAACATGGTGAAACCCCGTCTCTACTAAAAATACAAAAATTAGCCAGGTGTGGTGCCGGGTGCCTATAATCCCAGCTACTCGGGAGGCTGAGACAGGAGAATCGCTTGAACCCCGGGGGGGCGGAGGTTGCAGTGAGCCAAGATCGCGCCATTGCTCTCCAGCCTGGGCGACAGAGCAAAACACTGTCTCAAAAAATAAATAAATAATGAAATAAGTGATGCTATAAACCTCATGTGAGGGAAGACTGTCCCAGGTACAGCTTGAAGAACCCTTGCTGTGAATAGGAGCCAAATGCGATCATTATGTTTGCAACTTGCTTGTTAGCTTGTTGCAACTCCACAGTGTAACAGAAAACTCATGAGGTTACTGTCTAATGTTGGTGGAAATATTCACATTAAAATACAACAGTTTATCACCTAAGGTATATTTTATCCCTCAAGTGGCCCGGAACACAGTGATTATTGCACCCCAATCGCACGCCCGTAGCTAAGGCCTTGCCAAGGAGAAATTCCACAATCACCTGGCCTATTTGTAAACCTGGTTTATGACATTTTGTAACAGGATATCTTGACAGTAGCATGAGGACATTTAACGAGACAAGAACATTCCCCACTGACAAAACAGATGGTTTCAGGGAACAGGATGCTGTGCTGAGTTTAATATTCTGCTGAACTGACCATTAGGGAGAAAATCCTTTGGGTCAATGCCTCTCACGGAATCCACTTATCAGATTCCTGTCCACCTGCCTGCTTTGCAGTGCAGAGTAAAGTGGGCCTTCCTTGACTCTCTTCAGGGACCAATGTGCTTGAGGCCATCATGAGGATATTCATTCTTTTTTTTTTTTTCTTGAGAGAGTCTCGCTCTGTCGCCCAGGCCGGAATGCAGTGGTGTGATCTCAGCTCCCCACTGCAACCTCTGCCTCCCAAGTTCAAGTGATTCTCCTGCCTCAGACTCCTGAGTAGCTGGGATTACAGACATGTATCACCCGGCCCAGCTAATTTTTCTATTTTTTGTAGAAACAAGGTTTCACCATGTTGGCCATGCTGGTGTCGAACTCCTGACTTCAAGTGATCCACCTGCCTCGGCCTCCCAAAGTGCTGGTATTACAGGTGTGAGGCAACGTGCCTGGCAGAGGGCTTTCATTCTTGATGGACTGCTCCATAGCCTCAGAGACAGTCGGACTTGTTTCTTCACCCAGAGCGGAGCAGACAGGCAATTTCTGTATCCACCAGGACAAATATTAGACCAACTCTTCAGTGTACAGAGAGCATCACATTTCTTATATGCTAGAATATCTGTTGGTCCAAAATATAAATAAATAGTATTGTAGCCAGCCACAGTGGCTCACACCTATAACTCCAGAGCTTTGTGGGGCTGAGGCAGGAGGTTCACTTGAGGTCAAGAGTTCGAGACCAGCCCGGGCAACATAGAGAGACACCCCCACACAGCCACCTGCCATCTCTACAAAAATTAAAATAATTAGCTGGGCATAGTAGTGTGGGCCTGTAGTCCCAACTACTTGGGAAGCTGATGTGGGTGGATCGCTTGAGCCCAGGAATTTGAGGCTGCAGTGGGCTATGACTGCATCACTGTACTCCAGCTAGACCTTGTCTCAAAAAAAAAAAAAAAAGTGCTGCAATTGACATTACTTTATCATTTGAAAAGAGGGACAGACAAGAAAGGTATTTGGCATTTACCAAGCAATTACCCAGAATCCTCATCCCATCCTACCCCACCCTTCCCCTAAAAATGTATGTATATGTTTTATACCATAAAAAATACATCTATTTGGCTCTGGAACCAGATTGCTTGGGTTCAATTACCTGATCTAGCATTTGCTCCTGATGACTCAGTGCAGAAAAGCTCTGTAACTCAGTTTCCCCAGCTGTAAAATGGGGAATGGCGACTTTACTGGGCTGCCATGAGGGTAAAGGAGGGAACGTATATTTATGAAGCATTCAGAGCAATTCATGATACATAGTAAGCTCTATATATTTGAGCTTATTATTACTGTCAGTACGATTTTCATCATCTTGCTGTTTCCAATGGGTACGATTTCTACATTCTCTTTCTTAAAGACCTTTAAATCCTTGGTATTCTCTCCACCACCACAGACAGCAGTGTCCATGTAGTTTAAATTTTCAAAGACTTCATGGATCCAATAAACATGACATTAACTAAGGGACAGTTTTCTTTCAGTGGATTGGAACCTAAAATGGCTTTTTTATTGTTATTATTGGCCAGGCTGGTCTCGAACTCCTGACTTCAAGTGATCCCCCCACCTCACCCTCCCAAAGTGTGCTGAGATTACAGGCATGAGCCACCATCCCCAGCCCTCATTCTCTTCTTTTATAAGGACACCAGTCACTGCATCTGCCCCCTCACCAGCAGCCCCCAATCCAGGATGACTCATCGTTACTTGATTACATTTAGAAAGACCACATTTCCAAATAAGGTCACATTCCTGGGTACTGAGGATTAAGATTTCAAATTTTTTCCCTGACTCAATTTTTTTTTGAGTCAGGGCCTCACCCTGTCACCCAGGCTGGAGTACAGTTATGTGATTATAGCTCACTGCAGCCTCAAACTCCTGGGCTCAAGGGATCCCCTGACCTCAGCCTTCCAAGTGTCTGAGACTACAGGTGCACACCATCATGCCCAACTAATTTTTTTGTTTTTTTTGTGTTGTTTTTTTTTTTTTGTACAGGTTAGGTCTCACTCTGTTGACCAGGCTGGTCTGACCTCAAGCGATCCTCTTGCCTTGGCCTCCCAAAGCACTGGGATTACAGGCGTTATCCCGTGCCTGACCCTCTTTCTACATCTCAATCATTGTATCATTAGCCTGAGCTGCGCATATTCCTTATTCTGCCCATCCCTGATCAATCTCCTCCTTTAACAGAACTTCCACCTCGATATGATGGGGCCTGCTGGGCACTGCAAACAGCCTAAGGAAAGTGGAAACTTTACTTAACCTTAAATTCTATTACAAAGTCTACATTGAACGTAATTTATATTTGAACTATAAAAATTTTCTGTAAGTTGACACATGACCTATAAAGGACTCTACACCCTGAAGCAACATTTTAGAAAGAAATCAATTGGTCCTTTTCTGCAGAAACCATTAACCATAGGAGAGATAAAGGAAAAACTTCAAAGTACTGATTGAACTTCCATGCCCATAGCTTAACTTCTAAAAGGCAACCATTCCATACTCTTAAACTGACTTAGGTTGCTATTACTGTTATTAAAGAGACCCTCAAAGCCAGAAGTTGAATCTTGACTGTAGCACTTGCACGTACACGCACACTCTTGCAACTGAAACCACTCAGATTGTCCTAATGCTGCTCCGCATAGCAACACCACCTGGAATTTTACGTTTGTTTTTAAGCGTCAGTCGTAATCTTCACTTGCACCCAAACACACCGCACCTGTGAGAGCCACGTGACATTAAAAAAATCCCTTCAGTGAGGCCGGGCGTGGTGGCTCACGCCTGTAATCCCAGCCCTTTGGGAGGCCAAGGCAGGTGGATCATGATGTCAAGAGATTGAGCCCATCCTGGCTAACATGGTAAAACCCTGTCTCTACTAAAAATACAAAAATTAGCTGGGCGTGGTGACGCGTGCCTGTAGTCCCAGCTACTCGAGAGGCTGAGGCAGGAGGATCGCTTGAGCCCGGGAGGCAGAGGTTGCCGTGAGCTGAGATCGCGCCGCTGCACTCCAGCCTGGCGACAGAGGGAGACTGTCTGAAACAAAAAAATCCCTTCAGTGCCTTGATCCTTCCAGATTCAAATCCAAGAGAGATGACATTTGTCCCTCTCCGGAGACTGCACACCAAGATAAAGATTTCTTCTGGCCAGGCGCGGTGGGTCACGCCTGTAATCCCAGCACTTTGGGAGGCAGAGGCGGGTGGATCACCTGAGGTCAGGAATTTGAGACCAGCCTGGCCAACGTGTTCAAACCCTGTCTCTACTAAAAATACAAAAGTGGCCCGGCATAGTGGCTCATGCCTGTAATCCCAGCTACTCAGGAGGCTGAGGCAGGAGAATCGCTTGAACCTGGGAGGTGGAGGTTGCAGTGAGCCGAGATCGCGCCATTGCACTCCAGCCTGGGCAACAAGAGAGCAAAACTCCGTCTCCAAAAAAAAAAAAAAAAAGAAAAAAAGATTTCTTCTGTGTGCATGGCTCAGGTCTGTGGTCCACTAGCGTCCTTCTTCAATCCGCTTCCAATCTATGGAATCAGGAAAGACTGAACGAACCTAGATTAATATTTTAGTATAACATAATACAGTGTTACTTACTATGGCATTGACCGTATATGCCCTTTTTCTCCTTGGAGGAAGACAATTAATAGCTATTATGTGAGTTAATAAAATAAGCCCAGGATTTATAACTAACCTGTTCCCATTGATTTTCCTTGTCTCATGCAGGCACAGAGCTGATCAAAACAGCAAAAGCAAAGCAGTGCCTCTGGCCCAGTTCTGAAGCCAACCTTCCTTAATCACCCAGACCCATCCCTGGTTAGGACTTGCTGTGGATCCTCAGGTGACTCCATCTCAGGATACAGGGACTGAGAGTGTGTATGCAACTTCTCAGACCCAGAAACCGTTGATTCTGCCTAAAAACACAGCAATAACCACATCCCACCCTCTTGATTTAAATGAAAGGGTTTGGGGGAATAAAAGATGAACTTCTTTTTTTCTTTGTCAGATCTTGCGCTCATTTGGTTCTGGTGGGGAACAACAGCTATAAGAGAACAAGTGTATTCAATTAGAATTAATTCCCCCTCTCTTATTCTCATAGCTGAGCAGGGCTCAAGTGCCTCTCATCTGAAAGAGGTAATAAGATTTTATCTGTCTCCTCATCTACCTTCTGCAAGTATACTTAACAAATTAGCTCTCGGGACTCTTCCAAATGGAGTTTTATGAGGAATTTGCTACGGTAAACGTTTTAGACTTTGTACACAGTTCAGATTTCAGGGGCAGTACTGAAATCTGAACTGTGTTGCTAACTGTCCTGCCTTTCAACTCAAGACACAATAACTTTGAACTAAAATAATTATATTTTTGTTGTTTTCCAGTCTGTCCCCACGTCTATATCACCACCACCCCCAATCCCACCCCGCAGGAGCTAACTCCTCCTTCCTGTCCCTGCAAGATCAAAACTCCTCCTGCAAGCCCCGCTAGCTCTGTCTGCTCACCTTCGTGGCAGATATCGCTATTGTACTTTTATACTCATTTGTGTGATAAATACTTCAATGTCCACTTCTTCCACGAGCCCCTGAGCCCCTGGAGGACATGGACCACACCTAGTTTTTCTCACCGTTACATCTCCCTTGTCAGGCACATGGTAGGCGCTTAATAAGTATTTGGTGAACGAATGGCTTGTTTGGTGACAGTCCAAAGGCTGGGGGACAGAGGGAAAGCTCCCTCCTTTCGGGCCCCAGACTGGTGGCGCTGATACAGAGGAGGCTAGGATAAGGCCTCCAGGACCAAAGCGCGAACCCGTAAGGCCCCTGCTAAAAAGACTTTCCTGAAGGCGGAGGAACTGCGAGAGTGCCTACGTTAGCCCAAGGCCTGACCTGACGATCCCAGGGACCCTCGCCCTAACTGGCCCCGCCTTCCGGGCCCCAAACCCGGACTCGGCCCCGCCCGAAGCTCCGGATCCTGGGGCCCGCCCCTGGTCCCGCGTCGGCGGACCGTGGGCTCGCTCCTGGACCTGCCTCAAACCCTCCGCAGGTAACGCCTCCCGAACTTGAGCCACATTCCGATCCCCTCCTCAAACCCCTCCCCGTTTCCCACGCCCTGGACCCCTCGCTCCGTCTCGGCCCCGCCCCAAGCCCAGCTAGGTCTCGGCCCCTGAGCCCAGCCCCGACCGGCCTCCCAGTCCCTGGGTCCCTCCCGACACCGGCCCCTCCCTAAGCTCCGCCTCCCAGGGCCCGCCTCCTGAGCGCAGCCTGCAGCCCGGACTCGGCCCCGCCTCCCGGACCCTGGACCCCTCCCCAAGTGGGCCCGTCCTAAGTTCCGCCTCCCAGAGTCCGCGCACCGCCTGGCCATGTGGTACGACATAGTCAACGCCCTGCCCCGGCCCCGCCTCCTGAGCCCTTCTCTGGGTCTGGCCTTAGCCCCGCCCTAGGACCTGTCTCCTGGGCTCTGCTCCGAGTCCCGCCTCCTGAACCCAATGGCGTTTATCCCCGCCCTAATGCCCGCCTCCAGGACTCTTATCCTGCCCCCACGCAAGGCAGCGCCTCCAGGACGCGACCAACCTGGACGCTTCCGAAGACCAGCTTCCAGGATCGCCCTATGCTGACCCCGCCCCAGGACCCGCCAACCTGGACTCTACCCAGCACCTGCCCCAACGACGCTTATCCTGGCCCTACCCCAGGCCTCGCCCTCATGACGCTCATCCTGGCCCCACCCCAGGCCCCGCCCTCCTATAAGCTCATCTTGGCCCCGCCCTAGAGTCCGCCCCCAGGACGCTCCTCCTGACCCTGCCCCCAGGCCCCGCCCCCTCTCTGCCCCCGCGCACTACCCTGGGCCCGCTCCCTTTTCAATCCAGGCCCGGCTTCCGCCCGATCTCCTGGCAACGCTGCGGCCCCGCCCACATCATGACGCCCGAGGAGAACGCGGGTACCAAACTCTTGCTGCAGGGTTTTGAGAGCCGCTTCCTAGTGGCGCGCACACTGCGCTCCTTCCCCTGGCAGGTGGGCGGCGGGGCGAGCGGAGAGGCCCGCGGGGCTCGCGGAGTCCAGGGGCAGACGGGATGGGTCTCCGTGCTGAAACCCCCGGCGCTCCTGCCACGTGAGTTCCTGGGCTCTCCCTGGTCAGGGCCGCGAGACCCGGTCCCCGTCCCTGGGGCCTGGCCAGAGTCGCTCTCACCCATCCTGCCCCGCGAGCTGGCGGCGGAAGCTGGGGGCGTCTCCACAGTCTTGGGGTGCAGACGCGCGCTCGGTGTGGGGTACAGTTCACGATCATTTTCATGACTTTTTAAAGGCAGTAATCGTTCTGGTCACTGGGACACATCTGCCCTCGCCCATTCTAAAAAGTCAGCGCCCTCAGGCCCGCGGGTAACCACCTCCTCCTGAGCGCGGTGACCAGGTCAAAGGCTGTCCCTAGGGCCTCAGTGTTCTCATCTGTATGTCGAGCACTACATAGAATCAGCTCATGCGCTGAGGCTTTCACGCCTGTGATGGAAGAGATAGAGAAGGGGCTGGCCTCTCCTCTCCCTGGGGACCTGCCATTCTCAGCACAGGCACATGTCAGGCAGCAGCCTCCCTTCTGCCAGCAGAGGGGCTTAATGCACCCCGTTCCATTTGTAATTCATGTGCAGTGAGCTCACTGGGATGAGTCAGTTTGGATATATATTCCTCCCTGGGTCTGCCCCATTTTATGGGGTGTTGCTTAATCATTTGCGTTATTCCATTGATATAAAATATTTAGCACTCAGAGATCATTTCTGGTCAGGAGAAATTTATGCATTTTTAACCCAAAATAGAAACCTTCATAAAAGCATCATAGGTCTCCATTCAATATTGACTATAATTGTTCACATGCCCACGCTGAATGCTAACTTGGGCTCACCCTCAACACCCACGAGGTGGGTACTATTATTATCACTCACATTTGACCAGAGGGATTGTTTGATTAGGGTGTAGTAGTTGAGAGTTCAGACCCAGGAGACAGCCTGCCTGCTTCGAATCCTGGCCCAACCCCTGGCCCTGTGTGACCTTGGGCAAGTGACTGCATCTCTCTGTGCTGTTGTTTTCTTATTCATAAAATGGTTGATATAATGATACCTACCTCTTAGGGTTGTTGTCAGCGTTGAGTACAAAAGCCTGTGGATCAGTGCCTGGCTCATGGTAAATGTATGTCGGTGTTAGCTAGTGTTTTTACTCAGTCTCAAAATGTTTAATAAATGCCTTCTGTGAGCCAAGCACCATGGATCAGCAGTACCCATGATAGATGAGGCTCTGCTTGCATGGGAGAGACAGAGAATAAACAAATAAATGAATAAACAAGAAAAGACCAGATGAGAGTGGCTTTAAAGCCAAGAAAACAGGGGAATGGTGAATGGAGCAACTGGGGAGAAGAGTCACCAAAGTCGGGGAATCAGGGAAGCCTTCCCCAAAGAGGTGGCATTTGAACTGGGGCCTGAGTGGTGAAGCAGCCAGCCATGGGAAGGGTTTGGGGAACAGGATATGCAAAGGCCCTGTGGTGGAAACAAGCCAGCTGTGGTTGAGGAAAAACACCAAGGTAGCCAGTGTGGCTGGAGTGGAGTGAGCAGTGTGGGCCAGGGATGAGGGAGAATAGTCCAGAGAGGGGGATTAGCAGCAGGCCTTGTAGGGCCTTTTATGGCATAGAAGGAGCTCTGAAGCAATGAAGTGCCTTGCCATGTGTCACATACCAGCCGAGACAGTCTGCCTAACTCGGGAGCCAAAGCTCACTGCTGGGCTTGAGGCCCCTGTAAGAGGACAATGTAACCCAGGCTGGTATGGGCACATTCTGCATTTCCACTTAAACTCAGATGGCAAGCCCATCAAACCTTGGTGCCATGGCTGCCCTGGTAATTCCTGGCTGACCAGTGTAACCAGGGAGCTGGCCCATGACCTGGGTGGCAGCTGAGTAGCCAGGACTAATGCGACCAAGAGTCAGCCTTCTTCCTGTGACTCATCCAGGTGCACCCTGCGACATCTGAAGGTCAGGCTTTTAGCTGTTGTGGCTTCCACTTCCAACTGGCTCCACGTCCCCAGGGAGGGATCACATAGAGCTTTGCCAACACATTCTATTGCGTGTTTAATGTTCCTGTGAATGGGCCCTTGAGATTTCTCTCTCTCCCATCCACACAGAGCTTAGAGGCAAAGTTAAGAGACTCATCAGATTCTGAGCTGCTGCAGGATATTTTGCAGAAGGTAAGAATCCCAGAGTCCCTGGGACTCATGATCCTGCCTCCTGAATCTCTCCGGAAGACCTGAGAGAAGCAGCAGAGGTGTGCTTGTACCCTTTAAAAACAGCCCTCTTCAAAGAACAAAACCATTGAGTCAGCACTTCAGGAGGGTGTCAGCACCTCCGACAGCTCCTACGGTTTCGTTTTCTATCTAAGACTTAGACAAAGACATCAGAATATACAAAAATCTGCAAGGGGGGGAAATCTAGGGAATGTTTTTTAAACCATCCACAGCAAAAACAGAGATGACAGGTGCAAAACAGCTTCTAGCATTTGGTAGATGCTCAGAGACTTTCTTTTTTGCATTCATGAGGCCTGTCCCGCCCACTCCTGTCTCTTCTAGACCTAAATGGGCCCTTGCTTTGCCCAGGGTGGGGTTTGGACTCAAGTGCATCTGCATGCAAGTGAGAGCCAGGATCACCACGCGGCCCAGCCACAGGCTGACCTTGGCCTTGAGGGCCAAGTGCAGATCACCCTGCATCCTGGGTCTTCACCTTCGAAGGGCCATGAGCCCTTCTGAAAAGACAAAGCAATAGACTCCCTCCCAGAAAGAAGTGCACCAGAATACATTTTCCATACAAACTCAGGGGAGGCAGACATCCTCCACGCCCACCCACCCAGCCCATCCTAGGAGCCCCGGTGAAGAATTCCTGTGCTAGAGGTGAACCAAGATTATCCACGTGGAAAAGATGCAGCCACAGCAGGGAAGACTTTCGGGGCAATACAGTAGGTCAGGGCTTCGAGGATGGAGATACCTGAAGTTATCTCGCACCTTGCTCTGAGTTTCACCCTGAGCCTCACTCTCGTAGGTGGTGAAGCATGAGATGTAGGGAGAGCTGCTTTAAAACCCAGCACAAGGCTGGGTGCACTGGCTCACACCTGTAATCCCAGGTCTTTGGGAGGCTGAGATGGACGGATCACCTAAGGTCAGGAGTTCAAGACCAGCCTAGCCAATATGGCAAAAACCCAGCTCTACTAAAAATAAAAAAATTAGCTGGGCGTGGTGGTGCACGCCTATAGTCCCAGCTACTCCGGAGGCTGAGGCAGGAGAATCGCTTGAACCCAGGAGGTGGAGGCTGCAGTGAGCCAAGATCGGGCCACTGCACTCCAGCCTGGGCAACAGAGCGAGACTCTGTGTCAGAACAAATGAAAAAGCAGCACCAGCATGAAGAGTCTGTGTGTTGCGTGGGGTACTTTGCTGCCCTTGGGCAGAATCTGCATCCCTCCCAGGCAGCAGGCGCTGCGGACCGTCTCCTCCCTCTCCCTCCAGTCTCCTGTTTTCCCGCCGTCCCCCCTCCTGCTGCACCAGTCCCTCTGCCCTCCTTTCCAAGTGCCAGCCCGTGGCCACCTCAGAGCTTGCACAGGCTGTTCCCACTGCCTGGAACTTGCTCATCCTGCACTTGGCTTCTCTCGGCTTTAGCTGGAGTCACCCTGAGCGTCCCCTCCCCTCCATCCTGTCCCCAGGGACACACGCTCCCAGAGAGCAGTTGCTGAGTGGGCCTCCCCGCCTCTTCCATAAAGCCAGATAGTTGGTGACTGTCCTTACTGCAAACCCTGGTTCACACTGGCTCCCCTGGGAGGGAGGTGGTTTGGGCCCACATGCCCTGTGTTCCTGCTCAGAATGGGCGTTAGAAATGCTGCCATAGCCTGTGCCACTGCAGTGGAAGCATCTTTAGGAAACGGCTTATATCTTAAGACAAACTTCAGATGCGTGGGGCCAGAACGCTGTGTCCATCTGCATCTTTGCTGAGGGATCAGGTAGCCTGGAGTTTGCCCTCTGCTGTGTTGGCTTGAAGCTCATAGGAGACTTAAGATGGGCTCTCGAGCAACCAACGTTCTGTCCTTTGCCGTAGACTGTGAGGCATCCTGTGTGTGTGAAGCACCCGCCGTCAGTCAAGTATGCCTGGTGCTTTCTCTCAGAACTCATCAAAAAGGTCAGTTATGGGCAGTGTCCGCCCAGTAGCTGGACAGCATAGCCACCGGCGTGCTGCACACCCCGTCCTTCCCAGGCCCTGGGCCTGCTTTGCAAACCCCGGCATGGCAGGGGCCTCCCCAGGCAACTGGCTGCAGGTGTGTGTGACCCATGGGAGACAGTGCAGGGTGGGAATAAGGGGAGGCCAGCGTCTCTCCCTGAGTCTGCCCTCTGGGGTTTCCACAGCAGCTGCTTCTCTGGGGCCCCAGCTCCTAGCATATGGATTCTCATTCCTACCAGGCTGGACCAGCCCACAGCACTGGAACCATCACCCACACCCTCTGTCCTGCCCACCAAAGGGTTTGGAGTTTCCTGCTCTTGTCCGTCTCTGGGTTGCCCCACGGGCCCCTGTTGGAAGTTTTAGCTCTTGCCATACCTTTGGAACTAGTTCCTCTGGTGAATTCTCCGCATTGATCCTGCTGGAATGAGCTCTTTCCTGACTGATATAGGATGGATTTTATTTTTTACTTATTTATTTATTTATTTATTTATTTTTTTGAGACAGAGTCTCACTGTGTTGCCCAGGCTGGATTACCGTGGCACAATCTCAGCTCACTGAAACCTCTGCCTCCTGGGTTCAAGCAGTTCTCGTGCCTAGCCTGCTAAGAAGCTGGGACTACAGGCACATGCCACCATGTCTGGTTAGTTTTTGTATTTTTAGTAGAGACAGAGTTTCACCATGTTGGCCAGGCTCGTCTCGAACTCCTGACCTCAGGTGATCCGCCTGCCTCGGCCTCCCAAAGTGCTGGGATTACAGGCATGAGCCACCGCACCTGGCCTAGGATGGATTTTAAAGATGGGCCCGAACATGCAGGGTTTGACATGAGGATGTCGAGAGGCCATTCCTTAGTAGGCAGTAGCAGACCTGCTGAGTGAAAGGGCCACACTTTTAACAAATAAACAATCCCCTGCTTCTCCAATACCTGCTTTCTCCCTAGTTCTCCCCAAAAGGGTGCATCTCTGGTCACCAGCAGGTCTGCCCTGTGCCACCACGAGAGGGCAGCAGTCACCCAGTGTACCCTGCTGCTGCCCTGTGAATCCTAGGACTGGGCCAGCTGTGGAGAAGCAGCCTGCTGACAGCCACAGCCTGCAGCATGGGCCGCCCTCACAGTTCTGCCTGGGCTCACTTAAAAGCACCTTTTGTTTTCCTCCTCTCTGTGTTTGATCCAAACACAGAGCTCTCTGTCATGGTCATGTGGCAGCTCTCACGGAATCCTTGTCTCCTGCCCTAGACTACACCTAACCCTACCCTCTGAACACCTCTTGCTGAAGGCCCTCCCATCCACGTTTCCCTACCAAGTGGAATTATTTCTTTTTAGAGACAAGATCTCTGTTGCCCAGGCTGTCCTCAAACTCCTGGGCTCAAGCAGTCCTACCATGTCAGCCTCTGGAGTAGCTGGGGCTATTCAGCACACACCACCACGCCCAACAAAGTGAATATTTTATATGCAAGCTGGCTGGTATCACACCATTCCATCCCAAATCTCCCCTGCAAACTTGGTGAAAATCATCTGGCCATTTTTACAGATTAGAACAAAAGCAAACAAGCTCTCACTCTGTCTGCCCCCAGCACGAGGCTGTCCACACGGAGCCTTTGGATGAGCTGTACGAGGCGCTGGCGGAGACCCTGATGGCCAAGGAGTCCCCCCAGGGCCACCGGAGCTATTTGTTGGTATGAGAAGGGCACCCTCCTCCCCCTCACAGCCCAGATACCCTTCCTGCACAGACAAAGTGAAAACATGGGTGTGGGTTCAAATCCTGACTCACCCATTCTGCAGTCTTAGACATGAGGTCCGTTAACCTTCTTTAGCCTCGGTTTCCCTGTCTGTAAATCAAGCACTTCAACAACAATAACATGTGTTGTGGGGTTGTTGGGCATTTGTCCAATAGGTAACACACACTACCTGCTTCACAAGGACCTGGTGCCCAGTCCTCAAAGAATACTTGACAGGGCCAGGCGCAGTGGCTCAAACCTGTAATCCCAGCACTTTGGGAGGCTGAGGCGGGTGGATCCGAGGTCAGAAGTTCGAGACCAGCCTGGCCAATATGGTGAAACCGTGTCTCTACTAAAAATACAAAAATTGGGCCGGGCATGGTGGCTCATGCCTGTAATCCCAGCACTATGGGAGGCTGAGGCGGGTGGATCACCTGAGGTCAGGAGTTTGAGACCAGCCTGGCCAACATGGTGCAACTCCATCTTTACTAAAAATACAAAAATTAGCGGGGTGTGGCAGTGGGCGCCTGTAATCCCAGCTACTCGGGAGGCTGAGGCAGGAGAATCTCTTGAACCCAGGAGGTGGGGGTTGTAGTGAGCCGAGATTGCGGCATTGCACTCCAGCCTGGGCAACAAGAACGAAACTCTGTCTCAAAAAAAAGTACAAAAATTAGCCGGACATGGTGGCGCATGCCTGTAGTCGCAGCTACTTGGGCAGCTGAGGCAGGAGAATTGCTTGAACCCAGGAGGTGGAGGTTGCAGTGAGCCAAGATCGTGCCACTGATTCCAGCCTGGGTGACAGAGCTCAAAAAAAATAAGATAAAACATAGATACAGAAAACCACAAAGGAAAAACATAGCATATTGAATCATCACAAGGCAGCCACCCCTTCATAGCCACACCCAGCCCCTGGCCACCGCTGACCTTTGCTCCATCACCAGAATTCTGTTGTCTCAGGAATGTTGGATAAATGGAATCCTGTGTGGCCTGAGATGAGTGTCTTTCATGCCGCATGACAACCTTGAGGCCCGTGCAAGCTTTTGGCATGTCAACAGTTAGCTGCTTCTCATTGCTGACTGGCAATTGGTCCTGTCATGGTTTATTTGGCCATGTGGTGGATGGCTATTTGTCTTCTAAGCCACTTGCCTTCTGATTGCTGGACTGACTCTCTCGCCCTCTCTTGGTGCAGCCCTCGGGAGGCTCGGTCACACTCTCCGAAAGCATGGCCATCATCTCCCACAGCACCACGGGTCTGGTCACATGGGATGCCGCCCTCTACATTGCAGAATGGGCCATCGAGAACCCGGCAGCCTTCACTCACAGGTGACCTTGGGGCGCAGGGCAGGGCACCGAGGCGGGCTTACCCTGGTGCAGTCGCAGACACGGTCCCCTTTCCTCTCGCCAGGTCTGTCTTAGAGCTTGGCAGTGGTGCCAGCCTCACAGGCCTGGCCATCTGCAAGATATGCCGCCCCCGGGCATACATCTTCAGCGACTGTCACAGCCGAGTCCTCGAGCAGCTCCAAGGAAATGTCCTTCTCAATGGCCTCTCATTAGAGGCAGACATCACTGCCAACTTAGACAGCCCTAGGGTGACAATGGCCCAGCGCTGGACTGGGACGTAGTGACGGTCCATCAGCGCTCTGCCTTCCAGCTAGATGTTGTCATTGCAGCAGGTAATGCCCAGCCCTGAGCACCCTGTGCAGGCACTGTCCTTGCAGCTCTACCCAGCTCTTGGCTCTGGGAAAAGGGAACAATGGGCGCTGTCAGGCATGGACATGATGGGGCTTCCAGAAGAGTTACTCTGGGCCTCCAGGGTGAAATCAAAGGACGGGGTGCCTCTTAAGGTGACCTTCAAGCCACAGCCCTCTTGTTGGAGTCAGGCATACTCCCATTACAGTCATCACCACATGGCTCTGTCCCAGAGCCATGCCCTGTGTCCTTCAGAGACCACAGGAGGAAAACAACCAGTTCTGGGACGAGGACAGGGCCCTTGAGAGAAGGTGGTGTTTGGCTGGGCCACCAAAAACCCCTCAGCCCTGCCAGCACACTCAGTCCCCTCTCTGGTCGAACAGAGCTCTGCCTGTGGTCCTGGGTCACAGTCCTGAAATCCACAGGTCCAGCGCTGGCCAGGGACAAAGGCCCACCCCTGCAAGCCAGCAGACCAATCAGCAGACACCTGAAACACGAAGTTCACAGCAGGGTCAGGCTTTGTGTCATTTGAAGCCCTCTAGATAGGCCGAGAACCAGAGCTGTTTTTGTAAGGAACACCAGTGAGTCTGGAGATTTTTTTCTTTTGCTTCGGTCTTTTGCAGCTTTCTCTACTAAGGGTTCTCCTTTTTCACCCAAGTAATTGCCTTTCCATCTAATGGCTCAAATGGTCAAAAGGCATCTAATAGTCTCATATGATCGCTGCCTCTCTGGCCTCGCCCTGCTGCTGAGGTCAGCGTGACCTGGAACTGTCCGCTGGTCCCTTTCAGTAACCTGAAGCTTTCACCGTAGATGTGCTGTATTGCCCAGAAGCCATTGTGTCACTGGTCAGGGTCCTGCGGAGGCTGGCTGCCTGCCGGGAGCACCAGCGGGCTTCTGAGGTCTACGTGGCCTTCGCTGTCCGCAATTGAGAGACGTGCCAGCTGTTCACCACCGAGCTAGGTGAGCCCCCACCCCAGCCTGGGCCTGTATGTCCCTGAGCTGTCACTGCAGGACTCCAGTGGAAGTGAAAGAGCTGGGCACCAGGGAAGAGCTAGGATGCCCCACACTCCGACACCATGAGGGGAACTCGGGCAGAGGCCGGTGAGCAGGGTGGGCTCGGGGCATTGGGGGCTTGCAGCAGGAGGAGGGTAGCTCAGCACAGGGAGGGAGGGTCTGAGCCCAGCAGCCCTACTGTGTGCTTCAGAGCAGGGTTCCCTAAGCCCTTGGGCCTCGGTTTCCTCATCTATAAAATGGAGGTGGCAGGAGGGGCAGTCGGGGTCAGGGCTGGACAGAGCTGTGGCCTGCATGACGCTGGAGCACAGGCTGTACAGGCGGATCCTCCACTCCACTGTCTTGAGCACCCAGTTGATGGAAGACGAGCAGGGTGACTATAGAGAAGGGGAACTGGCCCCGTAGTGGGCCACCCACTGTCCTCAGACCTGACATTTGTCAGCCCCCAGCACCTGTGAGGGTGTGCTGTCATTGTCCCATCTCACCGACAAAGACAGTAGGACACACAGAGGCCAAGCGACCCCCGACCCCCTCCCAAAGCCACTGCCCTCCCACACCTGGGCAACAGTGGCCCCAACCCCAGGCCCAGGCCTCCTGCAGGAAGGAAGAGGACTGAATGGAGGGCATGGCAGGCTGAAAGGACGTGGCCTCCTCAAACCCCTTGGTAAAGGGCCTCTGGGGCCACCTGGCAGGGAGGGGCTGGCACACCAGGAAGTAGCCTCCTCCTGGGAGTTAAGCCAGAGCCCAAGTCCTGTCCCCAAGTGGCCTCCAGAGCCACCTTTTCAGAAAAAGTACATCATGCCCATGCCTGTTACCCCTGCTTAAGTCCCCGCCTCCTCCCTGAGCCTCCTGCTGGCCTCTCACCTAGAAGCGGGGGTAGTCCTCGGCCCTCCAGCCAGTGGGTGCAGACCTGGATGTGCTGGAAATGCTTCTGGTGGATGAGGCGGCTGTAATACTCCCTCAGAGGCCCTTTGCCTTCACAGAGAAGAGCAGACACTGCCATGGACCCGTCTCTGTCCCTGCCACATGGCCCCAGGCCCAAGACACTCCCCCTAGGAGGGATCCTTTTCCCAGAAGCTCCACCCCTCGGCAGCTCCAGTCAGGCCCCATCTGGGCCCTTCCAGAAGCAACCCAGGAGCCCCGAGACCTGCAGGGGTGTGTGCACCCTGACCCCTGATGCATAGCCCTGCACCTGCAGCCAGCTGGCCTCGGGCTGCAAACATGGTGGGGTAAGCACTGGCCTGGCACCTGACCACCCACTGGGTGGACCCAGCCTTCTGTCTGTGTTGTGCACAGGGGACACGAGGACTCCCCCTGCCCTGCCGCAGCCCCCAGAGCACATGGTGCGGGTTCCAATCCGCGCCTGCCCTGCCACAGCCTCCAGAGCACATGGCGCGCTTTCCAAACCACTCCTGGGAGCCTAGAGGCCAGAGGAGGGAGGAGAGCAGGACCAGCAGCTGGCCCAGACCCCGCCTCTTCCTACACCACTTCCGCTTTTCTCCCTCCTCACTGAGTCATCTTGAAAGGGCTCAGCAGCAGTAACTGTGGGACAGGGGCTCTTCCATTTGAAAAATTAAAAGAGGCTTGGTTAAGGCACCAATGACATGGCCGGGCACAGTGGTTCATATTTATAATGTCAGCATATTGGGAGGCCAAGGCGGGTGGATCACTTGAGGTCAGGAGTTCAAGACCAGCCTGGCCAACATGGTGAAACCCTGTTTCTACTAAAAATACAAAAATAAGCTGGGTGTGGTGGGCACCTGTAGTCCCAGCTACTCGGGAAGCTGAGGCATGAGAATTGCTTGAATGTGAGAGGCAGAGGTTGCAGTGAGCTGAGATCGCACCACTGCACCCCAGCCTGGGAGACAGAGACTTTGTCTCAAAAAAAAAAAAGACACCAATGACATAACAACAACAGAAAAGATGCTTGGAAACTACTGAAAAAGTAGAAAGCTTGGTATCTACAGATTCACATCTGGGCTCCCTGCCCTGCTGTGAAACCCTCTGAGCCTCAGTTTCCCACGTGTCAAGCAGTATAAGACCCTATGGCAGAGAGCTGCAGTGAGGATTAAGGAGACAAGATCGTGGGAAGCACAGGGTGAAGGCTGCGTGCCCCTCCCCCTCTGCCATCCCCCAGCCAAACAGACACCCAGGGTCCCAGGCAGTACCTGTTATCACACAGACAAGAGAAGGAAGGTTGCGTCCGTGAAGAGTCAGTTGTTCAAACTCTGTGTTTAAAAAAAGAAGCAATTCTACATGGAATTTCTGATAGAATTTTTTTTTTTTTTTTTTCCTGACAGACTCTCGCTCTGTCACCCAGGCTGGAATGCAATGGCGTGATCTCAGCTCACTGCAACCTCTGCCTCCCAGGTTGAAGTAATTCTAGTGCGTCAGCCTCCCAAGTAGCTGGGATTACAGGTGCCCACCACCATACCTAGCTAAGTTTTGTATTTTTAGTAGAGACACTTTTCGCCCTGTTGGCCAGGTTGGTCTCGAACTCCGGACCTCAGGTGATCTGCCTGCCTCGGCCTCCCAGAGTTCTAGGATTACAGGTGTGAGCCACCATGCCCATTCAGAAAAAAATTTTTAAATAAACAATAGCCAGAGTCCCCTGGTCAGGTGGAGAAAGTGCACTGCTCTGGCAGGGAGGCCCCCAGCCTCTGTGAGATACTCTCCTGGAGGGCGCATTTCAGCCTAAGGGCCTGGTCACTCAATGACCCAAATGGGGATTCAGGGAGGCCCACCTCCACCACCCCTACTGTCCCCAGGCTGCCCCACCCAGTAGCCCAGGACAGGAACATGTTGCAGGCCAGGCAAGCAGCTCACAGCTCAGTGGCCCGGACAAGCCCAGAGCTCCTCACCGCAGCCACACACCTACTTTCTAAAGCTGCCAGCAGGATAGAGAAGTCTTCGTCCTCTATGAGAAGAGAATTGAATGTCAGGGGCCTGTTTCTAGACAGCACTCTTCCAGCTCACACACCCTCCCCTTCTCATTGAGACCGTGGCGGGGTGGGGGCATCCAGGACTGGTAGGGGTAAGGAGAACACAGGTTGGCCAGGTGCCCGTCACACCAGCCCCAAGTGCCCCAGGGGTCGTGCAGACCTGTCCAGGTGTGCTGCTGACCAGCAGGGCTGGCCGCTCATGGAGACGCATCACCAGCCCGCTCCCAGCATCCTGCTCCATGAAGGCTGACCGCTCCATGGCTGGGTCCTCAGGTTCTGAGCTGAAGGAGGAGAAAAAAACCCTGTGAGAGGCCACAGAGCAGGCCCAGGACCCAGAACGGGCATCTCCTGCCATGGCAAGGCCTGCAGGCTCCCAACAGTTGGGGTGCCCAGCCGCATCAGCAGCACCAGGCCACCCCTGCCAATCGAGGCATGGGCTTGCTTTCTCTAATATTGTTTCTGGGTGCTAAGGTTACAACAGCAAACAAGACTGACTCATTCCTTTTCTCCACGGGACTTACTGTCTTATCATCCCCTGGACTCAAGATGAGGGTGCTAGGATGCCCTCCCACACCACCCCAGCTTACCCAGGGGCACACCTCAGGGTATGTGGACCTGCACAAAGGTCCCTTCCTTAGCCCCATGAGACACCCCAGGGGACACACAGGTCCACAGATCCTGCCACAGGCCTGGGAACCCATTGGCAGGAGAGTAAGACAGTGCAGGGGTCCACAAACATTTCTTAAGGGGCCAGAGAGTAAATACTTCAGGCTTTGCAGGCCAGACGTTCTCTGTTGCAAAACGCAATTCTGCTATTGTAGCTCAAAGGCGGCTATAGACAACTCAGAAGTTAATGAGTGTGTTGTGTCCCAATGAAACTTGATTTACAAAAGCAGGAGACTGGCCTGTAGCCTTAGTTTGCCAACCCCTGGATGAGTGGGTTCCCAGGTCTGCAGTGAGAAGGGGAGAGGCCAGGGCAGTGGCGAGCAGGAGAGAAGGCAGCTGAGGATGGGAGGCCTACCAGGCCCTGAACAGAGAGTGCGTGCTGCCCACCTTCATGAGGAGCCGGTGCTGCAGGTCCAGAGGTGCCTCTTTAAAGAAAGATGCCAGCTTGTCGTAGACGGTCACAGCCCTGCAATGAAATCATGGCAGGACTATTGCATTAGTCCAGCGTGGAGGCTACTTTCTGCTCAAACCACTCATTTGGGTCCCGTGCCCAACGTCACCCATCCTCAGCAAAACCACCATTATTTCCTTCTGCCTGGTTTCCAGAAAGTTCCCCTAAAGCCCTGAGGAATCACCGAATGAAAGGGGCTTTTTACAAACAGGAAACTTAAGTGGAGTGCCAATACACAACATGGATTGCAGCAGGCTCGGTCTAAGATAAAACCAGACGGTGGACAACAGGCCAGGTAAGACCCACATGGTCTGCACTCCCTGGTTCTGTTATTGTGTGGAGGAATGTCTTAGTCTGTTGCTCCTGTGGGTGTAGCTAAAGCACAAACCAGGAGTCCTCATCCTTAGAAAGCAGTTAGACAGACATCTGAGAACCAATCCCAAACTGCAGCCTTCCACAGAACCTTCTGGAACCTTCTGGAATGCAACTTATTACTGCCAGAGGGTCTTTGATGAGAGTCTACTCTCCACCATTTGTCTTCAGAGAGAATACCCACCTATTCTCTTTCCGTGGAAAGGTAAGTTATTGGAGTTTATGCAGTCTGGTATATTAATTGAGAGCTTTACTTCAAAGAATGTCACGTTTATGGTTCAGTCTCACAGACTGGGTTAAAAAGGCAGTGTTGACTATTAAGTTGTAAATTACTATGATGATCATTATTATTGAAGCAAGCTGTGAGAAATGAGCATTATCTTACAATATCTGCATTTTAGTGAACCTGAAGGAAGAGTGTATTGCTGGAATTACAGAAGCCTGAGAACCACAGGGGAATTCTCACTGCAGGGTATTCAGGGTCAAAAGCTGATTCTATTTTGCATGCTCAATCCTTCGTCAATTTATTTTTATTTCTTTCTTTATTTTTTGAGACAGGGTCTTACTCTGTCGCCCAGGCTGGAAGGCCTTGGTGCAATCTCAGCTCACTGCAACCTCGCCTCCCGGGTTCAAGTGATTCTCCTGCCTCAGCCTCCCACGTGACTGGGATTACAGGTGCTCACCACCATGCCTGGCTGATTCTTGTACTTTTAGTAGAGACGGGGTTTTGCCATGTTGCCCAGGCTGGTCTTGAACTCCTGACCTCAAGTGATCCGCCTGCCTCAGTGCCTAAAGTGCTAGGATTATAGGTGTGAGCCACTGCACCTGGCCTAATTTAACAGAATTTAACTGAGCAAAGAATGATTCACAAATCAGACTCAAAAATTAGACACAGAAACAAAATAGGTTCAGAGCAGCTCTGCGCTGCTGCGTAGTCAGAGAAAATTGATGAAGAGAAAAAGGAAAATGATGTACAGAAAAGGCAGTGAGGTACAGAAGCAGACAGATTGGTTACAGCTCAGCATTTACCTTATTTGAATGTGGTTTGAACAGTTGGCAGCCTGTGATCAGCCAAAACTCTCTGATTGGTATATGAATACGAATATTTCACTACCCATTCTTCTGAGCATCTAGGTGTTTTCTATTCACACATTCATTAGGTGTCAGGTCTGTAAAGCAAAAATAAAATTCTAAGGCCCCCCCAACCATCTGAATAGACTTCCTCCTCAGCCAAGACTGTTTTAAAATTTAACCTGAGAGACTATTTCAGGCATTGCCGGGAAGTCGGGGTCAAATATGCCTCATGATACCTGTCAGGCATTAATATCAACGCAGACTTTAAGTCTGGTAAGAAACATTTTACAATCTCATTTCTAAATGCACTTCTTAAAGTGAGGTATTGTTCACTTGGAATATTCCACTGTGATTTTAAATCATCTTTAGTAAGATTTTGACAGTTTTGTAAGTGTTTGCTGCTTCCAGGGACTCATATTTATCCATGTAAATGTAGGCATAGCTGGAAGGTGGAGTGTATTCAGCTCTTCAGAAATTAAGGGTTTCATTTTACATTGAATCTTGCCTTTGGCTCTCAGATCCCCTTGATCAACTTTGTCAATGATTTTCCCTACTAAGCATGTGAGAAAAAGAAACAAAGGTGACAGAATACAAAAATTCCTGCGAATTTCCAAAAGCCAAAGTTCACACTCCACCGCAATTTTGCCATTTACTGTCAGTTCCTGTCTGACCCAATCAGACACCTGAGGTCTCTAACTGGATCCAGGCTAGTTAATTCTTGGATCCAATCTGATCCTGGACCCAGTCCAGTTTCTGTCACAACTTCTGAATGCAGTTTGGATAAAAAAATTTGCTCAAACAAACTCAGATAGCTCAAATCATAAATCAGCGGGGCTTCAGAATCTGAGAGAGAATTGAGCAGTAATCCCCAGTTGTGAGACAGCAATGGACACAGTGGGCAGGCGAGTACTGAACTCCCTCTGCAAAAATTCTAACAGTGAGAAAATTTAACCATCCCACATCTTGCCTGTACCCTTCAAACTGCCCTTCATTCTTCCTGGGCATGGGCCAAGCTAACTTTGGGAGACATTTAGTTTATAGTTTAAATGATAATAGCTCTTCTCCAAAGCTCAACCACATTTGTAAAGCTGATGAGAGACCGCCAGGGTAAGAGGATGGGAGGAGCCTGATTTCTGCTAAGGTGTAGACATAAATGATTACCTGCCATTATTCTGGAGGTCACAAGACATGGAACTTCCCCAATTACTCCTGCAAATCACATCACTATTGTAGAACCCACGATCAGCCTTTTCGGATGTCTTTTCAGGTTTTTGCTTGTCTGATGACTGATGGCTCCACCCAGACCTGCCAACCACTCCCGCGGCCCCATCCAGAAGTGGCTCAGCGTGCATGAGGACCATCTCCAACATCCCTGTGATTGTACCCCCAACCAACCAGCAGCAAGAACCTATTGCCTAGTCACCTCCCCTCTCTTTCCCCAACTATCATTGAAAAAGTCTGGCTTCCAAATTTTCCGGGAGACTGATTTGGGTAATAATAAAACTCCAGTCTTCTGTTCAGCCAGCTCTGCATGAATTAAGCTCTTTCTCTATTGCAATTTTCCTGTCTTGATAAATTGTCTCTACCTGGGCAGGGGGCAAAATGAACCCATAGGGTGGTTACAGTACCTTGCTGGGTCACTTGATATTCCTGGAGGGTCACGGGAAGCGCTATGTGAATCCCACTTCTGATATTGTAAGATTCTCTCCAGGGCCTGAAAGCTTAAGGGGTTGAGCAACTCCTCCCTTCTCAGGCCCAGCCCCAGGGCGCAAGGCCGCTTGCATCAGCAGCGTGCGTGAGCAGATGCGCCAGCAAGATAGCAAAAGCAGGAAGAGAGCCAGCCGGAAGACAAGTACCTCTGAAGATGGAGAAAGAGGCCATCTGGGTACAACGTTGCAGTTACGTCAGACCAGGACACTTCCTGTTTACAGGAGACTATAAAACCTTTGCCCCATCCTCACTTGGGGCTGACGCCGTTTTAGGCCTCAGCCCGCCAGCACCCAGGCTCTCATTAAAACAGCATGTTGCTCCACACTGTCGTGTTGTCTGTTGGCGCGCTCTCGAGGTTCAAACCGATACAAGAAACTTACAATACCATCTGATAAAAGAAAAACTTTAGACAAATTAAATTTGACAGAGTTTAATTGAGCAAAAAACAACCGGAGAATCAGGTATCCCTAGAACCAGAGTAGGTTCAGAGCAACGCCTAGTTTTTAAAAAAATGTTTAACATTTATGAAAATTCTTCAACTTTAGCCTTCAAAATTTATAATGAATTGTTACTTCAGTTACCATCTTTATAAACTTTGAAGAGGTCTTTACTTTTTAAAATTTACTTATTTATCTTTACATAACATGCTCTTCTGATTTAAGTGTAGCTTTTTACCGTCTCCTGCGTCTTTTGTTTCCACTAAGTTGGTTTTGGTTTCCATTTTTCATGGTGATGACTTTCCTGAAATGTGTGATGACCTCTTGATACGGAAGGCAGAAAGAAATTATTTGGGCGGATAGTGATGGTAAAAGAGTCCTCGACAATGCTTCCCTTCTGACAAAAAGCAGCCCAAGAAATTGTTCTTTTCTAACAAAGAGCAGCCTGAAAAAATCGAGCTGCAAATATAGGTGAGCAAGCTGGAAGCTTCCACGGGTGAATGACGGCAGCTGTCCACGAGGAAAAGGCTACCTGGGGCCAGGCATGTTCAACATGGAGGCTCCATCCTCCCTTTTCTTTGTCACCATGTGTACAGTAAAGAAACAGGCAACATGGCACTCGCCAGGTAGAGAACCATCTGCATAATAAAAGATTAGGGTGGGCAGCCACCTTTTCACACCCAGTAAAATGGCACACCTGGTCCAACCAATCTTTCATGCCATATGTAAAACAGACACCACCTCCTCAAGCTCATCTATAAAACGCTCTGCATTTCACCATGGAAGTGGAAACCCATTCAGGACCCCTCTCTCTGCAGCAGAGAGAGATCTTCTCTTTCTGTCGCCTATTAAACTTCCGCCTTAAGCTCACTCTTGGTGTATCTGTGTCCTAGTTTTCCATGGCCGTGAGACAACAAATCTCGGGTATTTACCCCAGAATATGATGCCGCTTCACTTTGACCATCTATTCATATTTTAGAGAAAAACCTAAACAAACAAGGCTGGGTTTGTTGAAGGCTGGCTTCACAGAAGGCTCACCAGTTAGCCAGCCTTCTTCCTGAGGGACTTGTGATGGTTGTACTCTTCGGCTTCTCCAGAAAGGAGCATGGGAGCAGTCCATGAGAGGCTGAAGACCTGCCATTCAGTGTGTGGATCTTCCCTCATTTCCCATCCTCTCTTCTCCTGGTCTATACTGGGACTGCTATCCCTGAGCTCAGAGCCTTGGGACTGAAACTGTCCTGAGTGTGAACCTCCTGACTCCCATGTGAGTAGCTGGGTGAACGGAATTTGAATCCACTCAGTTTGCAGCCCATTGCCTCATCTGTCTGCTCACAGAATATAGTGGCTTCAAGCTTTGAACCCTGTAGGTGATCTTCAGAGCAAGACAAACCAGTTTCATCAGCTGTGCCTCATACAGGCCACTGGCCTTAACTTCTTCTGTCCTGTTAGGTCAGTCACCCCCATCTGTCCTCTTCCTGTCTTCTAAGGATTTTATTGAAGTCTTTTGTCACCGATGGCTGGGGTCCCCTGCCCCTGGGCGATGGACTGGTACTAGTCAGTGGCCTGTTAGGATCCAGGTGGTCCAGTAGGAGGTGAGCAGCCGGTGAGCAAGTGAAACTTCATCTGTAGTTACAGCCGCTCTTCATTGCTCACATTACTGCCTGAACACTACCTCCCGTCAGATCAGCAGCAGCATTAGATTCGCATAGGAGCACAAACTCTATTGTAAATTACACACGTGAGGGATCTAGGTTGCAAGCTTCTTATGAGAATCTAATGCCTGTGATCTGAGGTGGAGCCGAGGCTGTGATGCTAGCGCTGGGGAGTGGCTGTAAATACAGATTAACATTAGCAGAGAGGATTTACAGCACAGAGACCAAATAAATCAACTGCTTGCAAACTCGTATCAAAACCCTATCAGTGAGTGGGAAGTGACAACCTGCATCTGGTGGCAGGCTTTATAGTGGAAAGTGAGTTGATGTGCTTCAGTTGCACAGTTGTATTTGGTGCCCTTAAAAGTATGTTTAACATGCTGGGAGGCCGAGGTGGGCGGATCACAAGGTCAGGAGTTCAAGACCAGCCTGTCCAACATAGTGAAACCCTGTCTCTACTAAAAATACAAAAAATTTGCTGGGCATGGTAGTGCATGCCTGTAGTCCCAGCTACTCGGGAGGCTGAGGCAGGAGAATCACTTGAACCCGGGAGGCGGAGCTTGCAGTGAGCCGAGATCACGCCATTGCACTCCAGCCTGGGCAACAAGAGCAAGACCCCATCACACACACACACACACACACACACACACACACACACACACACACACACAAAGGGCGTTTGAGACAATTTCAAATCTCCATACGTTCCGGATTAAAGTCAAGGCCGAATATCTTGAAATTGCCACAAAAGCACTGAAAAGCCTGGTTCCATTTCCAACACCCTGTCTTTGTGAAGCAGGATTTTTTGCAGTGATAGCGACCAAAATGAGATTATGTAGACTGGACATAAGCGGCACACTTCGGGTGTCACTGTCTCGCAATATCCCCAGATGGGACCGTCTAGTTGCAAGAAAACAAGTTCAGGGCTCCCAGTTGATTCTACAGTGGGAGAGTTGTGTAATTATTTCATTATATATTGCAATGTAATAATAATAGAAATAAAGTTCACAATAAGTGTAAAGTGCTAGAATCATCCTGAAACCATCTTCTCCTCCCCCACCCTGGTAAGTGGAAAAATTGTCTTCCATGAAACTGGTTCCTGGTGCCAAAAAAGTTGGGGCCCACTGCCTTATGGGATCATCTCCAGTTCTCTTTGCCTCTGTGGATTAATAATATTTTAATTTTGCTATCTCCATTTTAGTGGAGTTTTTGAAATAAAGATGTTAAACATATCTGGTCATTTTATTTTTAATTGGAAGTCCCACATTAACCCCTGTTACCCTTAAAAATGAAGGGCTCAGTTTTCAAATGAAAAAAATTTCTCTCGAGGTCTGTGTCTTCATTGTGCCACTAGAGGGTACTGCGACATCTGCAAGATGAAAGGCCTGGCCAGGGCAGATCTATGTTTTAAAGCCTTTTCTCTCATATGGACAAAAAATACCAGCTTAGATATGGTCATTGTGTTTTTTAGGAACTATTTTTTTTATTATTAGAAGTAGAACACTTTTTAATAATATCTTTGGAGCCTGAACCATGAATTAATATTCTTACAAATATTTACTAGATAGGAAATCTTAGCTGAGTCACTTTACTTTTCTAAGCCTGAATTCTCTCATCTGTAATAAGATAAAATATAATATATGTCATGTTTTGTAGGAGTGAAGTATTTATTACCTCCCTCGTAGGGACACAGAGTGCGTGTACAAAAAAATGCCAAAAATGACAACTTCATTAGAATAAAGATGCTTTTAAGATGATCACTTCAAAGGTCAAGGTAATTTCTGGCACAATTTTGTTTAAAAATAAATTATTGGCTGGGCACGGTGGCTTATGCCTGTAATCCCAGCAGTGTGGGAGGCCGAGGTGGGCGGATCACCTGAGGTCAGGAGTTTGAGACCAGCCTGGCCAATATGGTGAAACCCCATCTCTACTAAAAATAGAAGAATTAGCCGGGCATGGTAGTGTGCGCCTGTAGTCCCAGCTACTCACAGGGAGGCTGAGGCAGGAGAATCACTTGAACCTGGGAGGTGGAGGTTGCAGTGAGCCGAGAACACGCCACTGCACTCCAGCCTGGGTGACAGGGTGAGACTCTGTCTAAAAAAAAAAAAAAAAAAAAAAAATTATTTCTTGTCAGTCTCATGCATATTTCACTTGCATGGTAAAAAATTTTTTAAAAAAATAAGGTGAAATAATGACTACATTTTTTAAAAAATTGAAAATGGTTTTATGTGAATGTGCTCTGGAGTCTGTGAAGTGTTCTATTGTAAATGACTCACGCGAACTTGATCTCTACAAATGGAATAAAATCTTGTACACTCATTAGGTCACACCATAAACATTTCTGGGGGTGTCTGGCCAGGTCACACTAATTTCTCCTTCTATAGGAATTACCTGTGATCCTCAGAGACTACATATGTAACATCTGCATTTTTACCATGAGACAGTCTTAAGGTCTAGCTATTTCATTCTGCCTTAAGTTCCATTAAAACCACAGTATCCTTGAGGTGAAAAAAAAATGAAAGACAAAGAAAGAGAGAGAGAGAGAAATGATGGTATCCTTACAATAAATTCCTTAACCTGCTCACCTTAGCTTAATTTGGATTCTCTTATTTAAAACCAAATGAACTTTAACTAATGCAATAAACTATTAATAATAAATTATTTTAACAGCACCACAATTTCTTTTAGAGATGGAATTGGTTTTGCCTGAGAAAAATACCTTGAAAAGTAGCTTAGAGTTTATGGTAAAATCCCTAAGGAATAACTTGGCAAGAGAGAGAGAACTCCTACAAAAGAAAAGAGTGGGAATTTGAAAGTGGGGAAGGGCAACACAGTTTATGTGTTTGTATGTACTTGGGTTCCACATCTGGAGCAGGGTACAGAACCAGACTAAGTTCCACATCTGGATCTGGAAGGATTGGGCAGTATGAATATGTACATTCATCCCATATATATGGAATTTTGATAGGAGAGTGTGTATATATATATAGATAGATACGAATATAGATATAGATCAATATCTACGAGCTACGCCAATGCAAGAAAAATGAAAGGTGGACCTAGAGATGACCAAAGATTACTATAAACCAACTTCCTCTCCTAAATCTAGAGAGAATTGGGGGGATTTAGAGCTATGACTACACACATGTGGTGTAGACTTAAATCGGTTTTACTTTGATTTCAAAAGATAAGCTACTTCTGACACTGGAATTACACTTCTAGGACAAATTTAAATAAATCAACTTTCTGGTTTGAAAACCTCAGCTGCTGGCTGGGCATGGTGGCTCATGCCTGTAATGCCAGCACTTTGGGAGGCCGAGGCAGGCAGATTACCTAAGGTCAGGAGTTCGAGACCAACCTGGCTAACATGGTGAAACCCTGTTGGGTTTCTACTAAAAATGCAAAAAAAATAGCAGGATGTGGTGGCGGGTGCCTGTAATCCCAGCTACTTGGGAGGCTGAGGCAGGAGAATCACTTGAACCTGGGAGGCAGAGGTTGTAGTGAGCCGAGATCGCGCCATTGCACTCTGGCTTGGGCAACAAGAGTGAAACTCCGTCTCAAACAAAACAAAACAAAACAAAAACAAAAATACCCATCAGCTGCTGATGATTTATAGCCACACCATAATTTCATCTAGTTCAATTTTGTTTCTAAATGCTTCAGTTAAATTTAACTCTTTAGCAATGATCTCACATCTCTATCTAATTGACCAAGCCAACTATCTTCTTTCAGCACATGTTTACTGAGCACCTTCTAGGCACTGAATTTGAGGCTAAATGTTATTTCCATTCATGGATATTAACATCTAGCTGGAGAAATAGACTATCTACTGCAACAACAGTAAGTAATTTCACATTGTGATAAGTGCTGTACAAGAAGCAAATAGGACATATATATGTATATATGTTTTTTTTGAGATGGAGTCTTGCTTTGTCACCCAGGCTGGAGTGCAGTGGCACGAGCTTGGCTCACTGCAACCTCCGCCTCCTGGGTTCCAGCGATTCTCCTGCCTCAGCCTCCCAAGTAGCTGGGATTACAGGTGCCTGCCACCACGACCAGCTGATTTTTGTATTTTTAGTAGAGATGGGGTTTCAGCATGTTGGTCAGGCTGGTCTCGAACTTCTGACTTCAGGTGATCCACCCACCACGGCATCCCAAAGTGCTGGGATTACAGGCATGAGCCACTGCACCCGGCCTAGGATGTAAATTTAAAGAACAGGGCTGGGTGACCTATTTTAAATGGAGTGGTCGAGGAAAACATCTTTGACAAGCACGAGATGAGACCGGGCACAGAAGGAGCATTGCAGATGGAAAGACAGGATGAGTGAAGGCTCTGAGGTGGGAAAGGTCTTGAGATATTTGAAAGCCAGAAGGTCACCTTTCAGAAATGCCCTTCCCCTAAGTCAAAGGGAAAGAGTAATCTGGTGATGAGTTGGGAGGTGAAGCCCTTCCCAGAAATGTTTCCATTCTAATGAGCAATTAGATCACCCCTTTAGGCATGGTAGTAGACACATGCTTTTGTTTTGTTTGTCTATCTTTAAAGCACTGTTTCTGCCAGTCATAAACTTTGCTCTAGACATTTCTTCCTCCCTATGTCTCCTAGAACACAGGGTCAGGCCTGAAAGAGTTGATTTTATGGAAAATTTGATACCTATCTTTTGTACCAAATGGACTTTTATTTGGCTGTATCCTGAAATGCATAAGAAAATTGCTACCACAAAACCATACGCACTTATTCTGCTGAGGTTGCAAGATGAAATATGTTCCAACATGTCCTTATTCCTTTTCTGCTTCCAGAAGCCACATGTGAAAACTGACCTTCTTGTGTTTTAGACACACCTCATATCTCCTGGAAACACTAAACATGCAAACAATCACACCATAGCATTCTCTGTTTTCCACGAGACAGAGAGAAATTACTAGATGCAACTGAAGTCTTTGCTACAAAAGGGAAATTAAAGGGATCCTCTATGTACGACAATAACTCATTTATGGAAAGGATGTTATTTGCCTTTTACAGCAATTTTATAACAGTTGGCTTGCAGAAAAGCAATGACATTAAGAATCTCAAGTTACTAAAAGGAAACCTTATTCTTTGTGTGGGAATGTTATCACCACTTCCTCAATGCCTCGCTGGAATTTTTACTATCTGATATATGGTAGTGGAAAAAGGGCTTTTAGATAGTAATCAAGAATTCTGGGTCTGCTCCAAGATATGTGATTTTAGGCAAGTCTTCATTATTTCTGAGCCTCATTTTTTCCATCCATATAAAGAAAGGCGCAAATTAAATGTTTTCTGAGATTTCCTCCAGTTCTAAATTTGACAATACTATGGAAAAGCAGGGTGAAGCAGTAAATAGAGAGTTAAGATTGGATTCAGCGGAGCTCGTTCTGAGTTTCCTCTTTGATCACTTAGTGGTCATTTGAGAAAGACTCTTAACCTTTCTAACCCCAGTTTCCTCATCTCTAAAACAGACTGGCAAAATTAGTACACAATTTCATTACAGACAATTGAGGTCAAAGGAGATGTCAGCTGTGAAACTTTTCAAACTGTAAAAGGTCAGTATAAATGTGAGTTTTATTACACATTTAATGATGATGATAAAAATTAAAATGAGCAACAGTGATAAGGTTTGGATCTGTGTCCCCATCAAATCTCATGTCAAACGGTAATCCCCAGTGTTAGAGGTGGGGCCTGGTGGGAGGTGACTGGATCATGGGGGTGGACTCCTTATGAATGGCTTACCACCACTCCCCTTGGTACTGTTCTCTTGGAAGTGAGCAAATTCTCATGAGATCTGGTTGTTTAAAAGTGTGTAGCACCTGCCTCCTCGCCCTCTTCCTCCTGCTCTGGCCATGTAAAATGAAACTGCTGCTGCTTTGCCCTCCGCCATGACTGAAAGTTTCCTGAGGCCTCTCCAGCCATGCTTCCTGTACAGCCTGCAGAACCATGAGCAAATTAAATCTCTTTTCTTTATAAATTACCCAGCCTCAGGTATTTCCTTGTAGCAATGCAAGAATGGATTAATACAAATACCAATCAACATTTACTTGTTATTCTAAAGCCTTTGCATATGTGGTCTTTTAATCTTCACAACAATCCTATAGGATAGTATGATTACTATCACCATGTTCCAGAGGAAGAAACCGAGAAACTGAGGAACACTCAGTCACTGGCAAAAAGGCCACACACTTAGTGGCCGGAAGAGCAAAGCAGTTGACTGCAAGTCCCAGCTTGGCTTCTTGATCAGCTCTAATCCTAAAAACCAGATGCAAAGGGACATTATAGACTTGATTTGACCATGGATGCTGATTAGCTCCACTCCTATGGTTTCTTCAGTTATATCCTAAATGGAAAAACATACCCTTTTTTTTTTTGGTAAAGTTATCCCAAATGACTCATCTATTCACAACCCTGCAGCCTGCAGCATAGTATATACTTAAATTTTTCCTAAATGTTATATGCTGAAAGAAATCAGAATGACCGCCAAACAAAGCTCCTATTCAAAGAGATAATTCTGGAGGGAAATGCAGCAAGCTTAGACATACAGCTTCAAAATCTAAGAAAACCAAAAACCAAACTCAAACAAACAAACCAAAAAAACCCAAAAAACCAAAACAAGTGCCCAAGTTGAAGTTTTTGTATGTACATCTTTAACCTCTGTGAAGCCATCCTACTCTCCTCTCTCCTCACCTCTACCCCACTCCAGGGAAGCACTTAGGAAAAAATGTCTGTGTCAATCCAATTCAAGCCTCCTGCACAAAATCTGTGCTAATGACAGGCATGATTCTATGGTAGAATCTCAAAAGCAACACACAACAATTTAATTAGCTCTAAGTCAATAAATCTGCATGAACCCAGCAGGTCAGTAAACCATAAGTCTCTCTAGCAATTATCAACCAAAAGATTATTCATGTAGAACCATGATGCCCAACATTTGACAATACCCAACATGGAACATTTATGATTTTCTAAGACTGACATTCGATGCACCGAAATTAATTCTGCTAGAACCCTTGATTTAGAAAGAAACACATAGATACCACACAGAGGAAAACTCCAGCTGACCAATGGGGAAAGAATAGGCAATTCACAAAATAATTTCAGAGGCATTTTGTTAAGTTTTTTCTCAAAAAAGCAACTGCATGAATATTTTACACAGAAAAATATTAATCCTAGTGGGAGTGGATCGAACTTGTGTTACTCATATATAAATTATATATAACTACTCATCATATAATTCCCCTACTTGAATAACTACCTACCTTAAGCAGACCTTGGAATCTGCCCCCAAATCTCATTTATGATTCGAAATGCTGCTTTGGGTTAAGAGGTGATGGAAGTGCTCTGATTTCAGAATTTGTGAGTTTTGATCAAAGAATCTAATGAGATAAGCCAGATAAACATGCATCCCAGGCTCTCAGATTCACTGCCCTCAAGACACACACACCACCCCCAGACGTGCAGCAGACTCACAGCAATTCAAATCCAACAAAGCTAGCCCAATGCTTGAGGACTTTACCCATCACGAGTCAACATTGGATTTCTCCCTGCAAGGTCAATAAAATAACCCCACATTTTCAAGAGTGGTAGGCTAGTGGAATGTTGTTTTTCCTGTGCTCTCATCGGATTACTCTTACTGACCAATCCTTTTAAGGCCTTCACTGTCGAGTCCTGCTGACTTTGGTAATCAGTATAGATTATGTTTGGCTTTCAGTGATGGAAAACTCAAAATTACATTTTCTCAAACAAACTAGCAGTCAGAGCTTAAGTAGGTGTCAAGGGGCTGCTGCGATGTTCCAACATGACCCAGAGCCCTTCCATCTTCTTCCTGGGCGGGGCCTGGAAGCAGCCTCATGGTCTAGCCTGGGAAAAGCCACGTTCCAGGCAACGGGATGGAGAAAAAGATGAGGAAGTGGGAAAGGGCACATGCATACACTATCTTTAGAAAAAAATGTCTCTGTAAGGGTTTGGAAATGTATCCATGAACCCCTGGACATTCCATCAAGAAATGGGGAACATGCCCCTTCCACTCAAACCTGGGCAGCCCTTCAGAATGTGGCAGAAGTGAAGCTGCATGATTCATCAGGTAGGTAGTAAACGAAACCTTTGCCATCTCTCTTAAGATACTTATGCTGGGACCCTTCAGCCATCCTGTACGAAGTCTGACCACCATGAGGTCTCTACAAGAAAAAGATACAGCAGAAGAGAGATGGGAAGGGAGGAAACTTTCCAAAATATATTAGGGGACAAATAGCAGTCTCCACCCCAATATATGCAGCAGTGCAGCAGTTTTCACCAATGTTCAAGTTCTTTGTGTGTGCTTTAATAAATCACAAAGTTAAATTGCAGAAGACGCACAACTATCAAGCTTTACAGATACCTACATAGATACTGAGCACTAACCCCAGCAACATTTGCTTTAGGCAGAAATTACTCTTACAATGTTTCTTTTTTGCCCAATACTTTCCAGATCTCTTTTTTCGAGAATCATTTCTATAAAAGTAATGTGTAAATCACGTAAAACCTCCGAATAGTATAGAACTCTGCAAAATGAAAAACAAGATTATTTTCCTTCTATACCCCCATAAAACCTCAGTTCCCTTTACCTACAGAGAACTGCTATTGACAGTTTCTTGTGAATCCTTTCAGAAATTTCATTCGATGACCAGACTACATATGGATGTCTCTAAAAAAACCAAACAACTAATGTGGTATACCATAAATACTGCTATAAGCCTTCTCTCTTTTTCTATATAAAACATATTTTGGAAATCTTTCCATATTCGCAGGTATAGATAAAACTCCTTTGATTCATATGCAAAAGTTATACATGTTTAAACTGCAAGATTTAATAAGTTTTGACTTCTGGATAACACTCATAAAACTGTGACCACAGTCAAGACTGAACACCTCCACCCCCTCCAAATGTTTTCTCACGCCCTTCCTCCTGCTCCACTGCCTAAGGCAGGCAATTGCTGGCTGATCTGCTTTCTGTCACTTGAGATCGGTTTGCAATTCCTAGCATTTTATGTAAACGTGATCATACACTAAGCATTCTTTGTTTTTTGCTTAACATCTTTCACTCAGCCTAGTTATTTTGGGATTAATTCATGTTGTTGCATGCACCAGTAGTTTGTTTCATATCTTTTCTTACTAGAATTCCATTATATGAATACGCCACAAGTTGTTTGTTCTTTTACTTGGTGATAAACATTTGCCTTGTTTCCAGTTTACTTACGATATATAAAACTGCAAGAAACATTTGTATGTAAGTCTCTATATGAGCATATGCTTTCTTTTTTTTGTCGCTAAATAACAAGAAATTGAGTGATCGGGTCATATGAGAGAAGGATATTCAATTTTTAAAGAACTTGTTAAACTGTTTTCTAAATTGGTTGTACCATTTTACCTTCTCACTGGCAGTGGATGAGAGTCCCACTTCCTCCCTATCCTTACCTTATGGATATATCCTGTCCTTGGTATGTTCAGACTTTTAAATTTTAAACATTCTAATAACTATGTGGTCCGAAATCACCTTAATTTTCATTTCCCAAATGACTAATTATGCTGAGAATCAGCTCACTTGCTCATCTGCCATTCATATAGCTTCTTTGGTAAAGTGTCCATTCAAATCTGGGCCCATTTTTAAAGTGCATTATTTGTTTTCTAATAATGTCTTCTAGAGGTTCTTTATATAATCTAAATGCTATGTTTTTCAGCTACTGTATATAATTTTCATTATCTTAACACCATTCTTCAAAGACCAGAAGGTATTTCTGATGATGCACAATTTATCAGCTTTTCACTTGTGGGTTGTATATCTAAGAAATCTTTGCCTAACTCAAGCTCACAAAAATTTTCTTGCATGTTTTCTTCTAGGAATTTTACAGTTTTTGTTTTACGTTTACTTGTCATTCCAAGTAGGCCTCATTCATTTTGAGTTAATATTTGTATATATTGTGATGTATGAAACAAGATTTTTTTAAAAATAAAAATATATAATTTTTCCAACACCATTTATTAAAAAGACTATCCTTTCTCCACTAAATAGCCTTTGCACCTTTGTTAAAAAACAAATGACTGTATGTGCGTGGGCCTATTTCTGGACTCTGTTCTCTTCCATTGATCTGTCTATTTTTATGCCAATACGGCACTGTTTTGACAACTCTAGCTTTAACATTTACCTTGAAGTCAGGTAATGTAAGTCTTCCAACTATGTTATTTTTCAAAGGTGTTGGCTATTTAAGATAACTTATATTTCCTTATAAAGTATGTAATAATCTAGTACATTTTAACAAAAATTTCTACAGACTGCATTGACTCTTTAGATCAGTTTTGAGAGAATTGGCCAGGCGCGGTGGCTCAGGCCTGTAATCCCAGCACTTCAGGAGGCCAAGATGGGCAGATCACTTGAAGTCAGGAGTTCGAGACCAGCCTGGCCAACATGGTGCAACTCCGTCTCTACTAAAAATACAAAAATTAGCTGGGCATGGGGGTGTGCACCTGTAATCTCAGCTACTCAGGAGGCTGAGGCAGGAGAATTGCTTGAACCTGGGAGGTGGATGTTGCAGTGAGCCGAGATTGCTCCACTGCACTCCAGCCTGGAGCGACAGAGAGAGACTCTGTCTCAAAAAAAAATTTTTTTTGAGAGAATTGACATTATAATATTATTGAGTCTTCTGATCTACCAACAATGTATATATCTCCATTTATTTAGATCTTTAATTTCTCTTAGGAATATTTTGATATTTTCAGTTTACTGGTCCTGTACATCTTCTGACAGATGAATCCCAAAGTATTTGACATTTTTGTCAAATGTCAAGTGACCTTTTTTTATTTCAATCTCCAATTGTTGTTAGTACATAAAATTGTAACTGATTTTTGTATAGTGACCTTATATCTTGCAACCTTGCTAAATGCACATAGTAGTTCTAATAGTTTTTTGGTAGATTTTTTTCGCATTTTTAACAAGATGTCATTAGTGAATTGAGAGTTTATTTTTTTCTTTCAAATCTAAATGTCTTTTATTGTATTTATTTATTTTTCCTTATCACACTGATTAGTACCTTCAGGACAATGATGAAGAGAATTGATAACATAAATCTTTGTCTTGTTCCTATTCTCAGGGACAAAGCATTCAGTCTTTCACCATTAAGTAGGGGTGAGTCTATGTTTTTCTTATCTGATAAAGGTAAATCCTTTATCTGGTGGATGAAGTGCCCTTCTATTCCAAGTTTGTTGAGAGTTTTTATCAGGAATAGATGCTGGATTTGTCAAATGCTTTTATTGCATCAATTGAGATGATAGTATGATTCTTACTTTTTAAATTGTTGATATATTTACTTACATTGATCAGTTTTAAAATGTTAAACTAACTTTCCATTCATGGGAGAGGAAACTCACTTAGTCATGATCTACTATGCTTTTTGTATATAATTGGATTCAGTTTAATAAAGTTTTGATAAGAATTTTTGCATCTATGTTTATGAGGGACATTGGTTAGTAGTTTCCTTTTCTAGTCATGTTGTTGTCTGGTAGCAGGTAATGCTGGCCTCATAGGATGAGTTAAGAAGGAGTTCTATCTCTTTCCTTTTCTGGGAGAGTTTGTGTACAACTGGTGTCATTGCTTCTTAAACATTTGGTAAAATTCACCAGTGAAGCCATGTAGGCCTGAAGTTTTTTGTTTTTTGTTTTTTGAGGAAGGTTTTTAATGGCAACTTCAATGTCTTTAATAGAGAGCTATTCATATTATTTATTTTGTGAGTGGACTTTGCTCATTTGTGTCTTTCAAGAAATGTGTACATTTAAGTTGTTGAATGTTTATTAGCATGAAAGCATGAAGTTTTTAGAACATTCTGGTTTTTTTTTGTTTGTTTTTTTTTTTTTCTTTTGAGGCAGAGTCTCGCTCTGTCTCCCAGGCTGGAGGGCAGTGGCATGATCTCGGCTCACTGCAACCTCCACCTCCTGGGTTCAAGTGATTCTCCCACCTCAGTCTCCTGAGTAGCTGGGACCACAGGCATGCAACACCATGCCCAGCTAATTTTTGTATTTTCATTAGAGACAGGATTTCACCATATTGGCCAGGCTGGTCTTGAATTCCTGAGCTCAAGTGATTCACCCACCTCAGAATCCCAAAGTGCTGGCATTACAGGCATGAGCCACCACACCCAGCCAGAACATTCTTTTATTATCCCTTTAGGATGTATAGAATCCATAGTGATGTTACCTCTCTTATTCTTGACATTAGTAATTTGTGTCTTTTCTCTTATTTCCTAATAAGACTGGCTACAGGTTCTCATTTTAATTTTTCTCCTTAACAAAACAGCTTTTGGTTTTATTGATTTTTCCTCATTGTTTTATTGTTTTCTATCTCATTGATTTATATTCTTCATTATTGCCTTTCTTCTGCTTACTTTGGGTTTACTTTGCTCTTCTTTTACTTCTTTCTTCAAATGGAGGCTGAAGATATTGAGTAAGATGTTTCTCCATTTCTAATATAGGTGTTTGGTGCTTAATTTCCCTTAAACATTGTTTTAACTGCATCTCATAAATTTTCTTTTTCAACTATTTACTATATCTTTTTGGGATATTTTAATTGTATTACTTGGTTTCCAAATGCTTGGGGATTTTCTAAATATCTTTTATTTATATCTACTTTATTTCCATTGTGATCAGAGACCACGCTTTGTAGGATTTTAATCTTTTCATATTCATTGAAACGTAATTGATGGCCCAGAATATGATCTATCTTGGTAAAATTTCCCTGTACACCTTGAAGGAAATCAAAAGCTTTCTCTCCAAAATGTTGAGGATTATTAAGTTAGAAAGACGGAAAGCTCAGGGCAGCAGTATGCCTCAGCATCTGTGTGCCTGGCAGCAGGACAGCAACCCTTCCTTACCAGAGATGGCAGTTGTTTGTCAGCCCAGAGAAGGTACCAGCAGGCACCAGAAGAATCAGGGAACAGATTTTACCATCTTCCCACATTTTCCCACCTTTTCCACAAGACTGTAACTGCTTTCTTCTTTGTCTTAGAACTGTACAGGACACAGGGCTCTTTGTTAAAATACTATTTAAGCAAGGCCTGTTGTATCTACCAAGCTAGGGACAGGGGTTACAAACACGTCCAGGGCAGAGTTCCTTCCCTCGAGGAGTTCACAATATGTGTGAGAGACATGTACATTCACAGTGGCCATGCAAAGTGATAAGTGGCTTTTGAAAAGGTAATGTGTACACTGCTATGGACCCTGAGGGAGGGGAGAATGACAGACAAAGCAGAAGATTCCAGAAAACCTCCAAAATAATGGGAGCTTTGACTCAGCCCAGAAGGACCTCCTCTTAGCAAGTCTCCTAGAGGCCAGTCTGTTTAGAGCTGCTGTCTGTTACATTTTCTTCGGTCCCTTTACCTAACGTCTCCTTCAGCTCCCTTAGCCTTGGCAAAAGGCAGAGGAAGAGGAGAAAAGCATTTCCATCAATGGAGTCATTTTGCGTCACAGGGCACTACATGTGGTGATGTGGCTAGAACGGTCCTTGTAAAAATAGCCTGAGCAGCTAATATCCAGTCAGCTAAACGGACCCCATTGCCATTTAGTGTCCGCACTTGTTTCAGTAAAGGCTGAAACCAAGTACAACATATGAAGTCCACAGCCTCCACGTGTGTACACCAATGCCTTCCTTCCACAAAACAGGTACTCAGTGATCATTTGCTGCTTGGAATTCATATCATCAGCTGAGCTTAATCAAACAAAATCACCCTTCAGAGACTACTAACCCATGAGGCTATAAAGTAAGTCCATTGATTTTTGTTCATCACCTAAGCTTCCATAATGGAAATTAATGAAATTGAATTTTAAATGAATGAATTTAAAATGAATGAAATGGACATTAATGAAATTATCTCCTTTGGGAAGGTTCACCCAATATAAGCTGCAACTTTGGGAATAAAATGGCAAAGGTAACAAAACAGCTGTATTGGTTGTATTAAAGTGGGCAGAGGAATGAAAAAGAAACAGGCTGATTACGGAAGGAGACAGTGCTGATCTTGTGCCTGTATCAGAGAGGGCATCCTCCCTGGCAAAAAAGGAAGGGAGAGAGGCTGAGAGCTCTCTATGCCTTGAGTGGATAAAGGCGGCACAGATTCTCTTAAGTGGCTCCAGAACTAAGCAGCAAGTGAAGGGGCTGAGATTGGGACCAGTTCCAGCCAAAGGGCTCTTCATCACTGCCAGCTGCCACACAAGTGGCCACTTCTGGAAACAGGCACCTGATCAGGAACTCCCTTCCTGCAACCTACTTCTCTTTTGCACATTGAGGAAGTATTCACTGGGCACCCGTCATGTCTTGGGCGTTTTGCTTTGCTTGAGGGACATGCCCTTGAACTGCAGTTCCCCTTAGCCTACTTCTGGATGAATGTGAATTTCCTCTATTCAGTACATCCAAAACAACATACGGACATGAAACGGATAGTAGGAATAAGAATATAGCTGCTATAGGCCAGGTGTGGTGGCTCATGCCTGTAATCCCAGCACTTTGGAAGGCCGAGGCAGGTGGATTACTTGAAGTCAGGAGTTCAAGACCAGCCTGGCCAACACAGCGAAACTCTGTCTCTACTAAAAAGACAAAAGTTAGCCAAGCATGGAGGCATGTGCCTGTAATACCAGTTACTCGGGAGGCTGAAGCAGGAGAATCACTTGAACTCGGGAGGCGGGGGTTGCCAAGATCGTGCCACTGCACTCCAGCCTGGGTGACAGACCTAGGATGCATTTCAAAAAAAAAAAAAAAAGAATACAGCTGCCATTAAACTTGGTTTGTTTGCACTGAAATGCATTTACTGATCTCATGGATAGTGGCTATATCAGTCCATTTTCACACTGCTGACAAAGACACACCTGAGACTGGGAAGAAAAAGATGCTTAATTGGACTTATAATTCTACATGGCTGGGGGTCCCCAGAATCATGGCAGGAGGAGAAAGGCACTTCTTACACGGTGGTGGCAAGAGAAAAATGAGGAAGAAGCAAAAGCAGAAACCCCTGATAAACCCATCAGATCTCGTAAGACTTATTCACTATCTCAAGAATAGCACAGGAAAGACCAACCCCCATGATTCAATTACCTCCCCCTGGGTCCCTCCCACACACATGGGAATTCTGGGAGATACAACTCAAGTTAAGATTTGGGTGGGGACACAGCCAAACCATATCAGTGGCTTTTATAGGAAGTAAAAGGAAGGCTTTAAACTTAAAAATAATTTACTAATAAAATATAATTTTATTAATTTTGCAATCGGGGTTCCATTGCTAAATAGTTTGAAAACCACTGATCTATGCAAACTTTCTACCCCATGTAGGAATCTTCTCCCAACGGACTTTATCAGTGGTCATTGTTCTTGTTCCTCCAGTGACAATGTAGCCCTTCTATTTGCAGAGGTTCTTATAGAAAATTTTTCTTTTTGCCTTTGTTTCTTCATGTGTGGATTATTGCCATCCTGCCACTCACTGTGGTTTCCATGGAATCTTGTGGAGGAATCTGTTTATATATTTTTTTGGCTCACACATCTGTTATTACAAAAGCTCCTCTACTTTTATGATCTAATTAGGCTCTGCAAAGGAAACAACCAAAAAACTTAGTGGCTTAAAAGTAAAGCAATATATTATATCTCTTGATTTCATAAGTTAACCAGTTAAGTTTTCCTGATGGTCTTGCCTGGGATCATTGTAGCAACTGCATTTAGTTGGCTGATGAGCTGGGGGCATAGCTGGGGTTCCTTGGTTCTCCTCTATTTGATCTTTCCTTTGGTAGCCTGAGCTTCTTTGTAGCATATTGACCTCAGAGTAGTTGGACTATGTACATGGCAGCTGGCTTCCAAGAGGGAGAAAGAAGAAACTGTCAATCTTAAGTCCTGGGCTCGGAGGTTCAAGAGTGTCGTTTCTGTTATATTCTTTTAGGGGGAGAAATCAAAGCAAGTAAAGCAAGTTAAAAGATCTGGCCAGGTTCAAGGGGAAAGGAAATAGACTTCATTTCTTAATGGAAGAAACGGCGCATGCAACCAGTGGTAGAAGGAATTGCTGGTGAACATGTTTGCCTACCACCAACCATACCTAAAAATTTGTAAATAAGCCAATTTCCCCCATGTAGGTTCTTATGGCTACAAGAGGCTTGTGATTGTGGTTCCTCACTGCATTATCATCCAGTAGGACAGTGAATTGTTCTTCTAAGAGCTTTACAATCAGAGTCTTTTCCTCCTTGATATTGTAAGTTCCACTTGGCATCTGTTTCCAAACCAGATCGATTTTCACTATAACAAAAATATTTTGGGTAGGTATCCCCACTTCAGGATGAGTGCCACTTGTGTTGTGAGGAGTTTTCTAGCAAGCAATTTGTAGATGCAGGTTGGCCACCCAACTGAGGTGGCAAATGGAAGCCGGATTGCAGCCTTGTTCTAATCACTAAGCCTTGTTCCCCTGTATGGGACGGAGTCTACCAACAGAGAACCGCTGCCCCATCTGTGTTGGACATGTCACCACTGACTTTTGCTTGTGATGGATGTGTCACCACTCACTTTTGCTTGTGATGGACATGTCACCAGTGACTTTTGCATTATGCAGATCTGAAAAGACCTAGGCACCTACAAGTGTGGCTGGCCACCCTAGTGCCTGGCTACTTTTACCATGCTGAAGCTTTGGATAATCTTCCAGGCTTCTTCTTCATTAAATTTTGCCACGCTCACTGTGGTTTTTTGTTCTGTTTTTTTTTTCCATTTTGGTAGTTATTCTTTCTCATCTTTTGCTAAAGATGATTAGAGCAGCAGTTTCTACAAATTGCTTTGTCATACTGAATTATTCCTATGAGCCAAAGAGAAACGTCTTACGCACATATCATTTTCTTAAAATTTTTTCTAATACCATATTTCTACTTTTGTTTCATTTGTGATTGTCCGCTTCTTCAATCTAGTATTTTTTTTTACAAGCTTTATTGTTTTTGCATTTATTTGAGACACTGGAGTAAATGTTCATAAAGTATCTCAAAACTAAGTGTAAACATAGCAAATACACACTAGAATAATGGCTAATGCCTCGGGCAAAAGTATATTTGAACTAAAAGGATGGTGCATAATTGTTACTGCATGTCTTGTTGCCAGACGGAGTTGATATGCTTTTGCTCTGGAAAATAGCTTTGCACCTGTGATGGCTTGTAAGTTACAAGTTTTTAAGTATGAGAATTTCCATCTATAACTAGAAAGCTTTGGAGAATAGTCAGGTTTTAGGTGACACCATAGGGTATGAGTCACTGTTATATAAGCAGTAATTGTTTGCATTTAGAGTGCTTAAGCAGGCATGCTTACAGCCAATTTTTAAAGTTATTGTGTTTTTGCAAAAATAACAGTTTAGCAGTCTTGAGAACCTTAGTGAACATAGTTAAGCCACCCCAGCCAGATGACAGTGTATCCTTTCTCTAAGAAAGAAGATTCTATACCATTTATAGCAAATAATTTTTGGAATAACTTTCATTGTAAAGCTATTTTTCCTCATTATTGCCCATCTCTTTTGATGCTACAACAAAAGCTCATCCTCTCTCCTAATTTCTTTCTTCTTTTTTTTTTTTGAGACAGAGTCTCACTCTGTCGCCCAGGCTGGAGTGCAGTGGGGAGATCTCAGCTCACTGCAAGCTCCACCTCCAGGGTTCACACCATTCTCCTGCCTCAGCCTCCCGAGTAGCTGGGACTACAGGCGCCCGCCACCACGACCAGCTAATTTTTTTGTATTTTTAGTAGAGACGGGGTTTCATCGTGTTAGCCAGCATGGTCTCGATCTCCTGACCTCGTGATCCACCTGCCTCAGCCTCCCAAAGTGCTGGGATTACAGTCGTGAGCCACTGCGCCCGGCCCCTCTCTCCTAATTTCAAGTGTAACTAGATCTGTCATTGCTCTAAAGGAGCCACTCCTGGGCAGGACACATTTCTGGTTTAATAATTACTCTCATGAGATCACCACTCACGGGAACGTCTGTCCTTTCTTCCTTAGTGCCCCCGTTGGTCCCAGAACATAATTCTGTGACACGGAGCACAATTCTGTTCTAATTCTTTTGCATTAGTGAATGTATTTGTTATGCATTTGCCTGCTATTATTAGATTGTAAGTTCTGTTGAGATGGGGCTGTGCCTGTCATTTTTGGATCCCCAACACCTACCTCAATGTCTTAATAAATGTTTAATAAATATCCACTAATAAAAATAGGTGTCCTTAACTATTTCTCCTAGCTTTCTATTGTACCACTTACTCCTCAGTTCTCTGGCTCTCTTTTAGGTGCTCTCTTGGCTCTTGAGAAGTGGAATAGGTCCACTTGTATATTTTAGTGTTGACAGCTATTTTTAACTTGACCACTGTTACTTTATAAATGAGGATTACAAGTGGCTGCTCCTTTCAACAATACTTCCATTGAAATTGCATGCTGAAATAATTGCTTACAAACAGAATCTCAGGTGTTTTTCCCTATAAGTTTATGAGATAGCCAAGTTTGGAAGAAAGAGGGTCTCTCGCTACAATTTCCTGGTGTGTGACATTGGAAGTTCCTTCTCTGTGGGCTCAAATTTCTTGTCTTTAGTGAGAAGTTTCTATTAGATGATCTCTGTTTTCTCCCAAATTGAATGGGCTCCTAGTCTGCTGAGGCCTCACGTACAGAGGAACTAGGACTTGAATTTATCTTCATCTTCAGGCTCCTGGATCAGGCATGTTTTCATTGCACCAATCAGCTCCTTTTCCTTCCTGCCTGCATTGTGTTTATGCAACCAGAAGCAAATCAGCTTTGGAAGTGTGATGCTGTAGCATTTTCCACTAAGACTCTGTATTAGTCTGTTTTCACACTGCTAATAAAGACATACCCAAGATGGGGTAATTTATAAAGGAAAAAGGTTGAATTGACTCAGTTCCGCAGGGCGGGGGAGGCCCCAGGAAACTTACAATCATGGTGGAAGTCAAAGCAAACATGTCTTTCTTCACATGCAGCAGCAAGGAGAAGTGCAGAGCAAAGGTGAGGAAAAGTCCCTTATAAAACCATCAGATCTCATGAGAACTCACTCGATATCACAAAAACAGCATGAAGGTAACCACCCCCATGATTAATTACCTCCCACCATGTCCCTCCCATGGCACATGGGAATTAGAGGAACTACAATTCTAGATGAGATTTGGGTGGGGACACAGCCCAGCCATATCAGATGCCATTTTGCTTTTCTTAATCTTTGATAGCCACACTTTCTTGGAGCAAATGTTCTTTTCCCTTTCTTAAGTTTCTCCCCTTCTTGCAGTACTCTGCTTTTCCTCTCATTTCATTTAATTATGTTCTTGTTATTTTTCCAATTCATGAAGTGTCCTTCAATTAAAAGCTTGTAAATATTTTCTGCAAACTTCCTGAATATAGCTATTTCATCATCCAAGTCATTGATGGAAATATAATGCTTAAGATTCCAGAATAAGGGAAATAAAGCTGTCTGAAATACTGTCCTTATGCTACTCTCCTACAAAATATCCTGCATTTCACCGTTCCTCCAACTCCTCTCTGCGTGTTTGAACACAGCTGCGCAAAGGCTCATCAGCAACAGGGAGAAGCTGCATTCTAGAGTTGCCAGTTGTTCTGAAAGCTTGGGGAGAAAGTGAACAAAGAAATTACTGGAATAACTAGACGAGAGTTTTACAAAGGGGCTTGTACCAAAAATGAAGTATAGGTACTTGTGTGTGAGACCAACATGAGGGTGTCCGAGAAGCAGTTGTTCTGAGGGTGGGAAATTGTGGAGAGAAGTCTTGGCAGGAGATACACATTTTGCAGTCATAAACATCAGGATGAGGATGGGTGTAGTGGCTCATGCCTGTAATCCCAGCATTTTGGGAGGCCAAGGCAGGCAGATCCTTTGAGGTCAGGAGTTCAAGACTAGCCTGGCCAATGTGGCAAAACCCCATCTTTATTAAAAATACAAAAATTAGTTGGGCATGGTGGTGGATGCCTGTAATCCCAGCTACTCTGAGTCATGAGAATTGCTTGAACCCGGGAGGCGAAGGCTGCAGTGAGCCAAGTGAGCCACTGCCCTCCAGCCTGGGCAACAGAGCGAGACTCCATCTCAAAAATAAATACATAAATAAATATCAGGATGGTGAACGACGCCCTGGCATCTCACTGGAAGGCTAACTAAAGAGAGAAAAATAAGGACTCAGGGAAGAATCCGAAACAACTCTGACTTTTTTTTGAGAAAAGAAGCCCACAACAGAAGCTTGAGCATGAGCAGATAACTGCAATCAGCATCCATTCTTTCATTCATTCAACAAAAATGCACAAAGCAATTTTTAGGCCCTACAAATTCAACAGAGATAAGAAAAACATAAGAAAAACATGCCTGCTCTCCTCAAGTTTGAATTCTAGAGGGGAGACAAACATTAAACACATAATTTGCCCATCTGCTTAATCACTATTTGGATGAAGAGGCACAGAGCTTGCATGACAGGTCATGGCAGAGCAGCTGGAACCAGTCTAGGAGATTTAGGGAGGTCTTCCTCCATAAGCAAGATTCCATTTGACCTCTGAAGGGTGAGTAGGCGTTACCTAGGTGAAGGGAGAGGGTGATGATATCATGTGCATAAAACTGTACTGTATGTGGAAAGGAGAATGAAGCATTCAAAGGACCCAAAGCCCAGTAGGTTTGAAAGGCAGAAAGTGGGCAGGAGAACAACTTGAGACGGGGCTGGTGAGTTAGGTTGAACATGCAAACTAAAGATTCTTCTCTTTATCCTATGGGCAATGTGGTATCTTTAAGCAGGAGAATAACATGCTCATATAATGACTTTAAAGGGCAGTGTGATTGTGGTGTATTATACCATGTATTATATCTCTTTATGTGCACTTCACAATTAAGTGATATCTACAGGAGTACTATGAGTATTGTGCTGAATAGACACCTATTCATGATGAAGGAAGGAACAGCAGGCCCTAAACTGGCCTTAGTTTCTTACAGCTTCCTCTTGCTTCTAACAACATTGAGGTTTCTTAGCTATTTTCTTTCTTCTTCTTCAGCCAATATTGGTTGAAGAGAATTCCATCTGCAACCATATCCTTAGTAACGTATGCACTCTTTGTTAAAGTAAATGCATTTCTTTCTATTTTCTGCATAGACATAACACATAGTCAATACTCAATTTTCTTCCCTTTTTAAATAATTATTTATTGAGCATCTGCTAGGTTCCAGGCATTACACTTGTCTTTAGAAGGAGCTGAAATCAACAAAATTCACTTCAACGCAAAGCAATAATTGGATTTTATGAACTCTGTAGGCAACACATATTTGTAGGAACTCTCAAAGCGTTTTCCAATAAGAATTAAATTGCAAATGACAATTAAGTTTTTAAACCAGTCCCCAAAATCTTAATTTGATTGTAGTTACAAAAGAACTAGTTCAAGTTCGTGTGTGTGTGTGTGTGTGTGTGTGTGTGTGTGTGTGTGTCTGGTAAAGAGGTTGTGTAATGCTGCTCCTTCTTTTCCACATATGGAATTTAAAATCAAAGTTTTGAAACCGATGGGGGTTATCTTTGATCTTCTTTGATTTCCTGTCTTTACTCTGCCATGCTGTCATGTATGCATGCTATATATGTCATGGTGGCACGCTCTCTTTAGACCCTAGGGATTCAGCCCTCTCCTGCAGCCTGACCTTGGAACCCCCACTTCCTTGCCTACATGTAGCACTGCACTCAGGACTGGCCCATTGCCTGTAGATGTATTGTCTGTTTTGACAAATGCTCCCTTCTCACTTGGTATGAAAACCACATAAATGGCTTGGACCTAGGTGGGATTCGAGGAAAGAAGCAAAAAAGGAAGGAATTTATAGTCTATAGGTAAGGCAAATATGAACCAATCACCTAATTACAATTGAGATTCATATAATACATTTAGGGTGCTCCAAAAGCATGTGATGCCGGGATTGGCCAAGTCTTGGGTGTAGAAGGAAACCATCTCTGATGAAATGGCATTTAAGATGACTCATGTAGGATGAATGAAAGTCTTTATATAATGTAGAGAGATTCCTATTGATCCATATGAATTCCTCTCTTATTCACATGTGACCCCCTGGTTCCAGCTGTCCTGGACCTCCATTGTCACCATCCCCATTGGGCCAACTCCAGGACCAGCACACTGACAAGAAGTCAGCGACCCTGAATTGGGAGCCCCCAGCATACTCAAAGCCTTTTGCATCTGTGTCCATAGCCTACGACCTTCTGACTCAGAATCAGATGAGTCATATCACCCAGGTGTGATATCACATGGGTTCAGAATTGCATGTTAAGAAAACAGGCTTAGGAGTTGAGCCACCTTGGCTTCAAGTCTTGACCCCACCTAAGAAGCTGTATAACCTTGGAAATATTGCCCAACCTCTCTAAGCTGCAATTTCCTCATGTATAGAATAGGGAGGAAAAAAAAGTGTGCCTCATATTGTTGTGGCAGTTAAGATGATTTGACTGCAGCAGGCAGAAATCTACAGTTAAATTGGTTAAAAAATAAAGAGATGCATTATCTTATAGAAAACGTAATCTGCCCCAGGGATGGAAGAGCAGATCCCTGGCTGCATTTCTCTGTGGCCCTCTTGGTCCATCTTTCTCCTTTTGTAGGTTTCAACCTCAGGCAAGTAGCAAGATGGCAGCTCTAAAAATTAGATTTAGGCACAGTGTGCAACAGGGAAAGAAGAGAAGCTCCCCCTTCTCACAGCTCTCTCCTAGGAGCGCATCCTAGATCTCTGGTACACGTCCCCTCAAGGTCCTGTTAGCCAAAAGTTGGTCATATGCTTGTTCCTGAAAGAGAAACTAGCCAAAGAAATGGGAGGCCCTCAAACAAACCAGAGCCATTGTACAGCAGAGAAGGAGGCATCTTGCTTCTGGGGTACAAGGCGGGTGGAGGTGGAGAACAAAACAGAATTGGGGTGCTATAGAGGGAAAAACAGGGTCGTGGATGCTGGGGAGGGTCTGCTATAGAGTGTGGGAAGGATTCAGTGGGAATTGCACATAAATTGCTTATTACTGTGTTGACTTATATAAATAATTAATCATTAGCTTGGTAAAAGGGCAAACCCAAAGGAAGCTTCTGCAGCTCTACAGGGACCAAAATAACTAGTTCATTGTCTCCACTTAGTGGCCTTTACTGTCACAATGCCCTGTGTACCTCCCCAAGAATGTCCCTTTCTATAGCAATAGGCCTGGCAGTTGATGGGTACCTAGAGGTTGGGGGTTCCACTTCAAAAGACCCCTAGTCAACCCTGTGGTGTGCTAAGGTCAAAATAAATCATAATCTGGTAGCTGTCCATCCCCCAGGGAACACATTTCAATGGAAGATGCCTGAATCTCCTTCAGATTGTTGCAGAGCTGATATTCCAGAAACCAGAGGGCCTCCTGGGCCCTTCAAGGTGTCTGAGGCCACCAACCCTATGGCTTTCTGCCTCTAGCTTCCCTCTTTTGAAAACATCCACACCACTCTGCATAGCTCCCTGCGACACCAAGAGCACCCGCCAAGGACCCAACAGGGGCTCCAGGAATTGATCCACTGTGACAATGAGCCCACTTTCCTTCTTTGAAATGCAGGCTCCAGAAATCTTTAGAGGCTTCTCCCAGGCAAACCTAGAGACATTCTAAAGGAGAAGGCCTGCTGGGAAAGGGGTCGGGGGCGGGTGTTAGTTCTGAGCCATTTTAGTTCTTCTAAATGTGGTCTGCATGACTTCTCAGTCATGGCCCCCTCTTTGGGTCTTGCCCGATACTCTCTCTCCGCGGTTCTCTTCTGCCTTGTTTTTCTAACCCATTTGGCACCTTACCTTACTTCCCATTCATTGTTTGGCTCCTGGGATTGCTGTCCCAGTTTGGAATGTTTATTTTGGCCCTGACTTTGCATTCTTCCAGGGACTTGGTTTTCAGTATTTACCTATCTGTACATTGCCCCATGACTCCCAGAGAGAAATACCTCCTTCCTCTGCCCCACCCTACCCACAGACTGAGTGTGTACTCTGGCCAGCCTCATCTGAGGCAGAGATAAGTCCATAATCGACAGTCATCCTTCCTTTCCTTCTACTTTGTGAAAGCTGCTGTTCCTTAAGTGTCTTGCAGAGGCAGGAGAGAGGTCATCGGAGTAAACCGATTCTATCCCCTATGGGAATTACTGGTACCCATTACCTACTTAACACTTCAGGTTATATCTTAAATATATGTTTGATTTTTAGAAGTCAGGAAATGTAACAATACAGAATGAATTATTTAATATTTGGGGTGCAAGAAGCCCCAAGCTGGTGTTAGTCGCTCCTTCCTGGGAGATGGAAACTCCTCACATCCACTGGGAGCTGTGTCTTGTCCCCACCTCTTTCCTTACTCAACTTCTGGATAAACAGATCCCATAAATGTTTAATTTTTTTTTCCAGTGGCTTTTGTGGTTGTCATAATGGGCATCAAAGGTATGGAAGAACATGGGTGCCCCATTTCTTGTGTGATTTGGGGGTTTGGGTAGTGAAATATACATTTGTTCTAACCAATGTTGCTTCTTTACTATTTCCTTTAAGTTGTTGCAAAAAGCTGGCATATGGAACTGCTGGCTTCGAATTCTGTCTTAAACATCCCTCCAATTATTACTTTTGTTTTCTCAGCTTCACTTAGTAGAAAAACTCCATAGAATGAAAGACATGGAGGGAAATAAAATTAGATTTAAGCAGGGCACGGTGGCTCATGCCTGTAATCCCTGCACTTTGGGAGGCTGAGACAGGTGGATCACTTGAGGCCAGGGGTTCGAGACCAGCCTGGCCAACATGGTGAAACCCTGTCTCTGCTAAAAATACAAAAGTTGGCCAGGCATAGTGGTGAGTGCCTGTAGTCCCAGCTATTCGGGAGGCTGAGGCAGGAGAACCGTTTGAACCCAGGAGGCAGAGGTTGCAGAGAGCTGAGATTGCACCAGTGCACTCCAGCCTGAGTGACAGAGTGAGACCCTACCTCAAAACAACAACAACAGCAACAACAAAATCAAAAACAAACAAAAAATAAATTAAAGAAAGGGATCAATTAGATTTTAAAGTAGAAAGTGACTGATGTCTTGAATTTCAGGTATCAATCCAGGTTCTGTTCCTTCCTTATACCTTGATGTAATGAACACTTATGAATTGCAGATAAGCAAAACCAGCTGCTAGGCATGGGGAATATTCACCTGCTTTATCTCTATGATAGATATTTTAAAATGTAATGAAACTATCAAGGTTAATAAACCAACTATCAAGGCCATTAACAGGTGACGTCTGGTTATATTCATGATCCACATGAACCTGAGTCAGAAATGCATATAAACTGTTGTTTGATTTTAGAGGCTCTAAGGGTAGGGAAACATCTAGAAATAACCATTTTTCTGTACTTCTCACCAAGTCTTTACAGAAAAAGTCACCCTAACTCCTAAACCCCCAAACAGGAGCCTTTGAAATTATTTATGCAGACAGTTCTCTCAATAATTGCCAAGCCCAGATCATTAGTAGTAATTACTCCAGTTGTTTTTATAAGGCTGATAAATAAAAGGTTTGAATCAACATATAAAACTTCCTAGAATGTACAAGATCTGTGAAACTCTTGTAACATAAAGGGATATAATGATACTACGGAAAATCAGCAAAGCAAACAGTCTCATTTTGGGATCTCATTTAGCGTCCACATACAAACAGGGACACTGTCATGACTATTCTCAGGAAACTTCCCCTGAGCCAGTGAACGATTTTCCAGTATCTGCTCAGGGCTACGGTCCAGTGATAACGGGTGACACATGAGGTAAGAGGTTTATGTCAGCGTCAAGTTGATATTGACAATAGTTTGCAAGTTTATTTCAATGAGGTGGACTTCGAGTTTGCGTATATGTACATTCTTTGGGTAGGATGTTCACTTTCCATCCTAGAATGATAATAATTTTGTTATCTCAAAAAATGGAATGATTTCTGGAACATTTATCTATTTACCATGGCAAAGCCAGGAAATGTGTCTATTAACATTCAAAATAAGAAGCATATTTGTAGCAAAAAAAAAAAAAAAAAACAGAAAAAAGTAGTGTTTCCTAAGTTGAATACCTTCCAAACATTTATGCGTTCTTTGTTTAATTTGAACCACTGACAATAGTTAGTCAAGTGCTATAGCCCTTTTTTAATTTTCTGTTTGAGAAGCATAGACTGAGAGGAGCCAAAAGTCTGAGAAATTCAAAATTACTATAAAACTGCCCCATTTTTCTTAATTAAAGAGTAGGCTAGTCTGATTCATAGAGACAGGCCTGAATTGGAGAACCCTGTATAAAAAACGCAATTTATGGCAGCACTTGACAGGGATAGGGGAATCAAATTAAAAGCTTAGAGAATTTTAAAAAAACTAATAAAAATGAATCATTTGTTACTCACTTATTATTTGTATATAAAGGCTACTACGAGGTTGGTTTCTCATGTTGTTTTGGAAAAAATGCATTTGCCTTAGCGTTTAAGTAGACTAAACATGTCTCTTCGTTAATCGTCACTGGCAGTGTGGTCTGTCTGGAATGACTCCAAATTCCCAACTAATAGAGTCCAAATTAATAAACTATGTTGGCTTTGCCAATATTATGCTGGTTACAGCTACATCAGTTGCTGGCTTTGGGGAGGGATTTATTTTTTTAACAGTCGCAGAAAAAGAAGGTACCAGTGTGTAACAAAATGGTTGTACATTCCCGCTATGGCCACCAGAGGGCTATACACCATTACAAATACTCCAGGCCTCGCTACTGAAATGCGATTACAGGCAAGCAGTGTGGGTGTCCTCACTGGTAAGAATCTCCAGCCTGATCCCAGACCTGCTGAATCAGAACCTGCAGCGATGTGACTTCAGGGAATTCATGTGCACATCAAAATTTGAGAACTTCCAGGCTGGGCGCAGTGGCTCACACCTGTAATCCCCAGCACTTTGGGAGGCCGAGACAGGTGTATCATTTGATGTCAGGAGTTCGAGACCAGCCTGGCCAACATGGTGAAAGCCCGTCTCAGCTACTTGGGGAGGCTGAGGCAGGAGAATTGCTTGAACCCAGGAGACAGAGGTTGCAGTGAGCCGAGGTCGCACCACTGCATTCCAGCCTGGGCGACAGAGTAAGACCCCATCTCTTCTCTAGGTTATGGGAAGAAAACACTTTATATTTTGTATATGATCAGAATTTGAAGATATAAAAACTGGAGGCATTTGTCATCCAGTCTCAAGCTCAGTTTCTTGTCTCCCGATTTTTCCTATCTGCATTACAGCCCAAAAACTCTTCTCTTCGTAAAAGAACCTGCCCTAAAATGTTCCTTTCGTGACATGTTCTAATCCCATCAATTACTGTAGCTGTCAAATGTATAGATTTTTTTGGAGCCAAAAGAGCTCTTCAGTATTATCTAACACTAGTCTAAATTTTCTATTTTTACAGGAGAAACAACTGGGCAGGGAATTTTCAGAAAATGGTCCTTTAAGTGAAATTATCTTCCCTTCCACACCCAAATCCAAGATATTTGCCTTTCAAGATTCAGGACCCACAGTGAATATAAACGAGACCCTGCGCTCTCAGGAGCTCCCCTCCCTCACAGAAAGAGGTGGTGTTGAGCCGGGTGAGCTGGAGACAAGAGCAAGTCTTGCCAAGCCATGTGCACCCTTGGTGGGGGGAGAGCTTCCACCCTGTCCTACCTGAGTGTGCCAGGACTCCCCAAGGGACTTAAAGATTTGGACAAGTTTTTCCTGCCCTTAGCACTGGGAGAGCCCAAGATAATCCTGGGAGCAGGAATGCTTCCTCTAAATGCCTCTGAGACACCTGAGCCATTGAGAGGATGTGTCCCCAGGTGTGTCATTTTCTACAACCCGGCTCACAGGAATGAGATCCCTTGGCCTGAGAGTTTCCTGATCTTTAGAGTAGTACACAAAAAAATAAGCCTGAGCTCAAATAGGCCATCAGAGAAAAATAATAGTATATTTAACTTTGTTCGGAAGCCAAAGAGAGGACAAATCGATACAACCATCAGATAACACAAGCAGCGGCACAGACCTGGTGGTGCAAATAAGTTCCTAAATAAAAAGTTAAAAAAACCCTTAAGAACAAAACAACAGAACAGCAAGTAAAAGAAAAAGACTTCCTAGAGCTTTTGAAAACCTTACTATTTCAGTAGAGGAATTAAGAAAATGGATGGTGATTGATGAGAATGGAATGAGTAGCCTGGAAGGTCAAGTACAAACAGCATCACAAATCCCAGAGCAAAATACAGAGGGAGAAATCATAATGGAAAAGGTGAGAGATTCGGAAAATAGAAGCAGGATGCCTATCATTTGAATAACAGACGTTGTAAAAGAGGAAGAAAGAACACATGGAGTAGAAGAAATAATTTTATACAATGTAGGAGAAAGTTTTCCTAAGCCTGTCTTCAAAGAAGAAAAGCTCAGAATTCTTAGCTGAATTCTTAAGAAAAACAGGCAGGTGGGCATATCTTGGTAAAATAAATTTCCAGGTTTTTTTCTTTTTTGGAAGAAAAAAAAATAAAACTGTCATGGGACTTCTTGCCTGCAACTCAGAAAACTAGAAGACAGTGAATTTTTAAATTCATGCAACTGAGAGAAAATCCCAGGAATTCTATACTAGGCAGTTGTTTATCTATTAAGGTGAGAGAAAGGTCTATGATTTGCGTATGGTTTGTGCCCACCAAAATGCAAGTTGAAATTTGGTTTTCAAAGTGGTGATGTTGGGAGGTGCGGGCTAGCGGGAGGCGTTTGAATCATGGGTGTGGATCCCTCATGAATGGCTTGGTGCCATTATCTAGGTAGTGAGTGAGTTCTTGCTCCAGTGACACTGGATTAGTTATAGGAATGGATTAATTCCTGAAGAGTGGATTGCTATAAAGACAGAATGCCCCTCAGGTTTGCCTCTTCTCATGTATCTGCTTCCCCTTTTACCTTCTCCACCATAATGTGCACAGCACAAAAGCCCTCACCAGGAGCCAGGGTCATGCCCTTGAATTTCCAAGTCTGTAGAATTGTGAGCTAAATAAACCTTTTTATAAATTACCCAGCCTCGGGTATTCTGTTATAGCAACATGAAACACACAGAGATATTTGAGAACACGCATTAATGCAGAGAATAAATCATTGAGTACCCCACCCGAGGTAAATACTTCAGAAAAGGAGCTTTCCAAGGACCAAATGAACTGGATCAGAAGCATCGGATGGGGGAAGGTAAGCCGGAAAGAATGGGAGATGAACAACGTCTTGGCTGTATAAATATGTCATTAAATGTTCACGGATAAAGATACAATGTGTTACGTAAGTCCCTAATGCGGACCCTGAGAACAAAAAGATGGTAAGTGAAAATCTGATGTATATGTATTAAACTATTTTAGCAATACGTTGGAATTAAGAATGCAACAGGAAGTAAAATCATCTCAAAGTTTAATTAAGG